>NC_000014.9:59005652-59308682 GCF_000001405.40 Homo sapiens | reverse complement strand
TCACAGGATTATATAACTGGTCTTTGACCCTAGAGACAACCTGGGCTGAGTTTCCTCTCACAGGGGTCCCTTATAAGGTTACCAGCAGGTGATCCATCATCTGCTCTTGAGAAGGCTTCCAGAGGTCCACAATCTTCTGGAACTAGCACTCTCATGAACTGTTAAAAAATTCACCGGACACTGAATTGACAGATGTCTCCTTGTAACTTCAAGCACTTGTTGGCTTTTGTTTGGTCCCTGGGAACTGCATGGAATAAGTTTAATCTCTCCTATGAACAATGACCCAGCAAATATTTAAACAATTTGAATAAAGTGATTATATCCTCCCCAAATCTTCCCTTTTACAAGCCAGAAATTCTCTACTGGCCATATAACACAAGTTTATCTTCCTCAATTCATAAACAAATCTCAAATTTTCTATAAGTTCATCATACCCTCATGTCCATTAATTGCAGGGATAACTTTAACAAACATAACTAAGCTCCTATAAAAGGACTATTTTCACATATTTGTATTAGTCATTCACAGTTCTATACAAACTCTACTGAGAGGGAAGATTTCTATCCAAAATGTCTCTCCAAGAAGAAAAAGAACAAGCTCTCACTCTCCTGATAGTCCTCACAGATAACATTTATGACTTAGAATAAAAGACACGTCATATTAAGTGGAGGGAAACTTGTTTAGTCCTTGCTTTATTAAGTATACATATTTTAACAAAGTTGGCCGTAAACTAAATAGCAAAATGGGTTTTCTCATTATAAGACTGAGGATGCTTCACATCTAAAACATAAATCTAGGTTAACAAAATTGAAACTACATGAATAGGACCTCGACTCGCCAGCTGTCAAGAAATTTGGGGGGACATTTAAGTCCCTTTAGAGCATTGTTTTTTACACCTCCAGATGACTTTTGCTATCTCCACTATTCTCCTGTATAACCATCCGTTCACATATCATAGGAATTTTTTCCATGTATGCATATGAAGCCTGATACCTCCTCTGACCCCCCAGGGCTCTGCTCCTTCCTTTTCTTTGGTTTATGCAGGTAGAAAGACTAGTTGAGCCAATACAAAATGCCACGTTTGCCCAGAGAAAGCCTCTTGCTACCATATCACGTATTCAAAAATAAAATATACTTGAAGATTTCAGATCACGTAGAATCAGTTAGCTCCCTCTTTATCAATTCTCTAAGTTTAAAATTCTGTATTGGTAAAGAATAATTTTTTAAAAGCATGGCATGAATCCATGTCAAATATTTTTTACTAAACTTGCTAATAAATGAGAGAACTAGGAAGATGTTACAACTGGTTCAAAGGAGAACCCAAGGAGTAGACTTATGATTAGCATCATGATGTTTGAAAGAGTTTACAAACAGATGCAAAACTGGCCAAGAGGGCAACAGTCAATTGTATCAGACTCAATTTGCATTTCATGGATAAGAACCATTGGAAGTGCTATCAGGTTTTTAAAAAAATAATTTACAGATTTGTGAAATAAGCTTGAGACAAAAGTAGAGATGACTCTTAAGAGTGCTATAGACAGGATATTTAGTCTATCTGATATTTACTCCATTTCACTATAACTGCAGCTTAGCAAAACAAAAGATGCATGACTAGTACTTCCTGGTTGAAGAAAACACAATCTATAAAGGTATAATGCAGAGGCCACACTGCATGACTAATACTCTGCTCCAGACTCCTCGCATCTAAATTACCTAAATGCCCAGGCTGGCCCAAAGCTCTTGCTCAAGAACACCTACCCCATTCTGACCATTACACCACAATTCTGTGTATTTCTGTTGCCTTGCCTAGGCTGCATGGTATGGTTTCTATCTGTGCATCACTGAGTCTCAAACTTCAGACCACTAAGCTCCTGACCATTCCATTCCACCTCCCTTGGAAGGGAGCACTTGGTCCTCTATCCCCCTCAGGAATTTGTTGGTTAAGTATTTGGGGTATTACTAAGTCTTCCTGCATTATTGATTAAAAAAAAAAAAGCTGTGAACTCAGTGAGGTTAGACCCTCCAGCCAGAAAAGAGGCTATACTCAACTGCTGCTCCCTAACAGTTTGGTTTAGAGCTGGATGCCATGTTAGAGTAACACACAGTCTACTAAATCTCCCAAAGACACGGCAGCATTTTAAAATCTAAATACTTGTGTAGACAGCCAAACTCTGTGATAGCATTAATACTATGCTGCTAAACATAAGGCTTCTCAAGGGCAGGATAGGAGCAGAATTGTTTTCACTAAGCTCATATCTACAATGCTGAATGGAATCTAAAAAGGCATTTGCTTTCCTTCTCATTCCTTTACTCATCTAACAAATATTTATTGAATTCTATTATATAATGAGCTAAGCACTATTCTGGGTGTTGGAATACATGAATAAAAGAACAAAGTTCCCTGCTCTCCTTGTGAGTGATCCCTGAGACAGACTTAGCAGTTCCTAGACTTACACATTTCTGAACTTTAGAGTTGAGAGGTTCTGAGAAGATTCCAAGTTTACTCCAACAATAGGTTCTAAGTCTTTGCAAGTATAGCTACAAAAAAGTATGCCTATTTAAATACTTCACTCTCTCTGGTCATCATGTTAAAAAAAAAACAACAGTCAAGTGTTCATTAACTCTCCTGCCTTTTAACTAAGCCCTGGTTTTTATCAATGGATCTCTAACTTCAAAGTAAAGATACAGTGCAAGCATTCCTGAACTCCCCTGGGAAAAAATCCTTTGAGACATTTCCTTGAGAGCACAAAATGTCACATTAATATTTTCCATATATCACAAACTTTATTTACACTGGTAAAAATCAGAGTTTCTGAATGGCCTGAATGAAATAGCACATAGCTATTATTTATGTCCTCCCCAAAATCACACACCCAGAAAAGCAAGAAAAGCAAGAAAAGAGTGCCACTTTACAGAGACCTAGTCACCCTGTGGGGAAGAGCAGCAAAGAGAAGAGCAACAATATCACCGCATTTCTGTAAGGGTTCAGGAGCCCTCTGCTCCAACACCCTCTTCTTTCCTGAACAAGCCTCAGCTGACTTTACAAGGAGTTGGGGGGTGGTTAGAGGGGATGTGGGGGAATACATTTTATGTGCACCTGGTATATCTGAGAAAGCAGCCACAACACTTAGCTAGAACTAAGAACTGAGATTTTACAGTCCACTTCCCAAACTATGAGACACTTACTTTATTTATTTTAACAAGTCATTATTTTGGCAAAGCACTTCACAGCATGGCATATGACTGAAGCCTAAAATTCTCAAGCAGTACAACTCCAACATCTGAAACCAATTTATATGACAACTCCCCCTCAGTTTCATGGCAAAGAAAAAGAAATATTCTCCAATTATTAGTTTCAGAAATGATACAACCCCACATTCCCCTGCAGGCAGGCACTGTGCCTATGACACAACAGTGTGCAATGACATAAAACAAATTATTCCTACATAGCTTGTTAAGAGCCAAATCTTTGATCCACATGTCACCATGGAGTGCTAAAGACCCAGGTACAATGTGGTCCAGTTGGTTTGTAAATTAACATATTTGGACACACAACGCTAAACCCTTATGTATCGTGCAAATTCAATCAGTGGTGTCAATGGCCTTTGCTGCCTCACATCTTGCTACCACATTTGTAGCTACCAGACCCACCTTTCAGAATGTCATAAAGTAGGTTTTGATGTTCTGTAACCAGCCCTTGGGAAAACAATCAAAGTGTGTTTATGATTTGCAATATAATGTTTAACACAAGGCTATAACAAGAGAGGACCCTTTGGAAAAGAGTAATTAAGCTAAAAGGAGAATCAGGGGTAACAGTAAGCACATAAAGGCATATGCCATTCAGGGATGCATCCTCAGAATGAGAAAAAAGTGCTAATGCAAGGTTAACTGTCCCTGAGGACAGTTAGGAACTGTATTCCTAATTTTAGACCACCATAAACTCTACAATGTACTCATGAATTAATGACAGCATTTTTGGCAAAAGAAAGAAACAAAAGCACTAGTTAGAAGATACCACTGTATCAGAAACATCTCAATATGGGACATAGGGAAGTACCTCTCAGAAACTGAAAAAACAAAATGCTTTTCCTTATGTATGGGGACAGATAAAAGGATACTACACAAGTCAATGTTGCTCTGTACCACGCTGAAGAATAACAGAATTTAAGACACTGTAACTTAAGGGTGGTATTCTTTGGTAGACTCTACTGTAACCCATTTCTAGTGCCACAAGTTACCAGGTTCCTAAAGTGTAAGGAATTTTGAGAATCCCAAATTATTAGTGGCACATTCTAACATACTAGAAGCTCAAAGCTTCTCTCTACTCTACAAAGAGGAGAAATTCTGAAATGCGCAAAGAATGGAATGATTCAATAGTACTAGGTGTGCTGGAGCTATTAGTGAAAAAATATATATAGGAAAGACACAGGAAACGTGTTTTTTGTTCCTCTTTGATATAGCTTCTAAAGGGGCCATTTCTTTCCATATTGATGTCTTTCATAATCCTATCTTCTGGAGTTGGAGTTGGTGAAGTCAGGCAGCCTTGGGGCAGTCTTTCTGTGAAAGTATGGGCCATACCATTTGGAGAGTCAGCCAAGAACCAGAGAGAAGCTCAAAGGAAAGACAGCATGGAATATGGTACTTGAATCTGACTATAATCCAGTGGTAAGAGGAGCTTTCAAGGACAGGGATAACAAATATTTCCCACATAAGCCACATTCTCCATCATGTGTCACGGCAGATGCTGTTATTTATTTTATTTTATTTTATTTATTTTATTTTTGAGACATAGTTTCACTCTGTCACTTAGGCTGAAGTACAGTCGTGCAATTTTGGCTCACTGCAACCTCCGCCTCCTGGGTTCAAGCAATTCTCGTGCCTCAACCTCTCGAGTAGCTGGGATTACAGGCACACGCCACCATGCCCAGCTAATTTTTGTATTTTTAGTAGAGATGGGGTTTCGCCACGTTGGGTCCCAGGCTGGTTTCGAACTCCTGACCTCAAATGATCCACCCACCTTGGCCCCCCAAAGTGCGGGGATTACAGGCGTTAGCCATCGCACCTGGCCCTATTTCTTATTGAGATCATTCATAACCTCTGAATGCTTCCCAAAGTGCTCCAGGCATCCACCCCCAATTGTTCAGAGCTAGCAATCAAAATAAACCTTTATGCCAGTTTTGCTTGAGGTTATTAGTACTCCATCGCTAACCAGGGCAGGAAGCCACAGTTCTAAGGAATGCTGTAACAAAAGGTATGCATCACTCTAGCACAACTACTGTGTTGTATGTCCCTCAGGGGACCACTGGGGTGGTGGTAACCAGAATGAATAGCTACTTATGAATTCTCAGACGTGAGATACACATCAGAGACTATTTACTCAGATTACTGAAACTATCTGCTCAGACTCTGCAAAGAAACTCACTCTGAGTTTCACAGGACACTATAGGAGTCCATTTTCATGCCTAGTGAAATTCTGCATTTGCAGATTTTGGAAATGAAATGGAGCTATGCCCTTGTTCCTTAACACACACAGGCAAGGGGTTCAAAGGGCCTCGCACAGTCACATTTAGAATCTTGGTTCCACCATAGCACTGTTGATAAACATTCTGTGACAACCACGGAGGGCTCAAAGATAGTCACGGACTCCTACCTTGGCAACTGACACACAGCCAAATTTGACTTGCACCAGAGCTGTTAAAAGGAACCTGCTTAAGAATAACTTAGAGGCTGGCTGGGCACGGTGGCTCATGCCTGTAATCCTAGCACTTTGGGAGGCCAAGGCGGGTAGATCACCTGAGGTCAGGACTTCGAGACCAGCCTGACCAACATGGTGAAACCCCATCTCTACTAAAAATACAAAAATCAGCCAGGCGTGGTGATGGACACCTGTAATCCCACCTACTCGGGAGGCTGAGGCAGGAGAATTACATGAACCTGGAAGGTGGAGTTTCCAGTGAGCTGAAATTGCGCCACTGCACTCCAGTGTGGGTGACAGAGTGAGACTCCATCTCAAAAATAAAAAAATAAAAAATAAAGAATAACTTGGGGGCCAAAGATTGCTGTTCTGTGGGAGTCGAGAACCACTGTCCTCCAGGACTGCCATTCAGAGCTTATGTTCCAAGTCTCCTCCAGGGATTGGAGCCAAGACAGGAGCATTCTTCCCATGGTGCAGCACCAATGCAGGCGTGAGTGACAAGCCCTGAGTGAATGCTGAGGGAGTTGCTTCTCTAACCCCTACTTGAGAGGGAAAAAGAGAGCTCCATAGGACACACTACCTTCATGCTCCCCATGACTCCCCATTAATTGGGTTGTCCAACCAATCTGTCTTACTTTTTCTCAGCTGTATATTGCTAACTTATTTTTGTTATTGTTGGATTACAAGTGAACACAAACACAAGGACATTCTCTTCTACTCTCTTCCAGCCCGGTGTTCCCCAGTTACAGGGAGTGCAAGACCTTCAGTAAAAGGGTGTTACTCACTAAAGAAATGCAAGTTTGGGTTAACTAAAGTGCTTGGATATTCCGGAATTGTTTCAAATTTTGGATTTTCTTCTTTCAGATTTTGGAATATTTGCAGTATATCTACCTGTTCATCTTTCCTAATCCAAAAATCTGAAAATCTAAAATCCAAAATGCTCCAATGAGCATTTCTTTTGAGAGTCATGTTGGCACTCTCTTTAAAAGTTTTAGATTTTAAAGTTTCAGATATGGGATACTCAACATGTATTAGAAAGCACAAGGAGAGATGGTATCCACAAAGCACACACATTTTTCACTGCTTTTACAATTCTGTGAAGAACAAAGTATTTTCAGGCTAAGGAATCAACAAACCCCAAATCCATAAATTGACTTGTCTGTAGAAACGAGCTCAAAATTTAGGAATGGGGGATAGACAGCAAGTTAGACCTCTCAACTTCTGAATATCCAAAGGAATCGAGGAAGAGGAGAGAGTCTCAAAATCTTTATAAAGAAATGCTCGAGATAAAGTTGCTTTGGCTAGAGGAAGAAGGGGCTGATTGCGTGAGCCCCAGCAACAGTCCATCTGCTCGCTTGTGCAGATGTGCTGATTCTGCACCTGCACTTTAGTCACCAACCAGGGAAGTGGCAAATGCCTCAGAGGAACTTCCTGTGTTCAGTGATGGCAAATATCAGTCAAGAGCTTGCTAAAGATGGAAACACAATTTGCCTGGTCTGGAAATCAGGGTGCAAACAGGTCTAGATGAAAGGAAGAGTGAACTGTACACAGAGCAAACCAAATAAATATTAAGCAAATTGTTCATTTGAACGATATGAACAATTCGTTCAATATTTATTTGGTTTGCTCTGTGTAGGGTTCACTCATCTAGACCTCAATATACTTCTAATATTTTGTACTTTTGTATGGCTTTGTATGTATTTGAATAGAATACTTTTCATTTTCTAAACCTTGAGTTTTTGTTTTTAATGAGCACTTTATATTACAGTAATTTTTACATCAATTTGATTTGTGAGACAGATGGGAAAAAACTGAAAAACTTTAATGACAGTTTCTTATGCTGGAAACATTTAAACGTTCATAAAATGATTGATCGAGCAATGAGATATTAGTTTCCTTCCCTCAGACAGTATCTTCACATGGTTGACAACTAATTCACTGCAGGTATAAGTTATTATAACCACTTTGAAGAGCAATTAAAGGTGAAAATGTTCATATCAAACAACTCAATAACTACATGTCTAGGTGTCTATTCTAGATAAACTCTTGAACATATGCACAAACATGTTCATCACAATATTTTTTAAATAGTAAGAAAAACTGAAAATAAGCATGGTCTAATGGGGATAAAAATAAACTGTGGCATGTTCATAAAATGCAATACTATAAACCAGTTAAAATGGAGAAACAGTATATATTGTTTAGGAATAAATGCGCATGGAGTTAGGCTATAAATATATGGGTAAGTAAAAGACAGAAACACAAACCACTTTCAGAAGAGCAGTCACCTTTGGGCTTCAACTATATTTATGTTTTATTTCTTTTTTAAAAAAAATCTGAGGTGAATATGGTAAAATGTTATTAGCATTTGTTAAATATGGGTATTTATTATATTCTGTACTTTTTTGTATATTTAACGTTTTCACAATAAAAATTAATCAAACAGAAAGCAACAGTTTACCTCATGACTTGAGAGGAAAGTTATCAGAGGTTAGTTTTTTCTTTTAGAAATTTTGAGAGTGTCAACTTATTGGAACCTAGAATGATTGCTCTGGTAATTAGGTTTAAGACTTCTAATAATAACATTATCTGCAAATGTGCTGAAACGTTATTTTATTATCTTTCCATCACTGAAGTTTTGTTCACTTCAGAAATAACACAGCTAGAATGCTCTATTGAATTACAATGCTGCAACTTTGAGCAAATTTTGTGGCTTAACAGGGCATTTGTAAATCTGGCTCACTCCAACCTAATAACTTACTTATTTGTAAAAATTAGCTTACTTAATGAATTCTCTTTGTGTTGGGTCCTATAAAGGGATTTTCCCCCATTGCAAACAACAGCAGCAGCAATGTTTTCATCAAAAAATACTCTTATTTCAAAACTTAAGATATTCATCAACCACCTACCTTTTCTAGGCAGCAGAGTAGGAATTTAATTTTTATTTAAAAAGTGGCTAAACTCACACATACCCACTTTTCCAGACTTGACTTCAGTTGGTGTTGACAACTGCTTGCCAAGCAAACCCACTTGTGTGAGCTCCTCCATGGGCTACACCTGGTCAGTAGCATGCTGAAGCACTGTGGAGGGCACGTGGCTAAGAGGAAAAAAAGTGCAGTGCAGGCTGACTTTCTCTGGACCAGAGACTTCCCAAATATAAATTAAGGGTGTTCCTTAATTCTGGAAATCAGGTCCAGGGTCCCACCCAGAAGCCAACAGACTGCATTTTGTTCACCACTGCCCTAGAACTTTTGCCAAATAAGTCCTCCTTTTACCAGCTTCTGGTGCTGAGCATAGTGACTTTCTCAGTCTCTTCCCTTATCTATAATAGAACCTCCTAACTTAGTATTTCTGCCTCTGAAATATCCTGCCGTTCAACACTTTTGAAATTATCACTATTGTTCTGAGAAAACCAGACATCAACATCACTCAAGAAAATGGAGATTAATCCCAGGTCAGCATATGGGTGAACAAGCAGAAACTCAGTTCATACTATTACAAGCATAGTCACCATTGTTACCATTGACTATGACAACAGCTAATGTTACCATGCCTCCAAGCTCTCTGATAAGTACTAAACCATATTATTACATTTAATTTTCACTAAAACCCCATAAAGTTAATCTCATTTTACAGAGGAGCGAGAAATTAGAAAGGTTAACATGCCCCAGGTCATACAACTAGTAAATGGTATCCTCCCTTCTAAGATTACCTTTTAGATGGCTTTTAACTATGCAAAGTATTTATTTGGCTTCTATTTATCTTAGAAAAAATTGTATTACACATACATCATACTATAGTTTGGAACAATTATGAGGAACAAACGTAATTCAGGAAAGCTACATGCAGATACCTAGATTGAAAGGCTTTTGGAGAAGATCCATCCCTAAGGAGGACTCTACAGAACCAGAATGTTATACCCCAACAGATGGCTCCAAAAGTTTGTCCACAATATTGCAGATTTATTCAATTCTCCAAGCACCAAAGAGAAAAGACAGCTAATGTTTTGGTTCAACCTATGAGTACATTTACTTACTGCTGCCTCGTTAAGGAGAATGGGCATCTACGAGAAGCAACATTTATGAAAATGCACACTGTGAGCACAAGACCATTCTGGATACACAAGGCAGGGGTGGTTGTAGGGACACAGCTGGAATGACCCAAGTGGTAAAGCTGACAGGAAAACAAAAATAATACCCAACACTGGTATCATTAAACAAAGGAATTAGAGGAAGAGGAGGCAAATAAATATTCAAAAACCAATTGCCTTTTGTTAGACTATAACCTAACATTGATTTGACTGTCAGAGGCAGAGAATCTTTGAATGAACAGTATTTCACACTTCAAATCTAAAATTTGGTGTTCATTTTAATAGTGCTGACTTTTTTGCAATAAAAAGGAAATAAAGAAAGGAAATGGATCACTAGCTTTGAGATTATAGCATTTAGGAATGCAAGGACAATGAGAAACATGCCCTCAGTGGGTTTCTGGGCAGAAAACCGAGGGCATCTCATCAGGGCCACTATGTTTTCAGAGTCATTGCCTAAACAGGTAAACGGTGCTTAAAAAAACTGGGTGGTTTATGGATTAATCTTTATTTTACTCCCTCTGGGGAAGAGTAAAAAGTGAGAGACAATGAGAGAGAGAGATTGAGCTGGACAAAGAAAAAATATGCCAACATTGTCTTGACAACACAAGCACTGGCTGCATTTTAAATATTTATTTTTTCCTCCTAATTTTAATGGAAATATGTGGTGGCTTTGTAAGGTTCAAGTTGGCTAAGCTGAACCACAACCATTGAGACAGAGAAACAGACCATGTCCCAGTGGTCCCGCTTCTCTGGCTAAAACCTAATATAAAATACATTGCATGAATTTTTAAACAGAACAATTTTATTTTTTGCAACCAGAAAAAACTATTTTAAGGTAAGAGGGAGAATAACATGCTTCATAAAATTTGGAATCACCCACAATCCAAGCTCACAATTATTTTTCTGTCCACCTACCTCTTTATATACACTTTGGCAGATATTTGATTATACTAATTACAAAGTTTTACACAGTAGTCCCCCCTTATCTATGGGGGATACATTCTAAGACCCCCAGTAGATGCCTGAAACTTCAGATTGGATAGTACTGAACCCTATATACGCTGTTTTTCCATACATACATACCTATGATAAAATTTAATTTATAAATTAGGCACAGTAAGAGATTATCAACAGTAATAATAAAAGAGAACAATAATGACAATAGACTGTAATATAAGTTATGTGAGTGCGGTCTCTCTCTTTGTCAAAATATCTTATTGTCCTGTAGTCACTTATTTTTGGATCTCAGTTGACTGCAGATAAGTGAAACCACGGAAAGCAAAACCACGGAGGGAGGGGAGGAGACTACTGTATCTTTTTAAAAATCTTGCCATTACATACTGAGCAGATTCCCATGTCATTAAAATTTCTTTAGAAACATGACTTTTCACTGGCTGCAAAATGCTCTGCTGTCTGCATACATAGTATGACTATGGCTATAGTGTAGCTATCCTCCTCTAAGTTGTTTACAGTCATTGGCTTTTAGAGACAACATTGCCAAAAACATTCTCGCACATAATTCCTCTTCTGCATCTCTTATCACTTTCTGGAATAGGAATGTTCCAAGCTCTGGACACACGTTACCAAATGGCTTTGGTAAACATCTGCAGGTCAATGTTCAAAATGTTGGTCAACCAGTATAACAAGGGCATCCATGAATAAGAACCAGTGATGCAATGTGGGAACAGGGCAGCAAAGTTCCTGGCTGTGCCATGCCAGGAGTTAGCCCTTCAGTCCTAGAATCATGGGGGAAGAATGGTGGGCCCTTGGGAGAAGGGCCAGATTGGCAGGGTGGTTTTTACTGGGAGGGCTTGGGGCAGCTCCTGTTGACCAACTGGCATTTGGTAATATTTTGACCAGTAATACAGTTTCACTGGAGCATATCCACTGAACATCAGCCAGTGTTGGAGTTTCCATCTTACTCTCTCTTTCTCAGACTAAACAAGCCTCAATTATTTTAGTCTTCCCCTGCACTGACTTCATTGTTCAAAAGTTCAAGCCTTTTACAGATTTCCTAACAGGCTCTACAAATTGTGTTTAGTAAAGATTAGATTTGGTCAATCGTCCAAACTTGACCTTTTAAGCAATGGCAAAAGGGACAGAAACAAAATAGAAATCAAAGAGGAAAGTGTACAGTGCATGTGAACACAGCTCAAATGTTGAAAAAGGAGCCAGTTTCTAGATCACGGGATCAAAGCACAACATCAACTCTCACTGCTGTAACCAATGGTGGGTCAAAGTGGTAAAAGAATGGTTGTCTCAGTCAAACACACACACTCCTAGAGGTTGGTTTCTCCTTCCTCTGTGCCCCAGAGCCTGTCTGCTTACCCTTTTATGGAGCTTATGACAACATTTGATTACTATTTGATTCTATCTGCTTCTCCTACCAGGACCATCCACTCCAAGAAATTTGGCTTATTTTTTTAATCCTCAGAATCTAACCAAGAGTCTAGATTCTCTGTCTAGTTTTCTCTGCCCCAGAGAAGATACTCAATACACATCAAACAAATCACACACTAACTTGCCTTGCCCTTCACCAACTGCATTGCTTTGGTGAGTGAAACACCAGATACTCCAAGCTTGTTATTTCTTACTGTTTCAATCTGGGCTTATACACAAATCCTCATCTCTCAATGCCAGGGACTATGTAGATAAGACAGATAATTTCAGAGCCTGCAGAGTCTAGAAAGCTGGTTGTCCTGCAGCTACTGTGCTTCCCTTATATAGCCTTTAGAGAGGTAGGGAGGAAAGGCAGACAAATTTCTTTCTAATCATTGCTACTTCTGCCACTTTCTGTAAGCTCTTATCACATAAGAGCAGAAATGCCAGTTTGAACCCATCACTGGAGTTGAAAACTCAATTGCAGAAGACTAAACCAGGTACTTCTGAAGAAGTCTAGTAATACTGTCACTGAAGTCTAGTTTTTTTACTTTTACTGGTTCCCTCTCCCAAATCTTAACACCTAGCAAAGTGGGTCCCTGGAAATCCAATGCTCACTTTACTGTATATTTAATCAACCACAGTAAAAGAAAGAAGACATCTAACTTCTCTTCCCTCTCACATCTTCAGGCCCAGTGCCCAGCCACTGCTTCCCTTCCCAGTTTACCCCTTTTCTCACAAAGATATTGGGAAGAACTAGAAGACCGATGTCTCATCTCGTCTCCTCCTTTTCCAGCTACTTTGTGTAGAAAATGGATGGTTTCTTTTGACTTTAATTCCACTACTTTAACACGTGTTTCTTTAAATCTGTGTAAATCTGTGTTTTGATCAAGCTACTGCCTCTCCAGCACTGGAAACACAGGAGGGCTTCAGCTCTCCAGGAACTGAAAGAACTGCATCCCAATGGCCACACACAATACAACTTTAATCTTTTTGTACGTGTGGTGGACGAATTTCTTTTTGTGGGGAAGAGTCAGGAATTGATCCAATCAGGGTATACAAACCAAATTAAGGAATAAATGAAAAGTACTAGCTGAACTTCCAGCCACTTTCCTTAGATGTCTTCAGTATGTACCTAGCACCAGATCAGCAGTTTGCAGAAATCATGATAGCTGAGCTGCAGCCATGACAGGCAAGATTACTGAATGATTTAATTAAGTTAGAATCAAACACACTCAGCAGCAGAGTAAAAATTCACCTTCCCCAAAGTAGACCTCAACACATACAGAAATGTAATATGAACAATCTAATACCATTTACTTAAGCCTTGGCTTTAGAGATCAGAAACTAAGCAGGAAAAATTAGGCACAATCATCAAATCCTGATCTTTGCCTCAAATATCTGCTGTCATCACAGCTAGCAGTGTCTATATTCCCATTTACTTACTTGGCAAACTCTGAAGCCCAAGAAGGGGTACAAGTATTTTTCTGGATACTAATAAGGACTGGTTAAGTGACACAACTTGTACATTTGCTTCTGAGCAGAACAGCAATTAAAGATGATTTCTTCCTGTGCTGATAAGATTGCTGTCAGCATAATACATGTATACACCCACTTTATTTTCTCCTCTCTGAAGACTTACTCCTTACTGTTCCCAGGATTTAAAAATCATGTTAACAATAAGCAAATACAGCATGGCCAGACGCCTTTTTGTGGTCAGATGGTTCATTGTTTAAAAAGCTTCAGTTTAAAATCCAAGAGATTGTTAACAGATGCAGTTTCTGGCTAGAGACTGGGAAAAACCTCATTTAAACAAAAGAGTATGTTGTGATTGGAACTAAAAAAGGGAATTACCTTTAAAGATAAGAACCACAAACATTTCCTATTTGAAAATACCCCATCACAACTAACAGAACCCTTTTTGGACCTTTCATGAAAGTAAAAAAAAAAAAAATGACAGTGGATTGCTGTCTATGACAAAGCAAGGATGACCAACCAGTCCGGTAAGTTTTAGATTTGTTTGGACTTTCAACAAGGCCTCAACATCCATCTCTTATGCTCCCCCAAGATTACTCAATTAGACAAAATTCCAATTAACTTCTTTTGAATCGTTTTAGTCTGAGAAATATTTTCTGCTTTGATTTTGGCTCTGGAAATAGGTTTTCAACCAGAGATATAGATAGAGAAGTTTCATAAATGAACACTGAGCTTGATAAGCAGATAGCTGCTGCCGGGACTCAAGTCGCTGTTGGACAGGGAAACAGACACTGGGCTGAGCCAAGCTTGGCCCTGTCTGTAGGTCCCAGGCTCATTGGCCTTCACAACTTCTGTTCATTTTTACATGGAAAGTTTGCTTTTCACCAACTCACGCCATCTGTTTCGGTTGGCTTCAGTGGCCCCTTACTCTATGACTTTACTATGTGTGAGAATGTCTGTAATGCCCTGTATTCTAATCTTGAAAGACGGGAAATGTGACAGAGCCCTGGGAGTGTAGCTTTCCTCCAGCCTGAGAAATGGATGTGGCTTGGCTTGCTGGTGATAAGCCTGATTTGAAAAGGCTAGGCGAGAGATGTTCCAAGGAAAATAATCTGTTCTTAATATTAACGATGGCCACTATGGGGCTCTATTCTGAGAATGGGCAACCTGTCCTTCAAGAAATTACATTCTCTGAAGAGAGGTAAACATAATATCCTCCTCCTGGTTCAGTTTTCATGTTCTCATATTCATTGTGTATTTCCCAATTTATTGCAGTGACCAAAAATTCAGTTTCAGACCAAAGGCACAGTAGAGTTTTAACAGTGTTAGAAGCTCAAATTAAAATCTTTGGTGAAACAATGCTACCATCCATTTTAAAGTGAGGCAAATCTAGAACCCATGGGATTCCCTAAAGAGTCAAAATGGCTTTCCCACTGATTGCTAAGTCATATAAGGAAGCCAAGCTGTTGGAATGAAGCTAGTAGGAGAAGTGCATTCTCAAAGGTCTGTGCAATCCAGCCAGGTACTAATAAGAAAGGCCTAGCTGTCAAAAAGTGGGATTCTGAGGCCAGTGACCACATCCATATCCATCCTCCTACAAGAAGCAAACCCCCCATCATGCACACTTGAGATGAGGTTTTCAAGGGGATTCGATAGGTGTGGAAATTGAAAAATGAGCAGCAGCTGCAAGCCCGAGGTCATTACTATTCTCCAGGGTTTGCCTTTTCTAATCTAAGGGGCAGTAGTTTCCATGATTAACTTTCTATTGCTGTCAAGGGTGTAATAAAATCTGGGAAAGAAGAAAACTTTCCCTTCAGTAAGCTGCTCCTATTTTCCTGCCCTTTTCTTTCCTCTAGTGAACATTCTCAATCCCTCCTTTGTATTGTTTCCTTATTTTCAGAAAGAATCTACACTAGGATGAGCCAAAATAGACAAAGTCCTCTGTGTATACCCGCAACTTGAGGATTTCTCTTTCTCGGTTCTAGCAGCAGATTTTTAAGATGGCAGTGTGAAAAGTTTCCTTGTTTCCAAAGGCTATATAATACCAGTTTCAGAACTGAGCACATTTTATTCCATTTTAAAATTCCTTCTCAGTGTATTATATTTGTTTCTTGAGCCATGACAATCAGTTCAATAAAAAAGAGGTTTTCTAGTTGGTTCAATGTATACAAAGAGAAATGGCAGAAGAGGAGAGGAAGACATTTATTTCACAATGACATTTTACTGGTTACTACTGGATTAAGAACTCTTAAGGCTTTAGTTTGGAAATAATCTGATAGAGGCTCAGAGATCATACTGAGGGGTTAAGGCTGACCACATTTCTCAGAAAAGGCCACCAGAACTGAATCTGACACATAGTTCTACCAATTAAAATTGCCCAGCTGGAAAATTAATGTGCTTTAAATTTTTTGACAGTATTCAGTGTAACACTAATGACAATGCAGTGATTCAGTCATCATGCATTCATTTCAAAGTATCAGATGCTGGCGTTACAAAGATGGATAAGACATGGTGCCTCTTCATCAGAGGCATAAAGTCAGGTGGAGAGCCACTCACATAGGCTCACTGCTAGAGAGAGTCCCTTTATTGAGTAATGTAAGATGCTCCCAGGAGAGTGGCACAGGGCAATTACACAAGATAGCAAAGGGGGGCAGATGTGCTGAGAGATGCCACATGGGCCAATGGAGGTCCCAAGCTGCATATTGGTTTCACCTAGTAAAAGGCTTCCCTGACAGTGGTGTCTTGAAAAAATATTGGATTATTGTATAGTTTGTTCCTGTTTCCCTGGGTCGAGAGTGAGTCATCAAAGTGTCCACTGCCTGATGGAGAGCTAGGTGCTAGCCTTGACCTTCCCACTACCCCATTCTGGTTTAAATCTCTGTTGGAACAGAAGAGAAAGTGGCAAAAGGTGGCCATGAACAGAAGGAGTCCCCAAAATGGGTGTAGGGATATCCTCAGAATCTGCTACAGGGTTTAAAAGTTGGCAGAGTGCACTCTGTTTCAGGAGATACAGTCACCATGGAGTGATGCCTGGTGCCACAGATACTAGGGAATAAGAAGAGCTTTGGTGTTTCACTGTCCCCTATATCCATTCTCCCCATCTCTTGAGGTAATAGAACCCCTAGATCTTAAATGGGAAGTGACTGCCCAGAATAAAGACTTTAGTCCTTTCAGTGGATGTGGCCATGCAACCAGCAGTGGGATACGAGAGAGAGTCAGCCATGTAACTCCAGGAATGTGTCCCTCAAAGTGGGAGTGGAGGAGCCTGTGCTTCCTTTCCTTTCTTCCATCGCTGGTTTGGAACATGAAGGGGCTGGAGAGTCACCTTGGTGCATGGGATGGGGCTACACCAGAGAGATGATGAAATGGAAAGTTGTCAGAAGGTGGTTTTAGAGGGCTGTGACCCCAAACCTGGTTCTAGACCACCTGTATACAGACTGGTATGTAAAGCGCAGGGTTGGGGGGAATTTGTCTTGTGTAAGCAAACGTTATTTTGGGTTTCAGTTACACATGATTATGAATGATGGTTACAGGTGGAAAAGAGCCCAATGAAGTACTGACAAAAACAACATCCAGGGAATTGACACTGGCTACATGTAGCACCACAGCCACAACATAACACATTCAATCTGGTTTTCATATTACAAAGAGCTGTCCAATTCTAGTGGTGAAATGGAAGAGCAAATGGAATCAATGATTATTTTCCAGTTAACCATAATCACAATGAAAATCTTACCTTTTTCTTGCTACAGTATATTTGCCATTTTTTCTCAGCTGGAAGTGCAAACATGGCTTCTCTGTGTTTGTCTGTGAGGTCCAGTTCATCCTGAGAAGAAAGAAAATAATTAGTGTTTCATAGGATAAACATTATTCCTGTAGAGAACGTTATCAGTATCATCAAGGAAGAAAAAAAACAAAAACACAAACACATATTTAAATGAACTTGAAAAAGATCAAGAAGCTAAGTTAGGTATGTTTTTCCATCAAGAAGAAAGCATGTCCCTGGCAGGGGGCTAGGCATGGGGCACAGCAAGAGGGATGAGGCACAGCCCTACAGTCACAAAGGTCAGGGGAGAGTGGACCAAGCACAGACAGAATTATCCATCCTGAGCTACTGTCTACTGCTGAGTATGGTCCATTGAGCAGCAAAAGCTGTCAAACTTCAGGAGTTTAGAAATATTGGTCATGTTAAAGATGAGGATTTGCTGGGGATGGCTTCACAAACACTAACAGGCTGGGCCCTGAAGAACCTGGATATGAGGAGGGGAGAAACAGACAAAGGCCGAGTGTGGTGACAGACAGTGTGTATGTGGGACAATGGTCAGCTTACAGGAAGCACTGGGTTTCTGCAAAGGATCATCAGTTTAAAGGCTGGAGAGGTAGGGAGTGAATAGCGGAAAGCTTTAAATGCCAGAGTAAGGAGGTTATTTTCTTGAATGAATTGAGGCAATGAAGTTTTGGGCAAGGCAGTGACTCCCTCATTGCATAAACACTAACTGATATTTACTCAGTACATTATGTGCAGGCATGTTCTCATTTACTGTACCTCTCACAACAACCCCAAGTGGTCTACTCATTACTACATCCACACTGATATAGCTTGCAAAAATTTAGGCTGAAGATTGGCCACATCAGTTATTCAAGACTGCACACCTAGCAAATAGTGGAGTCGTGTTTTAAGCTTAGAACTGTTGAACTCCAGAGTCCAGATGTTTAGCCTTTCAGATCAGTGTTTGGAAATGTTAACTTTATAGTGGTGTACTGCTTAGACTGAACCCTAAAGGAAGGTAATTTATAAATGTTAATAACTAATGGATAACCATAATGGAATCATGAATATAAAGAGCTTAGAAAAAAGTTATTGGTGTTTAACAAGAACTTAATTCACAGTCTTTTATTTTTTTTCTACTTTTACTTTATGTTCAGGGGTACATGTGCAGGTTTGTTACATAGGTAACTCGCATGTCACTGAGGCTTTGTGTACAAATGATCCCATCACTAAGGTACTGAGCACAGTACCTGAAAGGTAGCATTCCTGCCAACACCCCCACCACCTTCCCTGTTCAAGTCCCCAGGTTCTATTTTCCCCATCTTTGTGTCCACGTGTCTTCAAAGTTTAGCTCTTACTTATAAGTGAGAACATGCGATATTTCGTTTTCTGTTCTGGGCTGGTTCACTAAGGATGCTGGCCTCCAGCGGCATATGTGTTGCTGCAAGGGACATGATCTTGTTCCTTTTATGATTGCATAGCATTCCATTATATATATATATATATCACATTTTGTTGATCCAGTCCACTGTTGATGAACATCTTGGTTGATTCCATGTCTTTGCTATTGTGAATAGTGCTGCAATGAACATACAAGTGCATATGTCTTTTTGGGAGAACAATTTATTTTGCTTTGTATATATACCCAATAGTGGGATTTTGTTGGGTCAAATGCTAGTTCTATTTTAAATTCTTTAAGAAATCTTCACACTGCTTTCCACAGTAGCTGAACTAATTTGCATTCTTACCAACAGTGTATAACTGTTCCCTCTTCTCTGTAACCTCACTAGCATCTGTTGTTCTTTGACTTTTAAATAATAGCCATTCTGATGGTATGATATCTCATTGTGGTTTTGATATGCATTTCTCTAATAATTAGTAATTGATGTGATTGGGCTCTGCAACCCCACCCAAATCTCATGTCAAACTGTAATCCCCATGTGTCAGGGGAGGGGCCTGGTGGGAGGTTATTGGATTATGGGGGTGGATTCCCCCTCACTGTTTTTGTGATGAGCGAGTGAGTTCCTATTAGATCTGATGGTTTAAAAGTGTGTGGTTGGGCCGGGTGTGGTGGCTCATGCCTGTAATCCCAGCACTTTAGGAGGCCGAGGCGGGCAGATCACGAGGTCAGGAGATCAAGACCAGCCTGGACAACATGGTGAAACCCTGTCTCTACTAAAAATACAAAAGATTAGCTGGGTGTGGTGGCACACGCCTGTAGTCCCAGCTACTCAGGAGGCTGAGGAAGGAGAATCGCTTGAACCTGGAGGTGGAGGTTGCAGTGAGCGGAGATTGTGCCACTGCACTCCAGCCTGGGTGACAGACCAAGGCTTCATCTCAAAAACAAAAACAACAACAAAAAAACAAACAAACAAAAACAACAACAGTGTGTGGTACTGCCCCCTTCGCGCGCTCTCTCTCTCTCTCTCTCTCTCTCTCTCCTGCTATCACAGGAAAATGTGCTTGCTTCCCCTTCTGCCATGATTGTAAGTTTCCTGAGGCCCCCCAGTCATGCTTCCTGTTAAGCCTGCAGAATTGTGAGTCAATTAAACCTCTTTTCTTAGTAAATTGCCCAGTCTCAGGTAGTTCTTTGCAGTAGTATGAAAACAGAGTAGTACAGTGATTAGCATTTTTTCATATTGGTTGCATGCATGCCTTCTTTTCAGAAGTGTCTCTTAATGTCTTTTGCCCATTTTTTCATTGGGTTGTTTTTTGCTTGCTGATTTCTTGTAGATTCTGGATATTAGACCTTTGTCAGATGCACACTTTGCAAATATTGTCTCTGATTCTGCAGGGTGTCTATTTACTCTCTTGACAGTCTTTTGCTGTGGAGAAACTGTTTAATCAGGTCCCACTTGTCAATTTTTGTTTTTGTTCCCATTTCTTTTAGAGACTTAGTCAGAAATTCTTTGCCAAAGCTGATGTGCAGAATGGTATTTCCTAGGTTTTCCTCTAGGGTTTTCATTGTTTTAGGTCTTACAGTTAAGTCTTCAATCTATCTTGAGTTAATTTTTGCTTATGTGAAAGAAAGGGGTCCAATTTCAATCTTCTGCCTATGGCTAGACAGTTATCCTACCACCATTTATTGAATAGGATGTCCTTTCTTTACTGTTTGTTATTGTCAACTTTGTTAGAGATCAGGTGGTTGTAGGTGTGTGGCTTCATTTCTGGGTTCTCCATGCTGTTCCATTGGTTTATGTGTCTGTTTTTATACCAGTACCATGATGTTTTGGTTTTTGTAGCCTTGCTGTATAGTTTGAAGTTGGTTGGTGTGATGCCCCCGGCTTTGTTCTTTTTGCTTAGGATTGCTTTGATGGTCCGTGCTCCTCTTTGGTTCTATATGAATTTTAGGTTACTTTTTTCTAATTCTGTGAAAAATGACATTGGCAGTTTGACAGGAATAGCATTGACTCTGTAAATTGCTTTGGGCAGTATGGTCATTTTAACAATATTGATTCTTCCTATCCATGAGCAGGGAATGTTTTTCCATTTGTTTATGTTGCCTCTGATTTCTTTCTGCAGTGTAATTCTCATTGTAGAGATCTTTCACTTCTTTGATAAGCATATTCCTAGGTATTTTATTCTTTTTGAAGCTATTGTAAGTGGAATTTTGTTCTTTATGTAGGTCTGAACTTGAATGTTATTGGTGTATAAAAATGCTACTGATTTTTCCACATTGGTTTTGCATCCTGTAACTGTACTAAAGTTGTTTATCAGTTCTAGAAACCTTCTGGCAGAGTCTATGGGGTTTTCTAGGTATAGAAACACATCATAAAGAGACACAGTTTGACTTCCTCTCTTATTTTGAAGCCTTTTATTTCTTTCTCTTGCTTATTTGCTCTGGCTAGCAATTCCAATACCACGTTGCATAGAAGTGGTGAGAATGGGCATACTTGTCTTATTCTAGTTCTCAAAGGGAAGGCTTCCAGCTTTTGTCCATTCAGTATGATGCTGGCTGTGGGTTTGTCATAGATGGCTCTTGCTATTTTGAGGTATGTTCCTTTGATGCCTAATTTGTTG
This sequence comes from Homo sapiens, assembly GCF_000001405.40. Classification (NCBI taxonomy): domain Eukaryota; kingdom Metazoa; phylum Chordata; class Mammalia; order Primates; family Hominidae; genus Homo; species Homo sapiens. The sequence continues at coordinate 59,287,253 of NC_000014.9, read as the reverse complement.
AAGATTTTTTTTAACATGAAGGGATGCTGAATTTTATCAAAGGCCTCTTCTGCATCTATAGAGATGATCAAAGGTTTTTATTATTCTGTTTATGTGGTGAATCACGTTTATTGATTGGCATATGTTAAACCAACTTTGCATATCAGGAATAAAGCCTACTTGATTGTGGTGAATTAACTTTTTGATGTGCTGCTGGATTTGGTTAGCTAGTACTTTGCTGAGGATTCTTGCATCTACCTTCATCAGAGATATTAGCCTGAATTTTTCTCTTTTTTTCTTGTGTCTCTGCCAGTCTTTGGTATCAGGGTGATGCTGGTTTTAGAGAGTTAGGGAGGAGTCCCTTCTCTTTGAATTTTTGGAATAATTTCAGTAGGATTGGTACTAGCTCTTCTTCATATATCTGGTAGAATTCAGCTGTGAATCTATCTAGTCCAGGGCTTTTTTCTGGTTGGTAGGTATTTTTTTGTATTACTGATTTAATTTCAGAACTCATTATTGGTCTGTTCATGACTTAAATTTCTTCCTGGTTCAAACTTGGGAGGCTGTGTGTTTCTGGGAATGTATCCATTTCTTAAACACCTTGTTTGTGTGCACAGAGGTGTTCGTAACAGTCTCTAAGGATTTTTTTGTTTGTTTCCGTGGGGTCAGTTGTAATGTTACCTTTGTCATTTCTGACTGTGTTTATTTAGATTTTCTCTGCTTTTTCCCTTATTAATCTAGCTAGCAGTCTATAAATCTTGTTTAATCTTTCCAAGAAAGATTAAATTTTTGGTTTGCTGACTTTTTGTATGAATTTTCACATCTCAATTTCATTCAGTTTAGCTCTGATTTTGGTTATTTCTTTTCTCCTGCTAGCTTTGGAGTTGACTTGCTCTTGTTTTTCTAGTTCCTGTAGGTGCATCATTAGGTTAATTTGAGATCTAACTTTTTGATGTAGGTGTTTAGCACAACAGACTTTCTTCTTAACCCTGCTTTAGCTATGTCCCAAAAATTCTGGTATATTTTGTCTTTGTCGTCATTAATTTCAAGGATTTAAAAAAAAATTTTTATACTTTTGCCTTAATTTCATTCTTTACCCAAAAGTCTTTCAGGAGCAGGTTGTTTAACTTCCATGTGATTTTTATGGTTTTGATAGATCTTCTTGGTATTGATTTCCATTTTTATTCCACTGTGGTCAAAGAGTGTGATTGGTATGATTTTGATTTTTCTGAATTTGCTGAGATTTGTTTTATGGCTGAATATGTGGTTGATCTTAGAGTATGTGCCATGTGAGATGAGCAAAATATATATTCTATTGTTGTTGGATGGAGTGTTCTGTAGATGTCTATTAGGTCCAATTGGCCAAGCACTGAGTTTAAGTCTAGAATATCTCTGTTAGTTTTCTGCCTCAATGATCTGTTTAACACTGTTGGTAGGGTGTTGAAGTCCCCCAGTATCACTGTTTGGTTCTCTAAATCTCTTGTAGGTCTCTAAAATCCTGTTTTATGAATCTGGGTGCTCCAATATTGGGTATGTATATATTTAGGATAGTTAAGTCTTCTTGTTGGCTTGGGCCCTTTATCATTATGCAATGCCTTTCTTTGTCCTTTTTGATCATTGTTGGTTTAAAATCTGTTTTATCAGATACAAGAATAGCAACCCATGTTCTTTTTTGTTTTCCACTTTCCTGACACTTCTTTTACTTTGAGCCTATCAGCACCATTACTTGTGAGATGGGTCTCTTGAAGGCAGCAGACAGTGGGTCTTGCTTCTTTATCCAAATTGCTACTCCATGCCTTTTGAGCGGGACATTTAGCCTGTTTACATTCAGAATCCATATTAATATGTGAGGATTTGATCCTTTCATTGTGCCGTTAGCTGGTTGTTATGTAGACTTGATTGTATGTGCATATGTAGACTTCATTATCATGGCAGGTATTGTTCTTTCATTTCCATATTTAGCACTCCCTTTAGTAGATCTTGTAACGCAGGTCTAATTGCAACAAGTTCCCTTAGCATTTGCTTGTCTGAAAACGATTTTGTTTCTCCTTCACTTTATGAAGCTTAGTTTCGCAGGATATGAAATTCTTGGTTGGAATTTCTTTTCTTTAAGGATATTGAAAATAGTCCCTGAATCTCTTCTGGCTTATAAGGTTTCTGCCGAAAGGTCCACTGTTAGCTTGATGGGGTTTCCTTTGTAAGTGACCTTCCCCTTCTCTCTAGCTGCCTTTAAGATTTTTCTTTTTCATTGACCTTGGAGAATCTGATGACTATGTGTCTTAGGGATGGTTACCCTGCATAGTTTCTCATAGGAGTTCTCTGAATTTCTTGAATTTGCACGTCAACCCCTCTAGTGAGACTGGGGAAATTTTCGTTGACTACATCCTCAAATATATTTTCCAAGTTGCTTGATCTCTCTTTTCTTTCTGAAATGCCAATAAATACAGGCATTCACATAATCCCATATTTTTGAAGTTTCATTCTTTTTTTACATTCTTTCATTCTTTATTTTTGTCTGCCTGTGTTACTTCAAAGGAATGGTATTCAAGCTCTGAGATTCCTTCCTCAGTTTGGTCTATTCTGTTGTTAATGCTTCCAATTGTATTTTGAAATTCCTGTAGTGATTTTTTTATTTCCAGAAGTTCAGTTTGGTTCTTTCTTAAAAATGGTTATTTCATCTTTCAACTCCAGGATCATTTTACTGTTTTCCTTGGATTGGGTTTCAACCTTCTCTTGTATCTAAATGAGCTTCCTTGCCATCAGATTCTGAAATTCTACATCTGACATTTTAGCCATTTCAATAAAATATGTAAATTAAACACAGTAAGATTTAGATCTCCAAGGAATATTTTAAAAGTCCCCCTCTGAATGGCTCTTGCATATATCTGCAGTTCTATAATACTCATGGACATGTAGGCTTAGGATACTGACTTCACATCTTATATTCCCACCTCTATTTAGTCATCAAGTCCTGTTATTTCTTCCCTGAAAAACCTCATTTTTTTCCCCTTTGATTTTCCCTTTCATTCTCACTGAAACCACGAACACTTATGTCCTAATAACCTCTCCTTGGCTTCTGGCTATAGCCTCCCAGTGTTCCTCTTTGTCTTTCCAATTCTGCTGAACATGGCCAGATTTCTCCTAAAGAAGTGGTTCTCAAACATGAGCAAGCATCAGAATCACCAGGAAGGTTCCTTAAATCACTTATCATCCAGCATTTAGGATTGAACAGGGAGGAAAAGGTACACGACACTGCATTTTCAGTAAGTTCCCAGGTGTTGCTGCTGGTCCTAAGACCACATTTTAGAACCACTGCCTTAAAAATGGAGCACCTGTGCTGTTTTGAGCTCCCAGTTCAAAAAACTTTATTAGTTCCACATTGCCTGCAAAATTAATTCTCCACTCATCGGCCTGTCTTTGATGTCTTCCATTTATAATCCCAACTGAGTTTGCCAGGCTTGCTTCTAGTTATCACCTTACACAGTATCTTGTTAACACCCACACCTCCAGTGCCTAGTCATGGCCTAAAATATGCTAGTTCCTTTGGGAAGTTCATGATCTTTTTAAGCCTCTATATCCTCATCTCCAGGAGAGGTACATCATTTCTCTTGCAAGGCTGTTGTGAGGATTGGCAAATCAACTAAGCATGCAGTAATGCCTGACACAGAGGTGGCAACTGTACTGTTGTTATTTCATCATTTAAACACAAATCAATTGCTACTTTCAAGGGCAAGGTAAACAGTTACATCACAAAAACACACACATACAGTATTACTCCCTAACCACAAAAACTAGCTATTAAGAATTTCAACACAATGAACAACCAGAGAAGCAATGAGGGATTTTTTACAGAAAATTCCATTATGAGGGAACATGTTTAAAATGTTAGAATTTTGGCATACAGCTATTATATATGTGAAGTAATTATTTTTCTTCCTTTTTAATTTCCTGTTATTCATACCTGCACTTAACTATTGATGAATGGGAAAATAATGGTGACATAAATCACTTCTCAACAATCAGGTCAATTATTCAAACAGTTCAATAGTAACTTGCTTAGTTTTGGGGGTAACATTTGGTTTGTGTGAGAGAGAACTGTACTATTAAGAGTGCATCCTTTACTTCACTACAGCACAGTTTTTGTTAACTGAGCAGAGGTGTGAAGAAACATGTGATTCCTAAAACCTAGAAATTCAAAGCAAAGGGTTTTAATATGTTTTGCTGTCACAGGTAGATAACTTCTGCTTCTGCTGAGATGCAGAAATGACCAATTCTGAATTGAAAGAACACATATGAACTAGGAATTAGGGGCAGGTATTTCATGCAGGAAGATAATTTTCACTGAGCAAAAAAAAATTACTGTAGGGTCTCTGCATATGATTTTGGATTACAGTAAGAAAATGGAAAGGAATAAATGGGTACTGCTAATAGTAATAGCTAACAATTATTGAGCACTTTCTATGTTCTTAATAGTAGTGTTTTATATTGATGAATATAGTGTATCCTTACAACAATCCTATAAAGTAGGTCATATTATTATACTGTTTTCCAGAAAACTGAGTCAGAGAGGATTAAGTAGCTTGCTCAAGGCAACAAAGCTGGTAAACAGTGGAGGAAGAACTCGAGTCTAGACTGTCTGGTTACACAGCCCATGTTCTTCACCACCACACTGTTCATTCTGTCAACACAGGTAGGCAAAATCACGACACTGATACAAACATCAAAATGCATCCATCTACTGAGTGTCTCTTAGCAAAAAGAGTGGGATTTGTTATCAGATATCCCTGAGTTCCACATCTGGCTTTATGGCTTACGTAACCTTGCACAAGTGACTCAGCCTCTGAACTTCAATTTCTTCATCTGAAGACAGAATAGTCATATATTCCTGATAGTCATCTATCAAAAAAATGTTGTTGAATATCTATCTATTAAATTCCAGGCATTGTGATAGGCACAGGGTTCAAAAAGCTATCATGGAGCTCAATCCTCATGCAGATGGAGGGGAAATCAAATAGTCACACTAACTCAAGAATGATCAACACAATGAACAATCAGGGAAGCAATGAGGGTTTTTTACGGAAAATTCCATTATGAGGGAACATGTTACACACTAAGTTGAGTTCTGAGAGCCCACTTGTTATGGGGAAAGGTGGGACAGTGAAGGCTTTCCCCAGGAAATATACAGAGCTTAGAGGTACATAAGAAGTAAAGAGGTAGAAAGCACTGCAGACAATGAACAGCAGCCTTGAAAGCCACTGTGAACTTAATTCTTTATCCTATGAGCAATCTGGATTAGTGGATTCTGAGTGAGGAGAGTTACACAGATTAAATTCGATAATAACTGGGAGAGCCTAGGCACAATGACCAGGGTATAATAATAATAAGATCCCTACCCCTCCATTCCAAAAGTATCTCTGCTCTGACTCATTTTGATTTCATAATATGGCTGAATCAAGCAGGCAGGACTCTAAGAAACTATCACAGCCTTACAAGATCAATCAACACTTACTCACTGTCCTACCCATTCCAGGACCAGGGCCAGACGTTATAAAGAATACAAAGATGAATAACAGATCCTGATTTCAAGGAATTTATAATCTAGTTAGGAAGACAAGGTGATAGAAAGCTTTACAGGTTCCCATTCTTTCCAAGATAAAGTCCAAATTCCTTAGCAGGTAAAGGTCCCTTCATGACATGGCTTTTGCTGACCTTCCCACCTCCCCTCCTCCTCCTCCTCCTCCTCCTCCTCCAACAGCAGCACCTTCTAGTGTATCCAAAAAGCAGGTTAATTGCTCACTGCATGCGAAGTCCAATTAACAAGAGTAAGGTCTGATACAAGGCAAGTGAATTTACTCCAAAGCTAGCTTGGGGAAGGGGCACAAAGCGTCCTGCCTTTAAATACGCCACTTCACCTTTGGAGCAGAAAACAGACATCTTTATAAGGTAAGGGGGTAGTGAGCAAGGGCAAGGGGTCCCCCTGCTAGCCTGGTGTCTTATCTACTGAACAGTTGAGTTGGTGCCTTTCTGAGCAGAAATAAGTTGTAAAAGTGGCCAAGCCGGCATACTTTTGATATGTCCTCCTGGTAGATGAAAGTCCTGAGGCAACCCCCCGAGGGTGGAAGATCTAACGTTATTCCCTAGAGGTGAACGTTCCATAGCAGGTATGTTTTGGTTTGCAAGTCGACTGTCAACTCTTGCAGAGAAATCTGTCTTGGGACAGACAGTAAGAAGAACTCATCCTGCAGGAAATGTCTGGTGAGGGGAAGGTGACAGGTTATATTTGCATTCTGAAGGGCTAATAGGAAACAGGGAACAGAGGGAAAGGGGAGAGGAGGAGAGAAAATAAAAACAATAACAGTAACTCATGCCCTTTTTCTTAGAAAAAATGATAGCACTTAAAACTATTACCTCTGATCACAAGTTGCCAACTTCTGAAAGTTTGCACATGCTGTTCCCCTTTTCCAAGGGCCCACCATGTCTAAGAGGCAATCCTATTCATATAAGCTTTTACAAGGCATCAGCTATTCCCTCCAGGTAGCCTATCCTGCCTTTCTGGGGATGAGTAGCTCCTCTGTACTTTGTGGAATTTATCACATTGCTATATGTTATTGGTACGTCTGACTCTCATTGTGAACTCGTTCCCAAAAGACGCGAACTCAATTTGTTCTATTCATCTTTGCATCAGTACTTAAAAGCAGTCTGACATAGCAGAAATGAAAAAAAAAAAAAAAAAAAAAAAGGAAGGTGTGCAGAAAGTAGAGAAGATGGGGAAGCTGGGAGGGAGGAAGGGAAGGGATATTTCAAGATATAGTGAGGATTATTTGATTATTTTATTGTTTAGAGATAGGGTCTCTCTCTGTCATCCAGGCTGGAGTGCAGTGGTGTGATCATAGCTCACTGTAACCTTGACCTCCTGTGCTCAAGTCATCCTCCAGCCTCAGCCTCCCAAAGTGCTGAGATTACAGGCATGGGCCATGGCACATGCCCAATGCATTTTAAAGATTAAAGCCTATTATTTGAGGTGAAATGCACATACAGTGAAATGTACACATGTTAAGTATACAGTTTTTGAGTTTGGCAAAGGTATACATTGAAGTAACACTTAACACCTTAGAATCTAGTGGTACCATCTTATACTCATGTCAGCAATACACGGCAGTTCCAGTTACTCCACATTCTCATCAACACTTGGTGCTGTTTTTTTAAATTTTAGCTCTTCTAGTTTCTGTTAAGTACGATCTCAATGCAGTTTTAGTTTACGTTTTCCTAATGACAACTGGTGCTAAATATAACTTTTCACATGTTTACTGGCCATTCATACATGTTCTTTTGTGAAATGTTTGTTCAAATCTTTTGCCCATTTTTATTGAGTTACCTGTCTTATTTTTACTGATTTAAAGTAATTCTTTATATATCCTGGAAACATGTCCTTTGCCAGAGGTATATATTAAGAATATTTCTCCTAGCCTGTGGCTTGCCTTCTCATTTTGTTAATATTTTGATCACCACGTGTTTTTTAAAATTTTAATGAAGTCTAATTTATCAATTTTTAAAATATAGTTAATGATTGTAAATCTTCTCTAAGAAATTCTACAACTTACAGGTAAAAAAAAATTGTATGGTTTCTTCTGGAAGCTGTACGGTTTTAGTTTTAGCTTCTATGTTTGAATCTCCAGTCCCTCTCACAGACCCTACTTCTGGATAACACACAGTATTTCTTTAGTTACAAAACAGCTGGATTGTTTTTGCATTGTCTCTTCTAACTATGCATATTCATTTAGATAGGCTGCTGGGCAAGAAGGGCAATGAAAGCAAAGTTGATGGGAGAAGGAAAAAATAATGGATACAAAACAATTTGAAAATCATTCTTCAAATTACTTCAAGGTAACATTTCAGGAGATTTTTCATTTTGGTAATTAAATTCTAAAGGAAGCATTCATGAAAAATAAAGCAATTAGTATCACTGTATCTCAATAGTATCTCTTAACATGAATTTCTTAGAAAAAGTAGATCTACAGAGCCAGAAAGCGGATGATTGTCTGGGGCCTAGAGGCAAGGGCAGGGATGACTGCAAATGGGCACAAGGGGAGATGGGATGCTGGAAGTGTTATAAACTATGGCGGTGATGGTTAACAACTATAAACATTTATTAAAACTCAAACTGTACAATTACAAGAGGTGAATTCTATGACATATAAATTATCCCTCAATAAAGCTGTCAAAAAAAATCAAGCCTGCTTGTTGGAGCCCCAGGAAAACAAACAAAAAATTCTATATAGACAAAGTAGAAAAAATACAGCTTTGTATATACATAGTAAGAAAAGAAAATTCTGTTTGAACATTAGATAAACCAAGGAGTTGGCTTAAAAGAGAAACTGATTGGAAAGAAGTGTATGAAGAAGGAGGAAAGAAAACTGTGTACTCCTTTAAAGTAAGTAGCTCAATCTGGGAAATGTTACAGTTTCAGACACAGCATTCCTTTGAAATCAAAGATCACTTCCTTAAAATATTCTTATCCTTTCTTTGAAAGTTACATAAATTATATTAGTGTGTATTCCATTTAGGCCAAGCAACAGGCAATGTTTTCCCCAAGGTCCCTTTGTAATTAAGTGATATGTTAATATTAACAAGAAGTCCTTAAGAACCTTTTCAGTTTGTTTTTCCCCCTAATACTGACTCTACAGAAAAGTATAGTAGTGTCCTCTTATTCTCTGAATTCTGAATTCACTTTCTGCCATTTCAGTTACCTCTAGCCAACTGTGGTCCAAAAGTATAAATTAAGAATTCTAAAAGAATAAATTCCAGAAATAAAAAATTCCTAAGTTTAAAATTGTGTGTCATTCTGGGTATTGCAATGAAATCTCACTTAGTCCTGTGCAGGCCATGAATCACCCTTTGTCCAGCATATTCAGGCTGTATACATTCCTTGCTCATTAGTCATGAATATCTAACCATCAGCATCCTCATGGTTCCATGAGCCAGGTTCACCCGCAGCAGATGATCTTCCTCCTGACATTTCATCTCAAGGTCAATAGTAGGCTAACACTACCTCGTGATGCCTATGTCATTCACCTCACTTCATCTGATCACACAGGCATTTTATCATTTCACATCATCACCAAAAGAAGGGTGAGTACAGTAAGATATTTTAAGAGAGGAGGAGACCACATTCACATTAACATTTATTACAACCTATTGTTATAACTGTTCTATTTTATTATTAGTTATTGTTGTGAATCCCTTACTATGCCTAATTTATAAAGTTTAACATAGATATATATGTATAGGAAAAAAACATAGTATATATAGCGTTCAGTACTATCTGTGGTTTCAGGCATCCACAGGGGAGGGGAGGGTTTTAGATGGGCCATATCCCCTGCTGGTAAGGGAGGACTACTGTACCAGATCATCTGTGAGTTAACAGCCAGGTTTTTCACTATGATTACAAACAGATGTAATTACTCAAACCCCAGGAAGCACCCTAGTTGAGTATAGAATCTAAATCTTACTACATCTTAGACTTGGGTGGCCGAGCTCCTTTCATTGGTCAGAGAATTTTTTTTTCATGTTATTCTCTATGGATAGAGTTTTAAAAGTCAAAGGAAAATGATTAAGCAAGAGATAAAAGGAGAAACCTTTGCATCAAGCATCATGCCTCTCCAGAGAAAGTTTTAGTTTCTCAAAAACTAAAACCAACAGATTAAAAGGCTCTTCTTCTTGGAGATGATATTAATTATACTTTTATATATTTATATATTTTACATATTTATAATATTTTGGAGAAAAGATTTTTTTTTATTATTAAGAAGAAAGGACCTCTGAGGGAAGCCCAGCTGTGGGAACTAAAGTTCTAGGCTTCATCCGTAACAAAGTGCATTATTAAGCCCCACTTCTAAGAGATTCTGTACAAAGAAACCTTACCAATTCCACACTGTAGAATAAGCAGGCAGTTCTGTAGAGAAACCTACATAAATCAGAAAACAATTGGCATGCTACAAATCAATCGAAGGAAATGGATTCATTTGCTAGATAAAGCAAGGGAAGGAATTTTGAAATAATATACAATAAGGGTCTTGAATGAGTTGAAAGACTAACACTTTGGAAGAAAAAGCTCTTTTCAGAGATTTTAGCTAAACTGAAATATGGGATCATTTATAAAACCTCTAAAGCAATATCTAAAGCATTTATTATTTGAAAATCTACCTAATCAATAGATTTCAATGAGATAAAATACAAGTTTTTGGCTAATAAGAGAAGTCACTAAGAAATTCAGGATATCTATTTCTAATGAGTTAACTAACTCTTTACATACATACAAATATATATTTAGATAAGGTCTGAGGACATTCAAATAATGATTGAGGTGGGGGAATGGGCAGGAGGACTAAGAAAAACGAGAGAAAGAAGCTAAGACAGGCCCTTGAGGTTAGCCTGCCAATCAACTCGCTATTTGTATGTGATTGTGTTTGGGGGTTTTGTTTTTTGTTTTCTTTTGTTTTGCTTTTTAATGGTCCTTGATAAGGTACCTGTCCATCTGACTCAATGTACAGAGTTCACAGAATTACCAACCATTTTCTTACTCAGACAAGTCTAACTTTTATTTTTCAAATTAGATACCTCAGATATTTGTCCAGAATAAACAGCCCCAATTCACCTATCCTAACTCCACCCAGAAAGGGTTTCCCACAAGCCCAGCAGGCTGCAAGCCTTCAGTTCATCTCAAGGATACACTCAACATTAGCAGTGCCTTTTCTGAGTTTAACCCTCTCCTCCCACCCCACAACTCAACACTACCAGAAATAAGTTAAGCCCCTGGAGAGGCACCTAAGCAGACCTCAAGTCACATGACATGGTGATAGTACAACATCAAGGGGAAGAAGCTGTGACCTAAAGACACATGACATGGTGATAATAAGTACAACATCAAGAGGAAGAAGCTAATGGCAGATTGAAGGGTGATGCTTTGGCAGCAAATAAACAGAAAACATTTTTATAAAATGCATGGAGAAAATGTACTATTAAGCTATGATAATTCATTAAATATATAAACATCCAGCCCCATTACAGCAAATGACCATCTCATCTGGGAATCATGAATTGCCAAAGAAGCACTTAAAATTTAACTGCAATGACTCTGAGAATAATATTTTAGTATGATGGTGGTTAGAAATCTGAAAGCTAGGTAAGATTTTTGTCAGTTTCCATAGAGGTGCATTCAGTGAATTATTACCTGCTCCCAACCAGTCAGGAAAAACATAAATGGAAAACAAGAGAGAGCTTTAAGCCCTAAAAGGGATTGGTAAACACAGAGAACAAACCTTGGAGGTTTTCAGCCTGTAAAATTTCTGCCAATATTCTTAGTCATTACATGAAATACCACAATATGACTCACCACCACCTACACAGTAATATTCTCTGTGTCTGATAGACATGTTTTCATTTGATACATAAAAATAAGAAGTGAGAAACACCACAAGCAAAGGCTGACTAATAGAAATAATTTCTAGTTTCTTACTACCAATGGTTAAGTGTTTTTTACACTATTTCCTTTTTTCTCTTAATAGCAAGCAATGCAGACTATATTCAGTTGGCTAGACAAAGTCTGCAGCTAAACACATAGGCTTTTTATTCAGCTTTTTTACCGTTAAACTAGAAACTCATTAGAGTGACTTCAAGTTTTAATAGTCTGCATCACCAACAGTTTTCCGGTAATCTAAAATAAGCTTTTTTCTAAACATGTTAGAATCATCTCCAAATATCCACCCAAATTTCCAGTATTTACACCTATAATCTAGTACAACTTCAGTTGACAAGTCTTACTAGATAAATTTTTTTTTTAACTTTTAAGTTCGGGGTACACGTGCAGGTTTGTTGTATAGGTAAACTTGTATTACACGGTTTGTTGTACAGATGATTTCATCACCCAGCTATTAAACCTAGTACCCACAGTTATTTTTTCTGATCCTCTCCCTCCTCCCACCCTTCACCCTCTGACAGGCCCCATTGCCTGTTGTTCTTGAAAGAGAGAATTTCTAAGCATGTTTTCCTAATTGAATGGAAGTACTTCATCTCCGGGGATACAGCACCAGCTGTAAAGTGACAGACAAGAAAGGTACCCTAAGTCCCTGTGGGCAACCAACCATGAAGCCAAGTTCCACACATGGCCACCTCCTTCGATAGCACCAGCACTGCTCTTGCCAGCCCAGGCCCCTCCCACACCCTCAAGAGGATTGTTTGGCTGCTTGTCTGACACTTTAAAGCTTTAATTGGGTCAAAAGACAATCTAGCAGAATAAGTCTTCCCACATTGGAGCTATTTATTTCACCACGTAATATACAGTACAGAGACTTTTAAAGAGAAAGAATATTTCTTAAACATTGTCACCCTTATCCTTTTAATCTGCTAACTTTCATGCCAACCACTTTGGTGTCCCCATTGTAACTAACATTTTAATGAGAAGAAAGAGTAAAACAGGATGACAGCAGGTGGATAGGGTGCAGGCAGAGTATAAGAATCAGCCCAAACTTATCACCACTATGAGAATATTAAAATACAAACCCAACTGCTGCAGGATTCCACAGTTATTAATTCATGCATGCATGCATACATTCACTCAAATACTTATTGTGCATCTCATGTGTAATGCTTCAGTAATTAGTTATACATCCATTCACTCAAGCCACAAACATTCATTGAGCACCTACTCTGGACCAAGCACTGCCCTAGGCCCCCAGGATCCTAAGTGTGAGAAAGTCAGATATAACACCTGAGCCATTCTGCTCTCTGAAGGTGCAAAGGTGCATATATATAGTGGATTAACACAATGAGTTATTCATATGAGAAAAAACTCAAACTATCTGACTGTTGAAAAGATGGCAAAAGATTCTGACTTTTCCTTCTACATCGAAGAAAAGCCTATTTTTCCTGAAAACAATTCATATTTATGTTATATATACATAACATAAATATATATACATGTCATATATATATTCTGAGTTTTTAATTATTTGGTTTAATTTAGTTCTTAAATATTGCACTGAGTAATGAAATAAACAGCTAGCTGCTTTTGGATCTTGCCAACAAATTCATTTAAAACTGAACACAAGAAAAAATACTGCAACTTTTTCAGGAATCTGGTTTGCCAAGGAACAAAAATTCTAGCTCTTCACCCATAAGCCCGAAAATCATAACTAAAAGATATAGCTGGTCACTGAGCTCTTGTAACACGCACCAAGAACAGCTTGAAATTCCAGAGGAATTCTGGGAATTGAAGGTTGGAGTGGGGAAGATTCCAGACACAGCGAGTAAAAATATTCAAGGACTGTTCAGACCTGAAAAACACCATCCATGGTATTGAGCAATTACCTCCCAAAGGCCATGTCACATGTGTTTTCTGAGAGCAAACCATGGTGACTAGATAATTCCCAGAGCATCAAGATATATTCTTATGTACAGTTAATTGCACAAACTACCAGATCCTTCTAGCCATTACTGAAACACATTTTTAAAATTACGCTTAAAAGCTTACCTAAACCACACTACTTATAAAGATCAAATTATTCCTCCAGCCTTTTGACACCTGTATTGGCTTATATGAGGACACATAGAGAATGGGAATGTCAGTATACTATAACGACTTTGTATAATTTGTATATGGTAGTATAAGGACTAAGTTAAATAGTCAGATTTTAAATTGTAGCCAAAAGCTAAGTAGGTCCATACTATCCAGGGTCTCTTTGGGATTCATTTTAATAAAAATCATCAGGACCAAGAGGATCCATAGCCATTTTGTCAACAGCATTATTAATTCAGAGATAGTTTTATAGTATAGTATTTCTATTTAAAAACAACATTTTCATGTTTCTTTCCTCCACCTCTTCATGCTCCCTCATTTCAGTCTCCTTGATCTAATATTAAGATATAAGAAGCATCCAGAAATAAATGATAATTGAAATGGTAACAAAATATTTAATATGAAGTTGAAGTCCAAATTTAACAGCCTGTAGGAAAGGACATTTGGAATGATCTTGGTAAGATACAATATACATTCAGAATTAGAAGGAACAAAATGGTTTTATGGTCGTATCTTAAGCTTTATTGGATGTGTTTAATGAATCAGAGGATTAGAAGGAAACTTAAGAAATCATTTTGACCATCTTACTGTCTCTAAGCAGACAGGACTTCAACCAGTACAAAGAAATGTATAATGCCACTGAAATGAGAGTCTACTGCCAACCCTACTGTTTTAGGAACAAAGCAATGTTCTATTCAGAAGTACAGCAGATATCAGCAAGCAAAACCACTTATGTCAATATCAGCCTATATCATAAACCATCAGTTGTTCTCAGGGCCAAAATAACTGATCAAGTCCTGGATGTGAGATCATCTTCTGTCACCTTTAAATTGACTGTATCTTGGCAGCAGTTCACATTTACTCCATAGGAATTTTAGCACTGCACACATTTAAGCCCATATCTACATTCCAACTATTCTTTGTGATATATTGCATATCTTCACACTGTTCTGAGCATTTTCCTACAGCATCAAGTTATCAAAAAATGCTACACTGTCAAAGGAAGATCTCTCCCCCTCCCTCCCTCTCTCCTACATACATACATACATACATACATATATATGTGTGTATGTGTGTGTGTGTGTGTGTGTGTATATATATATATTTTGTTTGTTTGTTTGTTTTTTGAGACAGTCTTGCTCTGCTGCCCAGGCTGGAGTGCAGTGGCCCGACCTCGGCTCACTGCAACCTCCATCTCCCAAGGTTCAAGTGACTCTCGTGCCTCAGCCTCCTAAGTAGCTGGGGTTACAGGCATGTGCCACCACATCTGGCTAATTTTATTAATAGTAAAGATGGGGTTTCACCATGTTGGCCAGGCTGGTCTCGAACTCCTGGCCTCAAGTGATCTGCCCGCCTTAGTCTCCCAAAGTGCTGGGATTACAGGTGTGAGCCACTGTGCCTGGCCAGCCACTGCACCCAGCCAATATATTTTAATTCTCTGTCAACTGATTGTTTCCTTTAGCTAAACAAAACTTTTCTCTTTTTAAGCTTTACAGGTTTGTCAAATAAAACCAACTTTTAATCTCATGGAAACAGAACAATTTTAGTATCAATTCCCTCATTAGATTCTGAATTTTGGCTTCCAGATAACTGAATACTTTGACACTATTGTAGACATGTATCTTTGAAGTCTTATACAGTCCGATTTTCTCTGTGTAACTACAGAGCAATCCTTTATACTCTAATAAACAATAGATTAAAACTATGACTCTTTACAACCAGTTTTTTTTTCCTTCTATCAGTTTAAAATGGAATGTTCCTATTACGCAATTTTTTCATCTTTCTTGGGGACAGGCAACTGAATAGCTCCTGTAGGTTACTTTCTATTGTTAGTCACGGTCTTCACTTATAAGGCAAGTTTTAAAAATGAAGAGATAAAAAATGTTGAAACTTTTCATTGATTTTTGTAACAACAGAAGTACTTTATTATTAAAGGCAGCTTAAAATAAGCCTCGGTCATAAGAGAAATTATGCTGACAGCCTGAGAAAAGGAGTAACAATTCACAAGGCTGGTAGAAGAACAAAATGTGTACCCTGGTATATCCTTAGGACTCATTTGGGTTCCTGTAGCTCCTTTCATATCAAAATGACTTCAGAATATATGAAAAATGAAGAGATTATTGATGTAGGTTCCCAAGTGAATTCATTTGGCACAACTTACCTTGACTGTGAATTTATCTAAATCTGATATATCATCTAAATTCTTTCATTTCTACTATCTTCATTTCTCCTACCTTCATTTCTCAAATTCTATGCTGATGACTAATCCTGCGAATGTCCTCAGTATTTAATGATATAGGCCTATAGTAATTATATTTATGATTATATTTTGATGGTATAAATCTTATCATCCTACAGTATCCACCATCACTACCTTCTCATTGGGATTTTAGTTTTCCTTTTATATTTTCTCGGTAGTATAAATAGTGGTTTTGTGACCAGTGATGAATTTCACAACAAGTTTCTTTAAAATATTTTACATTTCCTGGAAGGCACAGCACTCTATTATCCTCAAACATTAGACCCACTGGCCTAATAAATGGAAGTCTAAGAACTGGATCTGAAAGAAGGCAGATTAACCAGAAAATAGTATAAAATGGAATTGGAAACATTTCAGGCTTAGAAAAACTTGGGTTCAAACTGCATATTATTTCCAACTAGCCATAAATTCAGTGATGTAGTGTATTAGAAATGAAAGCTCTCCTCTAAAACTATGAAATGGATTCCAAATATGTGTGCTGTAAGAGGTGAGACTGACTATAATACACTTCAAAAATAATAACCAGACTTGTTTTAAACCTGGATTTTTTACGTAAAATCTCACACAGGAAAAGCAGTTGCACATTTTGCATGTTTCACCCATTAAAAAAGCTGAGGGTCACAGAAACAGAAACTGTGAGAAAGACACCCCAGTTCCAATACCACTGTTGCTGTGAAATATTCTGTAGGAAACCCTTATTCTTGGGGTATGCAGAAGTCTATTGCAGGGGGGCTCCTGGTAATTCTCTTTGTCCTTTTCTATTTCAAAATTAAAGTAGCCAGAGGAGGTGCATGTTGTAACAAAGAGGCACCTCACCTCAACTACTGAGCTCAAAGGAAAACATATTCAGAATTGCTATGGTTTGGATGTGTGTTCCCCTCCAAATCTCATGTTGAAATCTGATCCCCAATATTGGAGGTGGGGCCTAATGGGAAGTGTTTGGGTCATGGGGGAGGATCCCTCATGAATAGATTAATTTCCTCCCTCCGGGTTACTGAGTTCTAGCTCCATTAGTTCCCTGGAGAGCTGGTTGTTAAAAAGAGCCTAGCACCTGCCACCCCACCACCATTGCTTCTCTGGCCACGTGATCTCTGCACATGCAGACTTTTCTTTGCCTCCACCATGAGTGGAAGCAGGCTGAGGCCCTCACCAGATGCAGATGCTCAATCTTGAGCCTTCCAACCATGAGAACAATGAGCTATAATTTTTTTCTCTATAAATTACCCAGCCTCAGGTATTCCCTTTATAGCAACATAAAATGGATTAAGATAAGAATCTACTCAGGGATACATGACATCTATCACAAAACTTACCAACACCTCACAAATACTGAACAGAACCATGGTTATTTCTGTAAATTTAACCAGATAGCAAAATATTTTGATGTACTTCATTATATTTGGTTCACTGAAAAAATCTGTAAGCAAACAGAGGCACTTTTCTCTGGTTCTAGGAAGAATTTGATATATATGTTTAAGTCAACAATATAACCATCCCAAACATACCTTTCCCAGGCTCGTCTCTCAGAATCTCCAATCCCTCTAGCTTCCTGTTTTTTTATGCGTCATCTAAACTGAACTTCTTTCAGTTACCTGAGCCTTCCATGCCTTCTCTCACTCTCTAGCACTTATACATGCTCTTCTCACTGTCTGTAACACTCTTTTCTTTCCTTTGTGCCTGGATGATTCCTTCTTGTTTTTCATGCCTCACATTAAATGTCACTTCCCCGAGGAAGGCTTCCAAGACCCTTCACACTAGGTTAGGCAATCATGGGGGTAGGTGTTAGTGAACAGCACCCTCCTTCCCCAGCAAGATTAGAATTCACTGAGACCTAAGCTAAGGAATCAAGCCAATAGAAATCAAAATGCCCTTCATTTTACTCACGTAAGCTGCACTGGAGAACCCAACTTTCATCGGCAGATAAGTGGGGCCTGCAGAAATTTAATGCTGAGTTATGTAGATGTTTATCCACTGTCCCACAGGGGCAGCTGGACAACTGTAGAGCTCCCCAAAGGGGCTCACTCCTGTGTAATGTATGGCACCAAGAAACACAATGTGTTTTCTCAAAGCACGTTGACTGTTTACAGAGAGGTACTGAGCTGTGCATGTTCCCAAGAGGAGTAAGGAGCTGGAAGAGAGGCCGGGAATGTGATTCCAGTGAAACTCCCTCCTCACGAAAAAGGGAATAAAGCTTCCTCCCAGACAAAATGTACTGCTTGAGCAGCACTCCCATAGCACTTGATCACTTTGATAAGATTGCACATTTAGTTGCCTGTCTTTTCTGCTAGACCTTCAGCTCCACAACATCATCAAGGACAGGACCATGTGTCTTTTGCTCACCAGTTACCTCAGGATTAGCAGAGACAGGCTCTTAACATGCACACATCAAAATAAACCATCAGTCGATTAATGACTCATTCTTCTGTTCATTCCAAGGGAAATCGTCTATTGCTAACATAAAAAAGTTACTTGAATAAGGACGATTTATAGAGTTGTCACGCTTAGGACTCTTCGGATAGGTTGGCTGAGATAATTTAAGACTTTTAAAAACCTGTAGAAAAGAATATTACTGAATCTTATTTCAATAGGTGAGTGTTATTCATATTGGTTATATTTCTTTATTTTGACTGAGGCAGAGAGCACAGAGGAAGACTGGGAGAGGGGAGGAGGTAGAGGTGAGAGGGAGAGGAAAAAGTAAAAAAGAATTGATTCTCGAAAGGTATAAAATATATGGTTAGCAGAGATTAAACAGACTCTTAACTTAGGTTTTATTTGTAAATATCCCAAATAACTTAAAAATTGTTAGCAGGGAGACTTTATTTCTATTTGACAACTCACGCACACACAATTCCCGAGTTATTTTGTCCTCAGTTCTTCAGGAGATATAGAACAGCTTTAAAAGCAGTTGTCTTATCAGTTGGTAGGGGGTGAATAAGAACAAGTGTTGGCAAAGACGTGGAGAAACTGGAACCCTCATACATTGCTGGTGGAGATGTAAAATGGTGCAGTCATTTTGAAACAGTCTGAAAGTTTCTCAAAAGTTCAACACAGTGTTACCATATGACCCAGTTAATTCCGCTCCTACATATATACTTGCAAGAATTAAAACATATATCTATGCAAAAACTTACATATGGATATTTATAGCAGCTTTATTCACAGGAGCCAAAAACTGGCAACAGCCCAAATGTCCATCAATGATGAATGGATAAAATGATGAATGGATAAAAAATGTGGCAGGCGCCGGGCGCGGTGACTCATGCCTGTCATCCCAGCACTTTGGGAGGCTGAGGTGGGCGGATCACAAGGTCAGGAGTTCGAGACCAGCCTGACCAACATGGCAAAACCCCGTCTCTAAAAAAAAATACAAAAATAGCTGGGCGCAGTGGTGCGTGCTTGTGGTCCCAGCTACTCAGGAGGCTGAAGCAAAATAATCGCTTGAACCCGGGAAGCGGAGGTTGCAGTGAGCCGAGATCGCACCACTGCACTCCAGCCTGGGTAACAGAATGAGACTCTGTCTCAAAAAAAAAAAAAAAAAAGGGGGGGGCGTATATCCACATAATGGAATATTATTAGGCAAGAAAAAGGAATGAAGTACTGGTACATGCTCTAAGGGTGAACCTTGAAAACACTCTGTGAAGTCAAAGAAGCCAGTCACAGAGGACCACATATTGTATAATTCCATTTATGTGAGCTATCCAGAGTAGCCAAATTCTCAGAGACACAAAGAAGATTATTGTTTGTTAGGGGATGTTGGGGTTAGGCATGAATGAGGAGTGATGGTTTATGGATTTAGAGGTCACATGCTAGGGTGATTGCTAAAAGTGATTTTGGTAATGGTTGCACAATTCTATTAATATACTAAAAGCCACTGAATTGCACACTTTACATAGGTGAATTATATATGAATTATTTCTCAATAAAGCTGTTTTTGTTTTTTGTTTTTTTTTTTAAGTTAAGCAGGATGAGACTAGAAAGACAATGCTAAATCCTGAGGTAGGACTAATTCTGGTTCCCCTGCCTACAGCAGGGAGCCTACTAGAGAACAAGGTGCTCCATGCTGCCCACCTTCTTTAAAGATTCACATGGCTGACCTCCTATTGAGGCTTGCTTTACTAATGAGGTGATACGGTTGCAGTAACCAATTCTGAAAGAAATCTACTTGGTATCACTTTTAAAAACATCAAATGAGTGACTCATGAGATGAGGCAAAGGAAACTAGCTTACAACAACCAGCTCTGATGAGATGCTTTCTAACAGATACAGAGGTAAGATGGTCTGCAAGTTAGGACCCACATTGGCCCGCTCACACCAGGGCAGATTTGCTTTCAAGAAAAGGAACAACTGAAATATTTGCTTAGAGTGTTGTGTCTAGAAGACACTAGAATTATCTCTCATCCCTCTTGCAGTATTTGTCTGTGGGGTGTAAATCATCTATTAGGTGCCAGACTTTTTAAAGGTTATCTTCTTTCACCTCTACACCAACCCTATCAGCAAGATGGTATTATCTCCATTTTATAGGTAAGGAAACAACTAAAATTCAAACAGAAATAATCTTAAAGGGAGATTTCCTAGGCTACAGAGCTGGCATTTGGGAAAAGTGTTTGACTCCAGAGACCAGGCACTGTCCACCACCACATGTGGCCTCCCTCCGCTGTACCAGGCCAGAGGCAGAATTGCTTCAGCTATTACTCAAGAGAACCTGGGGCAGAGGTTTGCAGCAGCTTTGAGCCTACCTCTCTTGGCCAGGCCACCCCTTACAATTGGATAGATTTGTGGTCTTAGTCCCTGAAGTCAAGAGTAGACAAAAATTCATCCTTCACTTACCAGGACAGATACAAACCTCAAGATAATTTGTTCTCCAATGGTTTCAGCTTAAAGTTCTGGTTTGGCATTGGCTTTCTCACAACTAGCAGCTGTAGGCAATTTTCACACAGAATGGAGACATCAATAAGGCAGAGAGAGTGGAATTTTCTCCCTTATGAATACAGAACAATGAGCTGTCTTCAAGACGTACATGAAGCTACCACCACACGGGCTCCTCGCTCTCATTTTGGGAGACTGACAGAATATAACTGTAGATGTGGAATGCTTTGAGGGTGCCAGCTCTGCCTACCAGCTCTACTACCACTGAGGGCAGTCATTAGCTATCAGCAACACCTATGTCCTTTGGTTGACTTTTTTTTTTTCCTTTTTTTAATCCAAACACCAACTTGAGGGCAGTCATTAGCTATCAGCAACACCTATGTCCTTTGGTTGACTTTTTTTTTTCTTTTTTTTAATCCAAACACCAACTTGAACAAGAGACTTTCAGTTTTAAAACATTTTAAGTGGGAAACCCTGCCTGTCAATGCATCATTATTGCCCTTCTTGATTGCTGTCTTGGTAGATGATTCACTGCCCCTCCCTAGAAGAGGACTATGTGTCATCTGCCTGCCCCATGACCTCAGCCTTGGCCACATGACTTGTGGTACCAGTCTCTACAGAAGAAGGATGCCTCCTTATATGCAAACTCAGGTGTGGCCATGTGATCTGCACTGGCCAATGAAATGTGGGCACAAGTGACACCTGTTATTTCCAAGCATAAGCTTAGAGCCTATGAATGGTTTGCCAGGTTTGCCTTTCCTCCTCCACCCTTCCTGGGTATAGGACAGAAGACAGGAAGGAGCAGAACTATAGCAGACCCACAGTAGACACACAGCACAGCAAGCAATAAGCCTCTGCTGTTGCAACCACTGGGGTTTTGCTATCACAGCATAACCTAGTTTAAGATGACTGAGACAGTCATTAACATGGATTCCCCCCAACTTTTCTTCTCACCTTCAATTCCTGTTGACAGCTCACTTCCTCCATAAAGTCTTCCCTAACCACCTTCCTCATCTCCTTGACCCACACCACACAACACATATTACACACACAGGTAATTTGTGATTATTCTTTTGTTGCCATTATACCTTCTTCATAATGGATCTCCTTCTACTACTGTCAGATCTTTGGGGGGCAGGTTCTGGCTTTCTATTTCAAACTTCCTTGTTAACACCTGCAACAGAGTTCTTCATGCAGTGGAGATCAAAGAAGGAAGAGATTCCTTAAACACTGAAAATATTCAAGATCATAAAGCGTAAGTACACTGGTAGGAGTCATCTTTCCTTTTTCCCGACCAACTCTGGTTGGCAATAGGCCCATCGCTCCACGCAGGAGACCAGAAATCAAACATCAGCTTCATAACCTCTCTCATATTGGCTTATCTTTCTGCTTTATAAATGAATTCTGGTCTATAAGAGTTGGAGTGACATGGTCAGTTCAGATATTAACCAAGGAGAACACTAACGCAGCTTACAGTATGTCCTTGACCAAAGAATCATGCAAAATGAATAGTATTCTCTAGTGTCTGTTGAACAATATAAATGGTCCATTTAGAACTAACTCCATTACAAATGAGATCATGTCCTTTACAGGAACATGGATGGAGCTGGAAGCCGTTATCCTCAGCAAACTAATGCATGAACAGAAAACCAAACACCAGGTGTTCTCACTAATAAGTGGGAGCTGAATGATGAGAACACATGGACACATGGGGGGAAACAACACACACTGGGGCATGTGGCAGGAGGCAGGGGGATGGTGGATTGGGGAGAGTATCAGGAAGAACAGCGAATGGATGCTGGGCTTAATACCTAGGTGATGGGATGGATGACCTGTGCAGCAAACCACCATGGCACATGTTCACTTATGTAACAAACCTGCACATCCTGCATATGTACCCCAGAACTTAAAATAAAAGTTGAAGAAAAAAAAAAAAGAAGAACTAATTCCATTACAAAATGCCAGTGGTGATCAAAGCAGGATACAGTATTCATGTAACATTTATTAAGCATGTTTAAAGGCCAGGCACTGGGCCACTCCCACTGTGTGCTGTTCTCACTGAAACATTATATCAAACCTAGAAGAAGATGTTTTTTTCCTTCAGAAAACAGGAACAGAAAAATAACATGATTTTTTACAATTATGAAGATAAAATCAAAGCAGTGATTTGAAAAAAAGTCTTCCTAAGTCCTATGCTAGCACCCCTTTAAACTATGCCATAATATCTTCTGAAATACAGAATAGAAACACTACTTGATGCTTGAAAAGCTAAGCTGAAGAATGTACTTACATCTCTTGATGAATGGGTCCTGCACTAGATGCATCCTTCATTTCAGTATATTTGATTCTAAAATATGATAGTACCTATAAAAAGATTCCCACAGCAGTTATTATTCTAATCCTATCATTAGGCTAAATAATGATGCTGTACTGAAGTAATAATGTCTTTCACCAAAGGATCAATGACAGGATGGAAAGTATGACTAATTTTTTAAAAATACGTTAATACTGTACATTCGGTGTGGGGGTAGGGGAGCATTAGGGAATCCCAATAGGTGTGAAGTAAATGAAGGAATTATTTAGCATAATGTATAGACTAAGGACTGGGATGGAGACAAATTAGGAAGGGCAACTTAAGATGCAGTACTGCCACATATTTGAAGAACTGAAGGTCTAAATCCCTCCACCCACTTAAAGCACAAGCAAAGCACTTGGATGTAGTAATACTACCCTCTTCTAACTCTTCCTTCTCCACAGGTTTAGTGCTGACAGTGAGGGTGCAGACATAAAGGTGAATGGGGGCCATTTCACTGAAAAGGAAAAGTCCATGTCAAACCAAACCAACTCATTCACATCCTCTCCTCTTCTCCTTCTCTGGCTCCCCACCAATGCCAGGATAGAAAACTGGGACTCACCACCAGTTCACTGAACATGACATCCAGCTCCTCCACAGGGGGCATGGGCAATGCTGGTTCCATGGTCTGAAGCGCAAAGTTGCTATCATTTCGCAGCCGATACGTGATTTCTGGGTGATCATTATTTCGGAAACAGCAAAAGATGAATGAAATACCTCGTCCACCTCTCTTTCTTGGGGCCATGGCTGAATTCTGTTCTATTTCTTGATGTGACTAAACGCTGCAAAAAGAGGATATGACATGGTTAAGAGTACAGGAACAGATAAAATGATTTTTAAAAGGCCAGACCAACTCAAGAAAGAGCTCCGTGTGCTGACGACACTGTGTGCGCCCTGCAGGGCACAGAGAGAACAACACCGAGTGGGTTTGGAGTCCACTTGGACAGAGAACACACACCCTTCTATTCATTTGTTGACTGTTTCCTGCAATAACTGCTGAGCAAACAGGACAACTCCAGCCACTCTCCTGACAACATACACTCTAATCACACTGAGCTACTGTCTGTTCTTTGTACATCACATTCCCTTTCCTGCCGACCTAGTTTGTTCTTGTTACTCTTCTTGGAAGACTGACCTTCTCTTCCTTGCCCCCTAGGAGATCTCTTCCTTATCTTTTAAAGTCTGATTCCAGACTGATTTAAAAGTTCTCTTCCCTAAATAGAATAACATATATGCTATGACATATATATCCACTTTAGCATGATCACATTCTAAGCTCTTTATGAGTGTGTCTTCCTGTTAGGCTGTGGTAACTGAAGTGAGGGGAAGCGGCTGTGCATCAAGTATTTTGTGGGCCTAGTGCCCTGCACAATCCCAGGAAGAGAGAAGGCACTCCATAAATGTTCACTGTATTAACTAATTCAAATTTACAACAAAGCCAGGACTTGAGCTAGATGGGCCAGAAATTTTCAAACTGAAAAGAGAAAATGAATTCACCAGCAAGGAAAGGAAATGGTTAAATTACACACACACACACACACACACACACACACACACACACACACACACTAATAGAATATTATACACTCATTTAAAAGAACCAAGGCATTTGTATATGTAGATATGGGAAAATGTTGAAAATGCTATAGGAGTACATGATTTAAAGAATGTATGTATTTATAAATATATGAAAGAAATTACTAATAGCAGTAATCCTCAAAATAAAAACAGAGGGTTGGAGAACTATTCATTTTCATTTTTACCCTTTTGAATCCAAATTTTCACCACAAAAACATGTTTTTAATGATGATAGAGGGTATGTTTTAAGTTACAACTGTATATATTGCCTTGGAAAGATTTCCAGTTGATACTGTCTATTGAAAAAACCAAGTCAAAGAAGAACAATAGGCATAGCATGATGCCATTGCGTCTTTTTAAAAACGTCATACAAAAAGCCATACATGTAAATTAATTTCCACCAAATGGTCCAGAAGGATAGACAGCAAATCCCTAATTCCTCTCTTCTGAGAGTGGAATAAGATTAGAAAAAGGCAAGAAAAAAAATGTTCTTTTCATGCTTTTTTAAGAATAGTGGATACATTTAGATGTGTAACTGTTATAAGTCTTCAATGAGGTTAAAAAAGAGATGAGGTTAAAAGAAAAAAAAAAAGGTGGGATGAGAATTGGTCCTTCAAGAGATGGAAGGGCAGGGGAGGAGAAACATATCTTGGTCAGGGAAGGTGGTAGAACAAGGCTGTGAATGCATTATTTATATACTTAAATATAAAAGTATACACATAGAAGAAAGACTAGGGTCAAGTTTGTCAACATTTAACAAATGTGGACAGTGAGAAAACAGATGCCTTCCTTGAACTTTTTTTTGTTCTTAAGTTTTAAAAGTAAACTCCAACCCATCGACTTATGGCATCTTCCAAATCAGATAATCCAACTCCAAAATCTGTAGCCAATTTCTTGATTTTGTAATTAACACTACTACGTAAATAAGTAAAAGCACTCATAAACAACTATAATTTCCAGAGACTTCCACAGTCTAGTCCTCCGCTGACTTGAAGGCAAAGTGGTCTCTACAGTCAGGAACTGGGAGGTTCTGTGACGGGAAGAGAGGGAAAGGTTAAAAGCAGGGTGTCTATCACAGAGTCCACAATGATGCTGTAACTGGCTCTTAAATAAAGACTAAGCCAAACATCCAACATCCTGTTCTGTTGAAGCATATGTCTCCTGGCCTAGGGTGTACTTGTGCAAGGTCATACTGAGACATATGTCATAATTGGGATTCCTTTGGCATATGTGCATTAATACCCACTATGTACCAGGAATGACAGTAGTCACCTAAGCATATGGAAATGAACAGGTCACTCACTAGAAGCTCATAATCTAGTGAGAGACAGTAGTTCACCAGATAGTTATAATAAAGGTAATATGCCAGTAAGTGCCATGTAAACTGAGCAGGATCTGGGGGTGGTCCCTGATGGATGAGTGGAGTTTTGACAGAATATGGAAAACAGGGTCTTTAGGCAGAGGGAACAGTACAAGCAAAGGCATGAGGTAGGAAGGGGCATGAAGGGTACAGGGAATGAGTGGTATAGTATAGACTGTGCTGTATATGCCACCATCTTCTCAGAGCAGAGCCCTGGCTCTCATATCCCTGCTGAAAAATCTGCCAATGGCTCCCCAATACCATTCTAAATTGGCTTTCAGTGGATTTCAGCTCAACTTTTCTGTCTTTCCTACTTCCTCAAAAATATCCTACACTTTACTCAACAGGCCATTTTCCATGCCCCATAAACATCTTGCGCTCCTCTCACCTTCCACCCAAGTAGACTACTCATTCCTTCTCGCTCTTGCCTTTGTCTAGCAACATCCTCCCACCCTGAAAGTACCAATCCTGAGAGTACACCCACTGCTACTGATAGCTGAAATTCAGTTCTACATTTCTGAAGGGCAATTTATCAAAGTCTTAAAATGGTCACACATTTTGACCTAGTATTTCTACTTCTGAAAATGTATGCTTAGGAAATATTCAGAGATATTATCAAAAATGTTTTCACAGAAATTTCCAAAGCATTATCTGCAAGAGCAAATAAGGGCATAGAATAAGTGCTTGTAATGAAGGACTATACAGAAAAGGTAAATAAATTATGGTACAACTAGATAACAGACTACCAAGCAGCCCTTTGTAAAATAATATTTAATGACATGCAAACACATAAAGAATAAACAATACAGTGTCCCATTTTTGTGAGAAAAAATTTACATATATGAGCAGGATAAAAGGACAAAATAAATATAACAAAATACAGGCAGCAGTTAGTTCTGTGACAAATGTAGAGATTACCTTGTTTGTTTTAACAAACAAAAAGACTCTTCTGCACTTCCTAAGTTGGCATATTGAAGACATACTATTTTCACAATTAATAAAGTGAGATTTAAAAAACCCATTGATATGATTATCTGCTTATATTAGAGGGGGAAATGAGCATGAGTATGCAAAAATGTTCCTATCAAAAATATCCAAGTTAGGTTAATCTACATACCAGCTTTTCAAACTATCTGTGGTAAAGGACTAGTTGTTTTCATCCAATCTGTTATAAACTGAAAGATCTCAGCAATGTCAAATTGCTATAAAAGTTTAAATGCTTAATCTCAATTTTTTTTTTTGAGACGGAGTCTTGCTCTGTTGCCCAGGCTAGAGTGCAGTGGCGCGATCTCAGCTCACTGCAAGCTCCGCCTCCCGGGTTCACGCCATTCTCCTGCCTCAGCCTCCCCAGTAGCTGGGACTATAGACGCCCGCCACCACATCCAGCTAATTTTTTGTATTTTTAGTAGAGATGGGGTTTCACCATGTTAGCCAAGATGGTCTCGATCTCCTGACCTCGTGATCTGCCTGCCTCGGCCTCCCAAAGTGCTGGGATTACAGGCGTGAGCCACCACGCCCGGCCTAATCTCAATTCTTGTACCCAACACAGGTAGGCAGCAGCAGCGCTGATGTACATTAGGACATGGGAGTCATTACTTATCTCATTAAAATATAACTGTTAATATTTGTCTCTGGTATGTGTCCTCAGGGCAGGGACCACATCCCACTCAGAAGCCAGGCCAGTGTCCCATATCTTATCCTTGGTAAACTGAAGAGAGATCATTCTGGGACTACTGACAAGGTCTGTATGACTGTGGGGGATGGGGAAGTGTTCCCCAGGAAGACAGGGCAGGAAGGCAGTGTTCAGGCTACCAGGAAATGAGGGCAAGAAAATTAAGTAAGCTAAAATAGGCAAGGACCAGCTCATGCAGGGTCCTACGGCCCACATTCAGCCTTCAAAGCTCATTTCCAGCTATCTCTTTCAGGCAGTCTTGTTAATCTGCCTAACTAGATATGGTCTGGGCTCTCTTAGCATTTTGTGACCTCCATCATGTACAGCCAACAGTTAACTGTAAATCGAGGTCTGGGTCTTTATTCCCTCATTGAAGAATCGGGAGGAAAAGTGACATGGCACATGTCACTTAGTGTTTTGCACACAGAGGTACAATCAAAGTATTTACAGAATAAATAAACAGCAATAGTTTTCCTTTTGCATGCTACAAGTTTCACTTAAACCCAAGTTATATTACATTCTGGCTGCACTGAGGAGGGGCGAGAAGTCGGGGGTAACGTTAAGATCTAAAAATCAGTCCAGAGCATTTTTCAAGTCTTAAAAAGAAAATCCCAACAGTTCTGTAAACAAAAGAATATGAAGTTCTTGGCTAGTTTCGGAGATGGGTAATAAGACACAGAGTCTACTATACTTAAGAACCTAATTGAAATCCTTTCAATAAGTACCAAAATATTGCCTTTGACAGGTAATTTGTATGTGGAAGCCTCAGTGAAACCCAAAGGCCAAGATTTTATGCTGGCTCCTCCATGGATCCCCAAATACAAGGTCCTTTATTAAACCCATCCCTAAACTCTAGATGATGGCATGTGTTGGAGATTTCCAACAGGCATCCATTTTTTCCCCATATATGGAGCTCCACTATTCAGAGCCTAGTCTTTCAGATACAGACCAAAACAGGAAACAAAAGGAATCATTCCGCTGGACCCCTCAGAAGAACCTGCCCACCTTAACTTCCCTAGCACTTCACTGACTAGTGATCCCAACAACTGCCCAGTATATATGATTTAATATGCATATTCGCACCCATCACTTCATTTCATCATTCTCATTTCACAGGTAAGACTTAAGAGGAGACTATCACTTCATTTCATCACCCCCATTTCATAGGTGAGACTTAAGATGGAAGGAGGTGGGCCATCAGGAAGACAGAAGTTTGAGGGGCCACACACTGAAGAGGTCTCTGCACTGGCCCTTAACAACTTGATTTTCCAGCCCCCATCTCCCAATACCCTGAATGCTGCCCATGCCCAAACACACTTGATTTGCTGGTAAAGGTAGAGATGTTTATGCGGAGAAGCCCATACATCATAAAAGTAACAACAGCTGCCCCAGCCCATCATATCCATCCATTTCATCATTAAGTCAAATGTTTATCAAGTAAAAATTATGAGCCAAATATTCCAAACACTGTGCTGGGCACTAAGGGAAGAGGGATGAAAATGAGAAAAGATGCCTGTGTGCTTTGGGGAAGGCAGGAAAAAAATCAAGAAAACTAAAACATTATTCCTGAAGTTGGCTCATGTTATAGGGGATGGAAGGAAGAACGTGAAGAGCAATGGTGGTAGTGGTGGGAGGGCAGGTCCTTCAGATAGTATGATCAGGGATGGCCTCTCCTGACCACATGCATTTAAGCTGAGACCTGATGGATAAAATGGGACCAGCCCTGCAAAGTGTTGGGGAAGAGGATTCTGGGTTAAAGGAGGTGTGTGTGAAGACCAGGGCAGGTGGGGAGCCGGCATGTTTGAGTCACTAGGGAAGACCAATGTGGCTGAAGCCTAATGGGCCATGGTGGATGCTGAGTCGTGGGGGTGCTAGGAAGGAAGAGGCTGAAGATGGCAGGGTCCAGACCAGAGGAGTTACGTGCTGGAAGGAGGTCTCTGCCCTGACCCTTGCCAACTTTATTTTCCGGCCCACATCTCCCAATACCCTAAACATGCCTCATACGCAGGCACGTGCGTGCACTCATCAGTCCTCGGCAATGGTTGCACTTTTCAGCCCACACGTCTACAGTGTCCTCAGCCTGCGGTGTCTTCCTTATCTGGCTCTCTTCCACTCACCATTCAAGATTCTGCTCAAATACTGCTGCTTTGTAGGCCTTCAGTTTCCCAGGACAGTTACACATTTCTTTCTACACCTCTAGCATGATATACATATTTGAGTGCCTTTTTTTTTTTAATGTCCATTTCCCCCACTAGACTGTGAGATCCTGATGGCAGGGATTAAGTTTTAGTCAATCCCTGGCACGTAGTATATTCTCAACAAATGTTTGTTGAATGCAAAAGTATAAATTCCTAAGTGAACAGATGGTCTCACCTCTGAATGTCAGAGATACGTGACTGGGTGTTCTTCCCATAGTTGTCTGCAGATCCGTTTTCAAACCCACCAAGACATTTGAAGCCAATCAGATCATCAAGTTCTCCTTAGGCACTTGTCAAGCTTTCTGATGCTGACAGAAGCCTCATAAATGAATTCCATCCTTGGGATATTTGCAGCTTTCCAGCTTCCCAAGAGCGAGGAGTTTCTGGCCAAACTAGCTGGTGCATAGTTTTTCAACTCATTCCCAAGTAAGTGCCATTGAAAAGAGACTCGCTGATAAAATCTTTTAGACATTTCCCCAATATCTTATATTCAGTCAACATTTTGCCCAAGAAAATATTCACTGACTCAGCCATCATGATCTGAACCTCCTCAATACACCCACAGAGTGTTAGGTACTGGAGACACAGACGAAGAAAACTCAAAATGCCATTTTGGGAGATCATAGTCTAGTGCAGACATACAGCAGGGAGGGGAGTTGGTCCTTTTCCTGTCCGATGAAGAAGGAATGCATAGCTTCTGAAACTAGGGACCTAGGTTTCCATATCGGTCTCTTTTTAATCAGATCAGCCTGAGGAAGAGGACTAATTCCACCATGACAGCTGGGCCCTGAACCAGAGCACATCTTCTAATCTCAGCTTCTGGCATTGTTGCAGAGGAAGAAGTCACTTCTGGGACATCCAAACTGCAATCCATCTATAACATTACAGATGACTAGTGCTATGCTATACACAAGGAAACAATTTAAAAAGCTTCTTAAGATTCTGGAGCAGGTGCATTTTCCTTAGCAAAGAGTAAGAAATCCAATCCATCTGTGGCCTAGCTAGAAGTCAGAGTCATTTGTACTGCTCTTCAACAAAACAGGCAAGACTCTCAATGTAGCAACAGTCAAAAACTGAGGCCAAATTTTAGGGAATGTGGATGATGATAATTATGATGATAAAACATTGGAGAACAACCTACAGTCCACAAGAAAACCCTCCCTAATACTTTCCCTTTGATAATGTCAAGTCACAATATATGTGATAAGTAAAGTTTGTTTTCCACAAACCAAGACACAATCAGTATTTAATACATGAGTGAAATGTTAAGGTTGGCATAAACAAAACAGATTTTTGCTGATATGCAGACTATTTTAATTGATCCATCAGGACTTCTGCCACACATTTATAAGATGACTGTCCAGACTGAGGAATCCAATTGCCAAGGTTTTCCTCTAGCTAGAGGGGTTTAGTGGAAATGGCAGTCAAGATATGCTGGAGGGAGGGAGGGAGGGACAATTAGTTCCTGAGAGCCACCAACTTGGTTAGAAGTTGTGAGAGTTTTTACATCCACTTGCAAAGTGCAGTGGGGACCATAATTGTTCTTCCCCACTTCTATTATATGAATCAAGATAGACAGCATTTGACATTGAATTTTCCTAAGAATTATAATCTCAACACTAAAATATAGTCATTGTTCTGGTACTATAAATGGTCTCTGGAATTTCTGAAACAATAGAATTCATGTCACAACCATAAAAAGAAGGACAAGAAAACAGAGTTATGCAATAAGAGCATCTTTAAAGAGAAAGGTTGGGGGACCCTCCACTTTAGTTGCCACACCCATGTTTTCAGAACTGCAGTTTACCTCACATTTTGCAATTTTCCAGAGGGCTCTGATGTGTAATTTGCATTGCAACAACACAATAATGTTAACCCAAATTGTCTTATCAAGAAAAATGTGAAAGGAAAAAAACTACTTTGCTTCTCTCCTTGGCCATCCCTCTCCTCTCTCACATTCCTCATGTCTGGTTTCATTTCCCAAATACACCAGATGCCAAATACTATTTGGAGCTTAAAAAAAAAATCACGGGATATAGTCTAAAGCTTATAGGAGAAACGTCTGAAAGGGAATTGTGTGTTCCCCGCAGGTTTCAACATCCTCTCCATCAGGAAACGGAAAGGGCGTTTCTCAGTCAGTGTGTTCAGTGGAGGGACAGCCCTGCCCATACACTTGATCACAAAAGGATGTTCTAATAGGGCACTTCTTGGAGTGGCTCCTGGAACTTCACCCAGCAGGTGGTCCTCTAGACCCAGTAACTTTTCTGAGGCAAGAGGAAAATAATGAGAGCATCTATGCACAGGGAAACCAATATGCAAATGTTCAAAAAAGCCATTAGCATCCTGAAAACACTTTCTACTTCTGTCTGCTCTCTCTGCCTCAGCATAGGCAGGGGACACAGAGTGGAAGCCAGAACTGCCCACTTTCTCCCTAGATAAGGGAGGAGGGCACCCAGGTGAAGTCCATGCATACCCTCAGGCCAAACCAGGCCTCAACCAGCATGTAATTAACAGGCTTTCTCCAAGCCCTGCCAGAAACACTATGCCCAACTCTGCATGTAAGCAGCAAAGAAGAGGACCTCCAAGTTTTGATCCTAAAAAGCTGGCAACAACTGTTCTGTGTCACGTAATACCATAACCATGGGTTTAGGGTATAAATCCCTAAAGCCAATATAACAAGGTTCTCGAGTTAGGAAGTTTGTGCTGTTCACGTGACAGAAACCAGAGTCTGGAAGCCAAGACATCTCGTCTAGATCATCTGGGAGAGGAGCCAAACCCAAAGTGTCCTTGGAGCACCCGAAGACATCACAGCTCACAGAGAGCTGTGCCCTCCCCCTGCTGACCTGTTGCTAGTCTGTGAGTTAAGTCAATAAACAAATGTAAGCTGAAGTCAAAAGAAATGCAAATAATTTTCTCCCTCTGGGTTCCAATCTGTCTCTAAGGGATCCACTCAGATACCGTACAAAGACAAATTTAAATTGTGGAGGCTACAAAAACATAAAATATTACAACTCCACAGCCAGCTTTGTCACATCAAAGCTCTCCCTCATCTAAGAGGCCAAGTTTTGTTCTTTACAAATATACAAAAGAATGCAACTTTCCTGAATCACCAGCAGTTCTTTCAAAAATCTGAGACTAAGGCCAGCAGTCATGGAAAAGAATACTTGTATGTTACAAGATACCGGCAATCACCTGTACTCTACACACTCTGGTCCTCTATGATCCAGGTGTAATGACCCCTAAAGTCAGTCTTCACAAATACAGGTAAATGTGGCTGCCTCTGAAAATGTCCCCCTACCACAAGGAGCACACTTTTGGTATTTAAGGCTTCAGATCTTCCCAAACAAGCAGTCCACCCTTTGGTGCCATCCACATAGAAAATGCAAATAATATTAAAAGACATTGTTTAAAAAAGAAATATATTATTAGGCATTTTTTAACTTCCTCACAATTGAAATAATGCAGGCAAATTTTGAGAGATGCGAAGTTGAATAGATATATACTTAATTTCAACAATTATGTTTACCATATCTTGAAGCAAAGTTTACTATGGATTAAAGAAGATACTGGAGGTACTCTGGGCTGAGGGCTCATGGTCACACTAAGTCCCTCTCCCTGGTGAGGCCTAGACAGGGTCCCCTGGGGAAGTGAGTACTGCTCCCAGCCCTCACAGCCCCAAACCAGATGTTGTTCAATCTTGTTCCTTCTCAAATATTATAACTGTATTTTATCATGGAGGCATTTTATTGCCAAAGAGGTATAATTTTTATTTCTACACAGGCTTCTGTGGAGAAAAATGGCTCTTGGCATACTTGGTAAATGACAGTTTGCTGAACTGAAAATAAAGAAACAAAATTTTGCCCAGAGGTCTTTATATGTTCATGTTTACACTGAAAGCAAATTTTAAAACTCACTAATTACCTTCCTCTTTTTATGTTCTCCTACTTTTATGCGAAGATTACTTTAATACAATTTCAACAGGAGAAAATGAAACATCACAAAGAACAAAGATTCTTGGTTAAAATTAGCCTCACTCTCTGGTAACAATTAAGAAACCTCCAACTTTCTCACGAAGA
Organism: Homo sapiens; assembly: GCF_000001405.40. NCBI lineage: Eukaryota > Metazoa > Chordata > Mammalia > Primates > Hominidae > Homo > Homo sapiens. The sequence continues at coordinate 59,253,338 of NC_000014.9, read as the reverse complement.
TGCCTGTGCTTTCCAGTTAGGGAAAAACTGATAGACACAATATCACATAGGCAGCCGCAGAATTGCAACACAAGTTCAAATAACAGCTCCACCACTTCTTTCTTGGAATGACTTTAGGAAAGACACTTACATCCTCTGAAACTCAGTTTTATCATCTGTAAAAATAAAGTTGTACATATTTTTGCCTCCCCTCTGTTGTAAGAAAGTGAATTAAGATGGTTTACAATGAAAACACAATGAGACGAAAATTTCAACACAGAATGAAACACAGAAAGTCAAGGTGGGAGAAACCCAGGGGGCTGTACACGAAAAAATCTAAGATTAGGAAAGCTAGAGCACAACACTTTGGTGTGAGCTTCCAAGCAGCCCATGCAAAAAAAGAAAATGGATGGATCATGTAGCTGTACTAATTAAAAGAAACATGCCAATTCATGTTTCACACCAAGGGGAAGATTGCTTCTTAGCCCAGGGAGAAACTGTTCACAGGCATAGTCTAAAGGTTAAATGAGATGCTCTGTCTCCTCATACCATCTAGCACCCTGAAGTACTCAAGAAATGTTTGATGGCTTTTGAGTGGACACTATAAAGGGAAGTGGGAACTACATTAAAAAGTTGGGGGTGAGGATTTATTTGTTAACTACTGTTTGGTGGAAATATGTTAACCACTGTTTGGTGGAAATATGTTAACCAGATTCCTTTCTCTGACATTCCTGTGTGTATCAGCAGAGTAAATTCCTGGCATGAGACTGGTTTAATCTCTATAGGGCAGTTGTCATCACTAAATCAAGGGCTCTGCAGGTTGGTCAGCTTATCTGCAAATTGTGGGAAATTCTCTGAGGGTTTCTGGAGCAGGACGGGAAAAGGCATTTTTTTAAAAAAGCTTTCCTGTATATTTTGAAGAATTCAGCAGGTTTAATATTCCAATCCAAACAACTGTACAAAAACTCTGATATTTGCATACCAAATTTAGTTACTGCAAGGACACTGACATTTGTAATACTGATATGATTCCCCTTGATATCCTCAGTCACTGATCACATCTACTTATCCTTTTGCTTTCTAAGTCTGAAGGTTATCTTCTCTGGCCAAGAAGTGGTTGTGAACTGATTACCAAGATGGAAAATCTACTGCAAACCCTCAAGATATAAGCACCCAGGGCCGCTGGCTTTCACACTTTTTCCTCAGAAAGATCATTCTGAACACATGTGGACACTGCCACAGTTTGCCATTACAAATGTAAAAAAATGTTTAGAGAGAGCTAAGTATATGGTGAGTCCTGAGTTGAAAATTACAGTGTGGCAAGCTGTTAATTAGAGCTTGAGTCTCTCCACAATGCCTGCTGCTCAGAGGGACTCATTTGGGGCAGCACGCTGAGCTTTGCATCATGGCCAGCACTACACCACACCTCGGCTCCAGCTTTTCTTAATGCGTCCTGCTGATGATGCAGCAAGGAGAAGCCACCCAGAAACAATGACAGAATCACATTATAAAAACTGGAACTCCCTTCAAAAGCAGCACCCTGCCCTTTGTAAAGATTCTACTTACAAATTTTACATAATGGATGTTCAAAAGAGGCATATGGAAAGATGATGAACGCTTCAACTGTATGCAAGATGAAGTATAGAAATAAGGCAGTAGAGAGGACAGTCGCCTCTAACACTGTCCTGTTTCAGGTGCTGTGTGGCTCTAGGAGGTATTGCTACACATCTTCTCTGATGATTAAAGGCATTAAGTTGGTATGTCAGCTATAAAACTTCCAAAGACATGACATTAAAAAGACTTAGAGAAATAACGCCTTGACTCAGAACTTGCCCGACCTCCCTTCATGTTGAGAACTTTCATAAGCATTTAGATATACGATCCTCTAAAAATACAACAAACTTAAAGGAAAAAAAAAAAAAAACACGGCGGAGTGAAAGATGACTGAGGGAAGAACCTCAGCCCCACAATGGGCAATCTCCTAACCTGTGGATGGGAAAGTCAATTGCACCACCTCAGTGGAAGGCAATCTGACAGTGTCTGTTATTATTTTAATGCACGGGCCCTTTGATCCACATCTTACACTTTCTAGATTGCATATCTAAGAATTTGACCTGCAGATACATTCATACACAGGCACCAAGATGTATCAACAAAGGTGTTCATTATGACTGTGAAATAGAAAACAGGTTTCCTAACTTGTAATAGAGAATCATGTGTCTTTTAGTAGGGGAATGTTTTAATAAATGTTGTCTCATACTTCAGTAACAATGCTGTACCACACACCAATAAAATCGGAATCTCTGGTGTTGGGGCCCAGGCATGGGTATTTTTCCAAGCCCCATAGGTGATTCCAATGTGCAGCAAAGTTTGAGAAATAGTGCTAAAGAACCCTATGCCCAGGGTTACAAAGAAAGTACTAGGTCCATGGGACTGACATGAAAAAAATGAACATATTCAGAATAAAAGACAGAGAAGAAAGAAAGGTTTATAACAATATACATGTAGCACCATTATGTTTAAAAACTGTATTTGTAGCAATATGTATGTACCTACCTATATACGGGATGCATATACTTCCAGAATTGTTTCAAGTATTAACTGAAAGACAGCTGAGGTATTTAACCAAGTGCTTAGCACGCACAAGATGCTCAATAAATGTTAACTATTATTTCCATATGTACCTAAGTTTGTCTCTGTGGAATCTATATGGATTTTCAAGTGGCTAATGAACTCTCCTGAGTGCATGATGCAGGTGACAGTATCCTACTGAAAAAAGGATGTTTGCAAGCCTTCTCAATAACCCCATTAAAACTCTAAGTATACACCTCAATAACTCCTTAGTTGTTATATTGCCTCTTTCATTTAAAATTACAGCTTGCTTTTTGTGCATACTTGAAACCCATGCCCATAAATGCAGACGGTTTCACTGTCAGTATTTTACTCATTTGTACATCCACAAAAATAGTCCATTTAAAAGTTTTTCTATGTTAGCCAACAAATTTAAAAACTTCAATGTAATGTTAGATGCAAACTTCATGAAATACAGAGAGGAAGAATGTTCCCAAGGTTGCAGGGACCAGCTACAGGGATAACAATGGGACAAACTTTTAAACAATGATTTGTTTTGTTTTAAATTCTGTATGTTCCCAGATGTAATTTTAAGAGACTCTGTAGTTCACTAAAGCCGTTATGTCAGAAGTTCTTCAAACGGTCTCAGGGCCAGTTAGAAGAGAACATGGGGAGTTCTACTAATTTTTTCTTTTATTGGACTTTGTTTCAATTATAGTTCTATTGTGGATCAGAAATCATAGGGGTATCACAAATATACCCAAGAACAAGAGATTTTAGTATGTTCATAAATGAATGAAACTTACTACTTGGTACATTTTAAAGATGCAATCAAATATATTTAAAGTTTATATTTTTGTAAGACTGAATTCAATATAATTTCCAAAACTCTCCTCTACTTCCAGGTACTGTAAAAAAAAGTGCATATAAGCCACATTTTATCCTACTTAAGACACTGAATGTGTGGCTGCAGCAATTTTAAAGCTGGTTTCCAGTAATTTTCTCAAGTACATGCTCCTGAAGTTCTATCTTTAAAGGGTAAAATGTTTGGGGTCCTCCTTATCAGTGAATAAAAAAGTCATCACACTGTTTATGGAATAAAATGAAAAATGGTGACTGAATTTACAAGGGGAAAGAGATGGTCTTGAGAATGAGAATGAAGTTATGATTTTTATCAAGAAATATTATGAAATTGAGGTCTGAATGCTAACAATAGTCCTATAAGAACTCTAATTACTTCCTGAATACACTTCCCAAGTTTACTTAGTTGCAACCTAATTCCCTCAAATATGGCCACTTAATATTCATTACAGACAGCTGAAAAGGAAGTCAATGATTTTGAGAACAGCAAAATGATTAGCAGTTTCGTGGTATCTGTCCCAGTGAAATAAAATTGCCATTATTTTGGAAGCAAATATCCACTGGAAAAGAACAATGGATTTTTCTGAAATTGTTACAGACTTCTAGAACATAAGTACACAGGGCTCCCAGGACAAGGATGCCAATGGAACATGCCTATGAAGCTTTGGGAAAATACCTAAGATGCCAGGAATTTGTTCTGCTGTGTTAATAGGCTCCTTTGGCAATTGAATTACAAGTGACTTCCAGAATGACCTAGGAAGAACTGGGTAATGATGTCATTTCCAGGTAAGAGGAAGCCACACAAAAGTAGAGCCTTGAAGAAGTACAAAACTGAGGGATGGGCCAGGCGCGGTGGCTCACGCCTGTAATCCCAGCACTTTCGGAGGCCGAGGCAGACGGATCACGAGGTCAGGAGATCGAGACCATCCTGGCTAACACGGTGAAACCCCGTCTCTACCAAAAATACAAAAAATTAGCCGGGCGTGGTGGTGGGCGCCTGTAGTCCCAGCTACTTGGGAGGCTGAGGCAGGAGAATGGCGTGAACCCGGGAGGCAGGCGGAAGTTGCAGTGAGCCGAGATCGCACCACTGCACTCCAGCCTGGGCGACAGAGCGAGACTCCATCTCAAAACAAAACAAAAAAATGAGGGATGGACTCTCAGGAAAACAAAGGAGTTTCCTTTTAATCTGCACTTTAAACCTGCTTGCCCTATACAAAATAAAAATAATGCACAGACCTTGAGGATGGAGAAGGGGTAGAGGAAATTATAAGACTAGCAGCCAAGAACACAAAAGCACATGTGTTGAGTGTGTAAACTGGTCACATATATAATCTCTTTTCATTAAACAAAGCTAATCATCAACCAAAACAGAAATTACCAGCGGCGGCAAGAAAGAGTGTGTTTTCTCACTGGGGATTCCTCTCCATGTGCTAAATATCCTTGGGAAGTTATTCACATAGCTAAACAAACACTTCTGAAGCTGCAGGAGACAAACAATAAGCAAAGAAAGATCTTTACTGAATTTTAATTACTGTAAGTGGATTACTACACTCTTTACTTAAGCCTGAGTCAAACAAAACAAAACAAAACAAAACAAAACAAAACAAAACAAAACAAAACATCATTCCACAGTCATCAAGAGGGAAATGTGAAGGAAGCTGATACTACCCAACATGTCCTCTCCACCCAACTCTGTAATTTTCTAAATAATTAGGTGTGAACACTAATTGCTTTATTGGATAATTCAAGACAACTAAACACTAAAGAGACTGCCTCTCTTGCAAAATTTTTTCTAAGTGAAATAACATGGAAAGTTCTATTTTAAATTATTACTCCTACTCACTTACCAAGCCAGAGTATTTGGACAGAAGTTAATATTTAGACTTCAGATTCTGAGGAATATTGTTAAACAGGCAAAAGTCATCAGTGGCTAAATACGGGAAGCTTTCAATACAGTACTGCTTAAATGATTTAGGGTACACTCAATTAAAAAATCTTTTCTGGTATGTTAAAGGAGTAACAATATTAAATAACCATCCAAGTTGCACAACATGGTATATGATAAATGTAAAATGGATATACTTGTTTAAACATGCAAAGAAATTATTGAGCATGTGATAAAATAAGATACCAAAACCCATTAAGAGTGGCTCCTTCTAGAGAAGGAAATGGAAATTGCTTTCATTGTAATTCCTTGTTTTTTTTTTTTAACATGAGCTTGGATTACATTTTTTCTCCTTAATTATCAACCTGTCGCTGAAAGTTTAGAGTGGTTTAGCTATTATTTGTTTGTAAAACTAGTCTTTTTAAAAATTAAATTAACTTTCAACCAAGAAGGTGAAAAGCTTGTACACTGAAAACTAAAAAACATTTCTGAAAGTAATTAAAGAAGATACAAATAACATCCCATATTCATAGACTGGAAGACAATATTGTTACGATGACAACACTATCTAAAGCAATCTACAGATTGAAAGCAATCCCTATCAAAATCCCAACGGCATCTTTGGCAGAAACAGAAAAATCCATCCAGGAAGGCATATGGAATCTCAAGGATTTTGAATAGCCAAAACAATCTTGAAAAAGAAGAACAAAGCTGGAGGTCTTGTACTTTCTGATTTCAAAACAGTACAAAAGTACAGTAATCAAAACAGCATGGTACTAGCATAAAGACAGACATAGAGACCAATGGAATAGAACAGAGAGCCCAGAAACAAACTCTCAAATATATGATTAAATGATCTTTGACAAGGGAGACTAGACCATTTAATGGCGAAAGGGGTCTCTTCGACAAATGGTGCTGGGAAACCTGAATATCTGCATGCAAAAGAATGAGGCTGGACCCTTATCTTACATCATACATAAAAATTAACTTAAAATGGATTAAAGACTTAAACATAAGACCCCAAACTATAAAACTTATGAAAGAAAATATACATAAAAATTTTATGACATTGGATTTGAAAATTATTTCTGCTAAGGAATTAATATCCAGAACCCCTACAATCCAACAACAAAAAACCAAATAACTCCATTAAAAAATGAGCAAAGGACTTGACTAGACATTTCTCCAAAGATGACATACAAATGACCAACATGCGTATAAAAAGACACTCAGCATTACTAATCATTAGAGCAACGCAAGTCAAAACCACAATAATATATCTTCTCACATCCATTAAGATGACTACTATCAAAACAAAAAACCAGAAAATAACAAGCGTTGGCAAGGATGTGGAGAAACTGGAACCCTGTACAGTTGCTGGGATTATGAAGTGGAACAACCATTATGGAAAACAGTATGGTGGTTTCTCAAAAAATTAATAATATAATTCTGCATGCTCCAGCAACCATACTTCTGGGAATATATCCAAAAGAATTAAAAGCAGGGTTTTGAACAGATATTTGCATGCCCATGTTTATCACAGCATTATTCACAATAGCAGAGAGGTGGAAGGAACCCAAATGTCATCAATAGATAAATAAATAAAATGTGGTATATACATACAATGGGATATTATTCAGCCTTAAAAAGGAAGGAAAACTTGTCACATGCTACATGGGTAAATGTTGAAGACATTATGCTGAGTGAAATAAGCCAGACACAAAAAGACAAATACCGTATGATTCCATTTATATGAGGTATCTAAAGTACTCAAATACACAGAAACAAAGTAGAGTGGTGGTTACCAGGGGACAGGGGAGCAGGAAATGGGGAATTTTTGTTTAGTGGGTATGGAGTTTCAGTTTTGCAAGATGAAAAATTCTCAAGGTATGTTTCACAACAATGTGAATATGCTTTGAACTGTACACAGAAAAATGGCTAAATGGTAAATTTGAAAAATAATTTAAATAACTTTAATTTATCAACCCTCTTCAACATGCTAGGCACTTTCAATGCACTTTAAGTCCATTAATTATCTCAATTAATCAGAGATAAGCAATGAGTTCTTCAGCGTCTCATTTTGTCTTTCTAGAAACACAGGCCACTGTCAATGAATAGCTATGCTCTGAAAGTAATTAAAGAATGGTTTATAGAATGCTTTCATTTCTGCAATTTTCCACTTTACTACACTCAACTCTACAATTGTTAGTCCTCAAAATGAAAACAATCTGTTCAACTGTACAACACTAATATGAGCAATGACTTTCTTCTTTTAAATTTGTCATCAATTTACAATGGGGCGATGGGGGAAAAGCTACCAAACCATTCACTAGAGACAATTCTGTACATTAATGTCACCCCAATTCATTGCTTAGTGACAGAATGCCAGGTGCTCACTTTCACCTAAATGGTATAATTTAGAATTTTCTTAAATCCATTGTATTTTTTTTGCTACAGAAGTAGATATTACTATCCTTATCTTTAGAACATCTACTTGCTGGGTGGTGGCCCTAGGAATATTATATAAAAGACTAAAAGTGTCTAATTAGGTAATATTTTGTTGGATATTTATTAGAAAGTTTGACTCCACAGGAATAAATTCACTTGGTAATCTCAAGGTCCTGCTACTTAAAGGAAGATTCTAAAGCTACTGAAATAGCAATACATTGTATCCTGTCACATTCATGGCTTCTGACCCAAACTTAAACAAGCAAGCAATACAGTATTGAAAGTATAAATTACAAAAGGGCACCAAATGGAAACACAGCAGCTGATCACAAATGATAAAGGCAAAGGACATGAAAGTTAATGCCAAAATAAGAGGTGGTATGACATCAAAAGAGACCCCAAAATAACAAAGGGAGGAAAATTAGTCTTTGCATTTGAAGGATGCATTTGATCCACGTGAAGACACAGTAGAAAAAATGCTTAACTCCTATACATTCATTTCATGATTTCTACATACATCACCTTTCCCCTGGCCCCCCCGTCCTTTTCCCTTCCCTGAGATCATCAGTTATCTTACAGGTGCCACTTTCCATTCCACAAAAATTATCAACCAGGACAGCCAGTCTTCACTGGTTCTCCTCCTACTCATCACCAGCAAGCAGAGCTGTGACAAATGTTCTTGCTAACCTGGCTACTAGCCTTTATGGATACTCCTCTTAAAAACACTGCCCCACCTCACTGGGTAGTGTCACGTAAAAGCCAGTCCCTTTGTGGAAAAACATGCTGTTAACAACTGCACTTGCTCATACTGGAAAAGCAACCAGGACAGTGATGCCAGATACTTCACCAACCTAAATACACACACACACCACACGTACACATTCACACAGCTGTCAAACTGGTTTTTCCTCAAAAAGGTACAATTGACAGGCAGTTAAGAATCTCTCCCTGCCCCCAACACACACTCCCAGATTCACAATTCTGCATGTGTGTACTAATTTGTATATTTCCATTCATTCATTCAAGAAGGCAGTGGTGTCCACTCCCCTGTTCATTCTTGGTATATAAGGATGAACAAAAGAGATGTGTGCTTTGCCCTCACAGAGCTTATAATCAGTTCACATCCACATACACCCCCGGCTTCTCAAGCCATCTCAGCATTCCAGGAGCTATGTGAGAAAAGAAACAGCATGGGAGTGAGTGTATGTTGTAGAGGGGGTGGTCTGTTTTTCCATCTCATCTTCAACAAGCAAGAGTGAATATTCTGCTTGCTTCAAATAGTGTACTAGTCTGTTTTCTGGCTGCTGATAAAGACATAACCAAGACTGGGCAATTTATTAAAAAAAAAAAAATAGGTTTAGTGGACTCACAGTGCCACATAGCTGGGGAGGCCTCACAATCATGGCAGAAGATGAAAGGCATGTCTTACATGGTGGCGGGCAAGAGAGAATTAGAGAGCCAAGTGAAAGCGGAAATCACCCCCATGATTCAATTATCTCCCACTGGGACCCTCCCCCAACACATGGGAACTATGGGAGCTACAATTCAAGATGACATTTGAGTGGGGACACAGCCAAACCATATCAAATAGCAATTTAGTCTACCAGTAACTTCCATGTTCCCTTAAATAGGGAGCATCAAATAGAAAGAAGTAAAAGGAAGCAGAGGGTGATATCTGTGCTCTTGAGAAACAGGGACATACAGGTATCCCTGGGATGCTAATGTTTGGAACTTCAAACAAGATGCCAGATTTCCACTTCCATTCCATGAAGGACTAACTACTATAGGAATTGTTCTCCCACTACAAATAATTAATAAACAGGCAAAATATATGAAACAGCTGTATTCAGTCACTGGACAAAGGTACTACAGACCAGTGATTGCTGAGAGAAAGGAAACATCCAGTAAGGCAAACCCTAGGATTGCCCTTACTCCAGGCTGTTGTGCAGAAAGAGGAAATCCAAACCAAGTTCAAGGGTCTTGTTGAATTGAGGGATCAGAGATAAAAGTTCAGAGAATCAGAGGCAGCCATAGCTCTTGATATCTGTAAAGGAGTCACCTCAAATTATAGGCTGAGTACTGATCTGCACATGGATGTGGGGCTCACTCAGGGCTGGAAATGACTGGCATTTCCACCAGCCTGAGTAGAAGAACCTTGTAATACATAAACATCAGGAAGAGTATTCAAAAGGGTCCTAGACTCAGGCTGCTCTAGAAAAAGCTTAAAGGCAGTCTAAAAAGGATCTGTGCACCAGAACAAAGTCCAACACTCTTTAAAGAAAGTTCTTCAGGCAGAAAGAAATTGAGACCAAACAGAAATCTGGACCTACACAAAGCAGTGAAGAAAGCTGGAATGGCTGATCTGTCGGTAAATACAAAACCAGATACTGCCTGGACTCTGAATTTCCCTAGCCACTTACCTTTTGGATGTGCTTTTATAGGAATCCACCGATGACACTAACAAGGTCACAGCCCAGGATCAAAGTAGTTCCCAGCCCTACCACTAACTATCCCCCTAACTTTGGTGAGTCTCCTTAAAATCTCTGAGCTGCGGTGTCCTCAGAAAAATACCATCCCTTATTGTCATCACATTATATAATGAATATGAAAGTGCTTTGAACTTCAAGGATTCGTTCTTTCATCAAATATTTACTGAGTACCTTCTACATATATTTCTAGGCTCTATATTCTGGCAGCCCAATTTTCTCATCTGTAAAATGAAAATAATAATAGTACCCAGCGGCTGGGCACGGTGGCTCACACCTGTAATCCCAGCACTTTGGGAGGCCGAGGCAGATCACGAGGTCAAGAGATCGAGACCATCCTGGCTAACACGGTGAAACCCTGTTTCTACTAAAAATACAAAAAATTAGCCAGGCGTGGTGGCGGGTGCCTGTAGTCCCAGCTACTCAGGAGGCTTAGGCAGGAGAATGGCGTGAACCCGGGAGGCAGAGCTTGCAGTGAGCCGAGATCACGCCACTGCACTCCAGCCTGGGGGATAGAGCGAGACTCTGTCTCAAAGAATAATAATAATAGTACCCAGCACACAGCGTTTTTGTTCAGATTAAATAAATATCTGTAAAGTACAAATAATAATGTCTGGCCATAGTAAGCTCTTCTATAAGAGATCAGTCACTGTCCAGGGGATGGAGTGACTTGATTGGCAAAGCCAATGCTATGTGCCCATCTCTGGTTGTGACATGTGCCCATGTCTGTTGTTGTTGTTGTTACTATTATTATTATTCTACCCCTGCTGCTGCTTCTAACACTGCTACTAGGCATATAATAATGGAAAAGACCAATTTGGTTCTTGCCTTTAGAGAGATTATATTTGAGATCTATCATAAAGAAAATAAAGCTTTTGGGATAATTTGTTAAATTTTTTCCTGAGAAAATGTGGGATAGCTGGAAAAAAATATTACTAGTCTAAAGGAAAACCTAGGCTCTAGTCCCAACTCTGTTCCTCTTAGTAGCTCTGTGACTTTAGTTAAGATACATAGCCTGTTTGAACCTGTTTATCCTTAAAGAGGCAGGATGAGAATCTTCAAGGTCTCTTCCAGTTTTAACACCTAATGAAATAAAAGATAATCCATTTTAGAAGCACATTGTTCCTGCCTTGATTTGAGCAATTTAATCCTTACAGCATCATATCCTTGTATAGGTAACAACAAATTTTGAGGAAGAGGGGGAAAAAAAAGAGAGAGAGAGAGAGACAGTTTGTGATTTAAGAAAGCCAGAAGAAATAAGCCCCGGATCTAGGATTAGTATAAAAGTCTACACGTAACTCCCAAGTCTAGAACGAAGGTCACATGATTTATCCCTCTTAAAAAGAGTGTCATAGCCCAATTGTTTCTATCCAGTGCTGAGTAAACCAATTTGATCTTTGATAAGTTAAATAATATAATTAGAAGACACAGGGAAGCTCTTCCTTCTGCTTCCGATGTTTGAATTGGGTGCAGTAGAGCAGAATTAAGGAGCAAAATGGCAGTACACAATAGAAGTTCCTCATGCAGAAGAAATAACAAGAAATATGTAAACAGCTAGTTTCTTCTACCCTTTGTTTATACTAGCATGCACCACAACTGGTAAGCTATCAACTACAAACACAAAAGCTCCCACAAAGTAATTAGTTCAAACTTTAAAAAACACAGATAATTTTAGCCAAGTCTCAAAAACCAATGTTTTCCTTTTCACTCTACTTAATTCGGAAAGAGGTCCCACTGGAAGAAATAGGAAGTATCTGAACCATATGGCTGATGTTCCAAAAATAGTTGTGAAAGGACCTTTTCTAAAGTTTTCCCAACACTTTGCAGAAGACAAGCCAGACCTTGCAGAATTTTATAAAGTAAAAATCCCCTAGTAATTTTATTGGAGAGAACATATTGTATAACAATAACTCAAAAAAATGTTTTTCCTCTACATACATACAAAATGCAGTATATGATTTCAGGAAGTTCTCATTCCGCCTGCAGTACACCACAGGCCTCAGCAGAAGCACACTGAGATTAAAGTAATACACAACCATAACATACTGAAGACATCTTTGAAGCACATATGCATGTACACACATATACACACACACAGTAAAATATTACAGCCAGCTGTATCTGTCTTTGGGAACTCTGATCACTAGCTCTAATGGACATGTCTCTTACCTATTTGCCTACTTCGCATACCTATGGGAACTAGTCCATCTCCTTCACCATGTGATTCAGTAAAGTGGTTAACCAAATGGTTCTGCCTCTCCATCCAGAGATGGACACATGGCATTGGCTTCGCCAATCAAGTCACTCCATCCCCTGGACAGTGACTGATCTAGGGATGGCACACAACACAAAGACGACCAGAGATCTTTATGTGGCTGGATGCCGCAGATGAGAGGGTGCCTCTTTTTTGCCTGGAATCATGACATATAAGCACCATATAATACCAGAAATTTACAATAGTTGCTTTTTCCACCATGTGTCAGAAGCTACCCCAAAATGAAGCCAGCATAGATAAAAGCAGAACTGAGAGATGGGACAAGGGAGATGGGGAGTGAGGAGGTTTTGATGACATCATTTAACTACTAGATATACTGGGCCTCAGTCAAATACCCCTTGAACTTTCCATTGAGTGATTCAATGAACTTTTTTCCCCTTTAAGCCAATTCCAATGGGATTTCTGTCCCATAAAGATTTGAAGAACCCTGATTCATGGTCCACTTGACTAAATGAGATGGGAACTAACATTTACTGAGCACCTCTCCAAGGTCAGAGACTATGTGGGACCTTCAGCAAGCATCATTTCAGCTAATTTGTATATGCGTGATAGGAAGATATCATAGTTTTACAATAAAGAAAGATCTCGAGAGATGAAGTAATAATAAAAATCCATAGAACTGGGGGCGGTCAGCAAGGACATAAACCCTACCTGTCTCATCTCAAGCCATACCCCCCTCTAGCCACAATCTCACATCTTTCAAGCTACAGCATTATTATTTTCCAAGAATCAAATTAACAGTGAACTGAAAAATCGAGCCATAAATCCAAACACAAATGTCTTGTTTTACAGAAGACTGTATTGGTTTTACTGTTCACAAATTGACATGAGTAATGTAACACCTCCTTTCTCAAAGGGTTCCCATTTTGGAAACAAATTTTGCCAGATTGACTTTCCAGGAGTCTTAAATAAGCCTATCAGGGAATCATTCCTTGGAGCTTGGAAGTAATTCAAGTTTCGGTATGTATGGTGCTAAAAAGATAAAGAAAAGTCGCTAGAATGTAAAAGTCATTATTGTTGCTGAGCAGGGAGCTTTTAGAAATAACATTACTCCTCGTCCTGGCCCCCGCCCTGTCATTTTCTCAAAGATGGCCACAATCTGAAACTTTAGCCATTCACGTCCAACTCCATCCACAGCAGAATTTGAGAGAGACAGACTGTGTGGTAGGGAAGGAATATAACAAGGATCGGGGTGGGGGCGCGGTGGGGAAGCATACGACAAAACACAACGTAAGAAAATGTCAAGAATCTAAAAATTCTACCATTGAATTTGTCAAAGAAAAAGGGCACAGGTAAAAGAATCAAGCTAGTTGGGGCAGGGGAGGAAGAAACCGATGGAGAACCTGGACTAGGTAAGAGCGTGGTGAATAAAACTGAGTGTTCTGCTCTTGACTTAAAATTCACTAGCTACACCTCTCTCTTTTTCCATCTAGAAAAAAACTAGAGTGACAATAAGGAGACTGTGTTTAAGCATTATAATCATTTTTTGCAAGATTTGGGTGTGACAGGTGGAACTTGAGGCCCTATTTGGGTAGCAGCCAATTGTCCTAATTATAGGTTGGATTACTTATTTTATATAACCACAAAAAAAGTAAGTGTTAGCACCATAGGGCATTACCCTGTTTCACAACAGCATAATAGTATATTACCTTCATAAAGTAATTTATGGGTTTCTAAGTACTTTTGTGTGCACAGTATCATTTTATTTTCCCAACAACCCTGAGAGAAAAAGAGAGAGGCACAGGCAATCAGATATTGCTTTTATTTCTACTTTACAGCTGAGTAACTATCTGAGCACTTATGTGACCTGCATAGGGTCACCCACTCCTAAGCAGCAGAGCAGGGACAAATTCATGCTGTCCTTTTTTCGATATTCTGCATTGCCTGTCAGCCAGCCCATCTTAGAATTATCTAATAAAGGGTAGCCTTAGGCTCCTTCTCTGAAAGTCTCTGATGCAAGAATACCATTCAAATTATCTTTGAAATAAATGATTACCATGTGTCAGCGATACATTTAATGGTTTTAAGAACAATATGTTATACTTCCAGGAGGTGTCTAGAGACGCAAAAAAAAATATTCAGAAGTAATATTATAGTGTTTCATTAGGTCAGTTACAGCTTTACTCACTCTGTTCATCTGAACAGTCAGTAAGCCGCTACATGTCAGGGGTTATACGTGAAGGGTTAGGAATACAAAATTGAATAAGCTATACTCTGTTCCTTTCAAAAATCAAGAACATAAGAAGAGGCTGAACTGCCCCTGATCACAGTAAGTACAAGTGCTATGGGAACACACAGAAGGAGGAACTGATGCTATCCAGGACTGTCTCCAGAGGGTGGGAAACAAAAGAAATCACACTTAGTTTCAGTTACTGTGGAGCTGACGACCTAGCTGAGGAGAGACTCATGAACAAGGCCACCGTACAGAGCAGTAACTACAAATGCCACAAAAGAGTGTTCAGTACCGTAAGGGTTCAGAGGACATAAGGGCACTTCCAATTAGGATGATCTCAGACGTTTTTTTTGAAAAGAGGGAAATATGAATGAGGCTTTAGAGGACTGCTAGGTCTTAGTGGAGCGGAAGGCAAGGGATTTGAAAAGCCACAAAGCCAACCAGCCACTCCCTATCTCTACTGAGAAACATCCTGAGAAATTCTTGAGTTGTCTGTGGATCTGGGACAGACATTTACCTCGGATCCCCTTGAACTTTCTCTCATTTACAAGGTCATGAAGACATCTCATTTTAAAAAAACATAAAACACAGAGGAAAGGCATCCAAGACACTCATTTTACCATGACCTGAGCCATTACAGTAACCTGAATCATTTGTGCCTCTACTATTGCTCTCTAAATGGCTTCAATGATGGAAAGATCTGAGGGAGCAAATATCCTGCTCTTCAAAATTATCATTTATATCCCCAAGAGCCATTCTAAATAGAACATTTAATTTTGAAGGAGAAGCAAGTTATGAATATATCATCTAAAAATATGCCAAGAGCTTCAAAGGAATATATGGGACTCACTGGAAAAGTGAGTCCAGAGACTGTTCCCACTGACCTACTGGCTCCTGCTTTGGTGAGTGCTGTGGAAAGTAGGGAGAAGATCCAGGGACTAGCAGTTTTTTCGGCTAACAGGAAAGCTCAGACATGTGGTAGTGTCTTATTAGATGCAATAAGGCCTATATCAATCCTGGCACAAAATATTTTATAAATTCAAGTTTTCAAATGTAGGCCCAATAGCGTAAATATCCTTGAGTTTATTCTTCCTTCATTAGAAAAAGTATATGACAAAATGCTCTATGAGGTCAGATCACTTCATTTTCTAAATTCACTTCTTATGTAAATTATTCCACATTAGCCTAAATGCAATCCTATATTGTTTAGCTTGCTCAGGGGTGGTCAAAATACACTTTTTCAACTTTCAGTTCTTAGAACTATTTCTCTTGGTATTTCCACAATCCTGCAGTACTTAAGTGCTTGATCAGTATTTAATTTTTCAACAGCCTCTAATATGTATTCCACCACCTGGCGGGATGTCTCTCTTTTGGAATGTTTCTATCTCCATCATGCTACAAATAGTTTTCACTATACATTCTATTCTGACAGAACAAGAATAGATGTTCACATTTCCCTGGCTGAAAACTAAATGAACTGAGCTTGTAATCAAGACAACCACTCTTCCAATCCACCCTTTCCACATATATTCCAGCACGTGTAGGTTAAAACTGACTCTATGCTAGGGGTGTGCAAATTGCGGCCCAAGGGCTAAATGCTAAGTGCCCCCTCACCAACAGTTTTGGTAAATACAGTTTTATTGGATAACAGCTAGGCTCCTGTTTACATATTGTCTGTGGCTGCTTTCCGAGTAGTTGTCTCAGAGATCTTTTAGCCCCCAAAGCCTAATAAGTGTACTACATAGCCCCTTACAGAAAAAAATTGCTGATCCCTGCTCTCCATTAAGTACATGAAACAAGAGAAGTTTGGGAAAGTTTTCAAAACCACTTATATTACAAATAAATTAATTAATTTATTCTACAAACATACACTGAACACCTTTGGGCACTGTTCTAGGTGTTGGAGGCCCAGCAATGAACCAGACAGATGAGCGTTACCCACCCTGAGTCATCACAGAGGTCACAGTTTAGTGAGAGGAGACAGACAAAGATAATCACTCTAATTTCAGATGGATAAAACAGGATATTTAGAGAGCTTGGCCAGAGATGCTAAAGGAAGAGTGATTCTTTAGAAAATGCAAAGTCATGAAGATAACATCTGGGAAGATGGCACTGAAAATAATATTTAAACGACGACAAGAAGACAGCCATGCAAAAATCTAAGAAAAGAGTGTTCCAGCCAGAGAGCAAATGCTTGAAGGGAGAAAAGGTGAGGCATGCTCAAAAACAAAAAGGCGGCGAATGTACTTGAAGCACAGTGGACAAGAGGAAGAGGCAAGAAGCCAGGTCACAGGGCTTAGCAAGAGCCAGACCATGTGTGATGAGTAACAGAGAGCATTATAATTCTAATGATTTCCCATCTTCAGGTCCTTAGTTATTAAACAAAACAAAACAACACCTACTAGATAGAAAACTAGTCATTCTACTACAACTTCTTCCCTTTGATCTGCTAAAAATTACCTGAAGATTCAAATGCCTAGCAGCTCAGGAAAGAACACTATTAATGACACTTCATACTAAAGAGGCAATTCTCCAAAAATAAATAAATGAATGAATAAATAAGTAAATAAAGTGGGTTGGGGGGAACAAAATTTAGGGCTCTTCTCATTATAAAGCCATGGAGTAACCATTTAATATGGGATTTTTTTTAAGAAAGGGAATTTCCCATTATTAAGCATATCAAGTCTATTTTCCTAAGTATATCAAGCTATTCATTTGACGAAGTGAGGTCTGTCTCCGCTCCACCTCTGTGCACCAGCTGCATGCGTGTTCCACCATAACTCTTTCAAAGCAATTGGCTGGTTTGGATGAAATGCAATATATTCACATACCAGAATCTTTGGGACACAGCTAAAGCAGTGTTAAAAGGGAAATTTATGTAACTAAATGCCCACATCAGAAAGCTAGAAAGATCTCAAATCAACACCCTAACATCACAATTAAAAGAACTAGAGAAGCAAGAGCAAAGAAATTCAAAAACTAGCAGAAAACAAGAAATAACTAAGATCAGAGCAAAACTGAAGGAGACAGAGACATGAAAAACCCTTCAAAAAAATCAATGAATCCAGGAGCTGGTTTTTTGAAAAAATTTAAAAAATAGATAGACCACTAGCTAGACTAATAAAGAAGAGAGAAAAATCAAATACACACAATAAAAAATGATAAAGGGGATATCACCACTGATCCCACAGAAATACAAACTACCATTAGAGAATACTATAAACACCTCTATGCAAATAAACAAGAAAACCTAGAAGAAATGGATAAATTCCTGGACACATACACCCTCCCAAGACTAAACTAGGAAGAAGTCGAATCCCTGAATAGACCAATAACAAGTTCTGAAATTGAGGTAGTAATTAATAGCCTACCAACCAAAAAAAGCTCAGGACCAGATGGATTCACAGCTGAATTCTACCAGAGGTACAAAGATGAGGTGGTGCCATTCCTTCTGAAACTATTCCAAACAACTCAAAAGGAGAGACTCCTCCCTAACTCATCCTATGAGGCCCACATCATCCTGATACCAAAACCTGGCAAAGACACAACAAAAAAAGAAAACTTCAGGCCAATATCCCTGATGAACATCGAGACAAAAATCCTCAATAAAATACTGGCAAACCAAATCCAGCAGCACATCAAAAAGCTTATCCACCGTGATCAAGTCGACTTCATCCCTGGGATGCAAGGTTGGTTCAACATACACAAATCAATAAATGCAACCCATCACATAAACAGAACCAAGGAAAAAAACCACATGATTATCTCAATAGATGCAGAAAAGGCCTCTGATAAAATTCAACATCCATTCATGCTAAAAACTCTCAATAAAGCTAAAAACTCTCATAAACTAGGTATTGATGGAAGACATCTCAAAATAACAACAGCTATTTATGACAAACCCATACCAATATCATACTGAATGGGCAAAAGCTAGAAGCTTCCCTTTGAAAACCAGCACAAGACAAGGATGCCCTCTCTCACCACTCCCGTTTAACACAGTATCGGGAGTTCTGGCCATGGCAATCAGGCAAGAGAAAGAAATAAAGGGTATTCAAATAGGAAGAGAGGAAGTCAAATTGTCTCTGTTTGCAGATGACATGATTGTATATTTAGAAAACCCCACCATCTCAGCCCAAAAACTCCTTAAGCTGATAAGCAACTTCAGCAAAGTCTCAGGATACAAAATCAATGTGCAAAAATCACAAGCATTCCTATACACCAATAGACAAGCAGAGAGCCAAATCTTGAATAAACTGCCATTCACAATTGCTACAAAGAGAATAAAATACCTAGGAATACAGCTGACAAAGGACGTGAAGGACTTCTTCAAGGAGAACTACAAACCACTCTGCTCAAGGAAATGAGAGGACACAAACAAAAGGGAAAACATTCCATGCTCATGGATAGGAATAATCAACATGAAAATGGCCACACTGTCCAAAGTAATTTATAGATTCAATGCTATTCCCATCAAACTACCATTGACATTCTTCACAGAATTAGAAAAAAACTACTTTAAATTTCATATGGAACCAAAAAAGGGCCCACACAGCCAAGACAATCCTAAGCAAGAAGAACAAAGCTGGAGGCATCATGCTACCTGACCTCAAACTATATTTCAAGGCTACAGTAACCAAAACAGCACAGTACTGGTACCAAAACAGACATATAGACCAATGGAACAGAACAGAGACCTCAGAAATAATGCCACACATCTACAACCATCTGATCTTCGACAAACTGGACAAAAACAAGCAATGGGAAAAGCATTCTCTATCTGATAAATTGTGCTGGGAAAACTGGCTAGCCATATGCAGAAAACTGAAACTGGACCCCCTTCTTACATCTTATACAAAAATTAAGATGGAGTAAAGACTTAAATGTAAAACTCAAAACCATAAAAACCCTAGAAGAATACCTAGGCAATGCCATTTAGGACATGGACATGAGCAAAGACTTCATGATTAAAACACCAAAAGCAATTGCAACAAAAGCCAAAATTGATAAATGGGATCTAATTAAACGAAAGAGCTTCTGCATAGCAAAAGAAACTAGCCTCAGAATGAACACGCAACCTACAGAATGAGAGAAAATGTTTGCAATCTACCCATTTGACAAAGGTCTAATATCCAGAAAATACAAGGAACTTAAATTTACAAGAAAAACACAAACGACCCCATCAAAAAGTGGGCAAAGGATATGAACAGACACTTCTCAAAAGAAGACATTTATGCAGCCAACAAATATAGGAAAAAAATCTCATCATCACTGATCATTAGAGAAATGCAAATCAAACCCACAATGAGATACCATCTCTTGCCAGTTAGAATGGCGATTATTAAAAAATCAGGAAACAATAGATGCTGGCAAGGCTGAGGAGAAATAGGAACGCTTTTACACTGTTAGTGGGAATATAAATTAGTTCAACCATTGTGGAATAAAGCATGGTGATTCCTCAAGGATCTAGAACCAGAAATACCATTTGACCCAGCAATCCCGTTAATGGGTATATACCCAAAGGAATATAAATCATTCTACTATAAAGACACATGCACATGTATGTTTATTGCAGCACCATTTACAATACCAAAGACATGGAACCAACCCTAATGCCCATCAATAATAGACTAGATAAAGAAAATGTGGTACATACACACCATGGAATACTATGCAGCCGTAAGAATGAGCTCATGTCCTTTGCAGGGACATGGATGAAGCCAGAAGCCATCATCCTCAACAAACTAACACAGGAACAGAAAACCAAACACCACATGTTCTCACTCATAAGTGGGAGCTGAGCAATGAGAATACGTGACACAGGGAGGGGAACAACATACACCAGGGGCTGTTGTGGGGTGAGGGGCAAGGGGAGGGAGAGCATTTGGACAAACACTAGTGCATGCAGGACTCAAAACCTCGATGACAGGTTGATAGGTGCAGCAAACCACCATGGCACATGTATACCTATGTAACAAACCTGCACATTCTGCACATGTATCCCAGAACTTAAAAGAAAAAAAAAAAGAGAAAATTTTAAAAAAAGAAAGAAAAAAAAAGAAATGCAATATATTCCTCTGAAACCTGTAGAGACATACTACATGGCTTATTTTATCATTCCAAACTAAACAGAAGACTGTTTCAGGGTACAGAATTTCAACATGTTGGTGAACAGCCACCATATCCATCTCCTTTGTTAATGTCCTTGCCCCTCTGATTTTTTAGGGGATTTATGAATCTGAAAAGACAACTTTGCATTTTTAGATTCAAGAATAAAGGAAGTCAAAGGTCTTCTGCAGGAAGGCTAAGACAGAGAGGTTCTCTGATAAAACTATGACTCTCAGTGACCAGTATACATTTAGGAAGAACCAGTAGTTTCGATATTCTCTGGAGGTGTGACATCCAACTGGCCTTGACAATGCTTGGATCTGCAGAACAAGCTCTCCTCATGGTAAATGCTGTGTGGTGACAGGTATGGGTGTTTATAACCAGACTTGAATAGGCTATAGAAAAACAAGGTGAGAAATATGCTGAAGTGCCAACCTTTAAGCAGCAGCACTGCTGGAGAAATCCAGGGCACAACTTCCCAAGAGAATTAACTTGCTATCTGTTTCCTCTCTGTAAAGTGGGGATAAAATAGTACTAGCTCTCAGGCTGGAGCATACTTTACTAAGTTCTCAACAAATAGTATATTTCTCAAATGTGCCCACCACTTCACATGCTGAGTCCTCATAAAATTACCTCCCAAAGACTCCACCTCCAAATACCATCACACTGGGATTAGGATTTTGACATAGGCATTTTGAAAGGACATATTTAGTCCACTGCAGAGGTCCACTTATATGCTTTGGTAGACCTCCTCGGTGTTGACCAACAATATAGTAGCTAAAGTTTGTTAAGCACATACTGTATGCCAGGCACTGAGTTCTTCCAATGGATTCCTCATCAAGTTCTAACTACAAGCCGGTGATGTGAGTTTTATTACTGGCATGTTATACAGTGAGGATCTGAGGCCCAAAGATTAAGTATACTGCCAAGGTTGCACAGATAATGAATGGTACAACTGAGATCTGAACCCTGGCTGTCTGACTCTAGAGCCAACGTCTTAATCACTAAACAAAATACTTCCCTTAAAAAATAATAACGTGTTTTTAAATGTGGTTTTATTAATTGCCAAATAGCTCGACTTTCATTCGCAAGCATCAACAAATCTGATGCTGAGTTTGCCATGGTCCCCACTACTCCCTACCCTTTCTTAACTTCAAGGGTAGGGCTCATTCACCATTTTTCATCATTATTGCTTGCACTTTTCCTACTTAGAAAAATTTGAAGTAAAATATTTCTTGTGCTTACATCTGTATCAAAGGTGGGGAAATATAAGATGTTAGTTTGATTTAATCGTTCTACATTGTATACATAAATCAAAACATCACATTGAACCCCATAAATATATGCAATTATGATTTGTCAATTAAAAATATTAAGTGGGAAAATAATATGCTGTGCCATATGTTTGAAGAAAAAGGAAGTGGAAATGAATATATTCTTGTGTGTTTAATAAACAAAGTAATATGTACTTTCCTTCCCATGTTCAGTACATCACCTGCCTGCTTGAAATATCTGAATTTGATCTGTCTTAGTGTCTACATAATTTTAAGCAGCATAAGACATTGACAGCAAGTGCACAGTTGTTCAACAGAGAACATTTTTAATTCTGGCAACAAAGATAGTGGAACGAATCCCACATGCCATATAATAATGCTTACAAACTTTTTATTTTTAATTTTTATGGGTATATAGGTGTACATATCTGTGAGGTGCATTAGATGTTTTGATACAGGCATGCACTGTGAAATAATCACATCATGAAGAATGGAGTACCCCTCCCACCCCTCCCCTCAAGCATTTATCCTTTGTTACATTCTTTCAGTTATTTTAAAATGCACAATTAAGTTATTATTGACTACAGTCACCCTGTTATGCTGTCAAATAGTAGGTCTCATTCATTCTGAGTTTTTTTGTACCCATTAACTTTCCCCACTCCCTCCAAGCCCCCCACTACCCTTCCCAGCCTCTGGTAATCATCCTTCTACTACTTTCTAAGTCCATGAGTTCAACTGTTTTGATTTTTAGATCCCACAAATAAGAGAGAACTTGCAATGAATAATGCTTTTTATATTTACATAACTTAGTAGTCTCTGGTGAATTTAATTAGTATCTGTTATATTTTTTAAGTATTTAATTTGTTTGGATAGAAAGAAACCCAGCCCAGGAAGAGGCTCCATGTTAACCCCGTGGCACACCAATGCCTCCTGGGTAAGGGAATCCTAGCTTGTGGGGGGAAAAAAAAAAAAAAGCCTCTAAGCATCACCCCCCTCGGCTGCAGTGTTTGCTTCCAGTTACAGGAGTCTCTGTGCTGCCCCAATCAGACTTCCAAGTAACAAAGGCTACTGGGAGTCTAGTTCCATTGCAGCCACCTGAGGGGACCCATTTGTAAGGAAGTGGTAAGAGGCACACCCAGGTACCTGCTGTTTCACAAAGAGAAATGACGGATCTGTTGTGTGGTTTGTCTCAACTACATCACAGCTGAAATTCAATTTGCAAGGGTAAGAGAGTTAATAGTGGGCCTTAAATTTAAAATCAGCTAAGGTTTATGCTGGTAGGTTGACAGTGCTAAATTTATTTACCCTTATCACTGTTCCATTATCTCAAACATTCTACTATTAAGATGGGTGGTGGTGGGAGAAGCTTATTTGGCATTCACTTCAACCTGGTGAACAGTTATTTATAGACAGGAAAATAGCCATGGCCACCTATCAGGATGGAAACCACCAGCCAGAGCCATGCCTTCACTGAAGTGCCTCTGAGGGCTTGCTAAAAGCAGAAACTAACCCACAAGGTGGGATTAAGCCTCCTTCTACTTAATTTCAACCAAGAAGTTTAATCAACCAGGTTTTACACTACTTTATTTACTGTTACCATGTTTTTGGAACTTAGAACTCCACTGTTGGCCATCTCTTAGGAAGTAAAGAAAGAAGAAATCTTCCTACTGGATTTACTTCAAAAATGAGAGTAGAATAAATACACAAAGGGCCAGGACAGATAGTAAGTCAGTGTGGGTCTTCATTTTAATCTTGTTTGTATGTTTATTCTTGGTTTTACCTACACCTTCTCTGAAGAGCAATGTGAAGTGAATTTATAAATCAAGGGTATTATATAGGCTTTTAAAACATATCAGTATGTCATAAAGACGAATTAGTAAATACCTGACATGCAATGCTACATCATTTAGGGTGATGCTTAGGGTTAAATCCTTGCACGATGAAGTTACAGTTTAGGACTAAAGAGGTAACAACTCACAAAAATCAAAAGCCAAATGACACACTGGTCTCAAGGAAGATCTCCTCTAACCATAATGAAAAACACACTACAAAATGCATCATTCGCTCAATGAAAAGTGGGAGTGTCTTTGGTAAAAACATACTAAATCAAAATATCTTCCACTGCTGACATGTAGGGCTGGGCAAAATGGCACACATGGAAGAAACACCCTGCGAGGAGTCTTCAAAATCAGCCCATTAAATGCTTT
Source organism: Homo sapiens (assembly GCF_000001405.40). NCBI lineage: Eukaryota > Metazoa > Chordata > Mammalia > Primates > Hominidae > Homo > Homo sapiens. Next base: position 59,229,071 of record NC_000014.9, on the reverse strand, counting down.
TTAGTTTTAATACTTGCTTGCTAATCAGAACTACAATATTCATAACCAAATCCTCATTAAAAGGAATTTGTTAGACTATTTCTCTAACATTTTCTAAATACAATGTAACTTTTAAAAGTCAATCAAAAATTGAAGTGTTTTAGAACTCAGGGAAAAGACGGAAACAGAGTATCCATTCTACCAATGGACTGCCACTAGAATCCAGGTGAAATAAATTATTTAAAACCATAGCTAAGTCCAAAACAAAGTAACCTTTTGATCTACAACACTTGGGGGAAAGGCAGAGGGAAAAGGTAGGCAAGGAAAATACATGATTTATTCAGATTATAAGTGGACATGTGGACTGAGTGTGCTGGCCTCCAGGTGGTTCTGAGTGGAGAATAAGAAAAAGCCATCAAGCACAGAACACACAAATACGACTCTCTGGCCCTGAGGGAAAAGAATCTGAGTGATGAAACCCAAATATATGAGTGAAATCTAAAAATAGCCCTGTTTCTACAGAGGTATTTTCCTTTTAACATTCATTCGAAATGTGTGGGAAGACAAAGCAGTTGGAGTTAAGTGAATTTCCAGATTTCATTAAAAGTCAAGTGATACTCCGAACCATTTTCAACCAATAGTAAAAATACAATTTCCCCTTCCTTTAGTTTTTTTTCTTGGAAGTTGGGGAGCGGAGGAGGGAGACACAATACTGGGCAAGAGTATCATTTCTAAATTTTCTGAGAAGCTGATATTACCTATAGGTTACACATCTTTAACATCTAACTTATGTCATGGGAAACCATTAGATCCTTGGAACTTTGTCAGTGAAAACCACCGTAATTATTTTTTTCCATAAAGAAAGATGAATAGAGAATGACAGAATGTTGACACTGTGATTACATTTTCCCATCATGCCACAAATTTAAAAGATTTCATTATTACAGCCTATGATTTTTTTTCTTCCCTTAAGATTTAGAAGAAAAAAAAAGTGGTAAGAAAAAACAACTTGTGGGTTGAAACATGTAATTCCAGGACTTCTTCAAAAAAGTTCAAAGGGTTTCTACTAGTAACCAAGTTCTATGCTCTAAGTTGTCTTTACTTGCAGGTAAACCTTTTCTAGAAGACTCCTGCCTCAACTGTTTCGGTGTGTGGCAGAGATACAAACTGGTAGCAATGACTAGGGGTAAGAAATCCCCGCGTCTCACTGGGATAGCCTGCCTGTGGAACAAGGAGTACCATTCATTCATTAGTCCTGGGTGCCCCTATGGGTGCTCTATGAACTCAAACACATTTGGACTACGTGTCCTCTGTGTGCCCAGCACTGATGGAAACACAACCTATCCCTACCCTCAAAAGAATCAAGTTTAGTGAAAGGGCTTACAATGTGAACAGCTTCTCCTAATCATGTTCTGGAGCACCAGATCTGGTCTGGAAAACTGGAAAAAGTGGAACAAGCACGAGGTGACACATAATCGAGATAATGAGACATGGGGAGAATCCAAGCCTATATGTGAATCCTCCCATTTTTCTGCATATTTTATGCAGCACAAGATAAATACTATAGGAATATTAGGTGTTGGAACAAATTAAACTTGCAAATCATACTTCTAGTACCTGGCCATCCCAAACAAGTCCTTCAGGACCTTCACACAAACACAGGTCTCACAATCTCATGGCCGTCTCAGTGAAACTACGTAAGATAACAAGAAGGTGACCTACATAGTCAGTCTGTAATGGGGAACCAGAGACTTTTCCCCTCCTATTCCCTGAAAGCATACTTTCAGGAGTAAGGGGCAAAGAAAAGGAAATGAAAAGGTACACCACACCATCCTTGTTCACACCATCCTTGTTCACATGTAAGCCTATTTCTGTACACAAGTCACTTTATGAAAGCACCAACAGTATTTGTAAGGGAGTCTGTAAAGAACCAGAAGCTTAAACTGGAATGTAAAAGACGCACTTTAAAGGTATACCATATAATCATTTTATTCTGGGCAACTCAATATTTTAATTCAAAACAGTCAGTTTTACTGGAAATTCTACAGATGTATGCTAGGCATTTTAATTAAAGTAGAAAACAAGGTGGGGGAAAAATCTGACAAACAGAGACATGGAAAGGTGGAACTATAACTTGTACAACTCCAGAGGCACTATTCATGCTGCACTTCATGTGACTGGAGTTGGGCAATGCCAACCTATGTAGCCATCCACAGGACTTTAAAATAGTACAGGGATGCTACTTAGTGTCCCAGTCCATTCCCAGGTTCTAATGAAAGGGCCCTCCTATTGCATTTGCAGGGTAAATGTTTCCCAATCTAGTGATGATCCTTCCCTTTTCCATCTTTCTAAACTTCTACTTCAGCAAAAATGAAAAGGCAGCTTAACCCATGCTAGTGAATAAGCACGTTAAATTGCTTCTAGTTTCAGACAACTGAGAATCCTACTGAAATCTGTTGTTGTTTTTGCCTGCCTAGCATACAGAGATTGACTTTACAAGGAATGACCCACCTCCATTCCCTGCACTCTTGGTATCATGTCAGGCCCATCCCACCCCCAATCCTGCTAGAAATGTGATGCTGAGCAGACCTAAGATGTGAGAAATTGACTTTCTTCCTGGAACCCTAAATGCCCAAAGTCTCCTATGCTTTCCAGTCTTCCTTACAGATACAAAGACTGCCCCATATTCTTCTGCTATGTACGTGTGTGTGTGTGTGTTTGTCTTAAATTTAGTTTCTCTTGCTTGCAACCAAAATAATTCTGATATATCAACTAAAAGGAAAAGAACAAAGAAATATCCCCTTTGGTGCTACTTGGTGCCTTCTCTATGCTCTTACAGAGGTACAAACCAAGTCAGTAAACAGAGCAATATACTAAGGAAGTAGGTATCTGTTCAATATCCCTCCATCAAGCTGAAAGTCCCAGGGGATATTCTACCAAATGCATTCCAGTGAAAAGTATCCTAAGTTCCAGTCTGAAACTACTTGAAAATAATAAGAGGTCTCAGGTTGACTACTCAAATATAAAAAAAAAAATTATCATCAGGCAACTGAAACACATTTCGAGTATATGTTGCATTAGACTCCTTAGAGTTGTTCTTAGTTGCCCCAATGTCGTAGGGCTTGAGTTTCTTGCCACATTAGTAAGAGGGTTCAATTAATATATATATCAATTCATAGATATACATGGGCAACATATTATTTTTAATAGCATGATCTTACATTTTATAGTGCTATGCAAAGTGATTCCATGTACTATTTCTCCTTCGATCTTCGCAAGCACCCTCTCAGTAGTCAGGGACAACAGGCATCTTAATACTTTACAAAAAAGGAAACTAGATCAAACCTTGCCCAGAATCTGTACCAGCAGGGCTAAAGCTGGCCCAAGGACAGCCTCAAATCAAGATCTCTGTCCGCCAGATCTCTGTGAGCACTCTACTGCACCACCCTGACAAATCCAGAATCCCAGAGCCCACATTGTACCTAGCCTCAGGTGTCCTCACCAGCTAATGGAAGAAGTGGTACTAAACAAATTCATGGAGTAGGATGGAGGAGAGGCAAATCAAAGGCACAGAAAGAGGAGGCTCAAGTCCCAACTTGCTTTAGACAGGGAAACACTTGCTTCAGTGTTGCCTCACTAATCACATTTATTTTTGGCTTCATTGTGAGAGCTATTAACTATCAACAACAGATTCATAGTCTTAGGCAATTAAGGCTGCTACAACAAATTACCTTAGACTGGGTAACTTTTTAAAAACACAAATTTATGGTTGGGCACGGTGGCTTATGCCTGTAATCCCAGCACTTTGGGAGGCAGAGGTGGGCAGATCACAAGGTCAAGAGATTGAGACCATTCTGTCCAACATGGTGAAACCCCGTCTCCACTAAAAATACAAAAATTAGCTGGGCCTGGTGGCGCATGCCTGTAGTCCCAGCTACTCGGGAGGCTGAGGCAGAAGAATCACTTGAACCCAGGAGGCAGAGGTTGCAGTGGGCCGAGATTATGCCACTGCACTCCAGCCTGGTAACAGAAGGAGACTCCGTCTCAAAAAAAAAAAAAAAAAAAAAAAAAAACCCACACAGATTTATTTCTTACAGTCCTAGAGGTTGTAGAGGTTGGGAAGTGTGAGGTGAAGGTGCCAGCATACTCGATGTCTGGTATGGGGCTGCTTTCTGGTTCATGGAATGGTGCCTTCGCACCGTTCCCTCACACAGTGGAAGGAGCAAGGAAGTACACTAATCCCATTCATGAGGGCAGAGCCATCATGACCCAATGACCTCCTAAAGACACCACCTTCTAATAGCACCACCTTGGTGATTAAGATTTAACATACAGATTTGGGAAAACAAATTCAGACCATGGCATTCTGCCCCTGCCCCTCCAAAATTCATGTTTTTCTCACGTGCAAAATACATTAATTCCACCTCAATAGCCCCAAAAGTCTTAACTCAATCCAGTACCAACTCAAACGTTTAAAGTCCATAGTCTCATCTAAATGCCATCTAAATCAGATATAGGGAAGACTCAAATGTATGATTCATCTGAGGCAAATTCCCTTCCAGCTGTAAGCCTGTGAAATCAAACAAGTTACGTGCTTCCAAAGTATTACAGTGGGAAAGGCCAAATGGACATTAGAACTGCCTCTACCTAGGAAAACAGTAAATCCAAAGCAATACTGCATTCCTAGAGGGTTTACAGAGATGTGCCACCATCAAGGATTTGAAAGTTGCAGGGGTGATGATTCCCACCATATCTTCCAATTCAGCTCTCCCATTTGACCTGTGCAGAAGACAAATGGATCTTGGAAAAGGACAGTGGACTATCATAAGCTTAACAAACCAGTGATTCCAATTGCAGCTGCTGTACCAGATGGGGTCTCATTGCTTAAGCAAATCAGCATATCACCTGGTACCTGGTATGCTGCTGTTGATCTAGCAAATGCCCTTTTCTCCATACCTGTCCACAAGGCCAGCCAAAATCAGTTTGCTGTCACCTGACAAGGCCAACAATATAACTTTTACCATGCTGCCTCAGAGGTACATCAACTTTCCAGCCCCACATCATAATTTAGTGTGAAGGGATCTTGATCACCTTTCCCTTCCACAAGACATCACACTGGACCATTACACTGATGACATTATGCTGACTGAATCTAGTGAGTGAGAAGCAGCAACTACTCCAGACTTACTGGTAAGACATTTGTGTGTTAAGAGTGCAGGAAACAAATCTGATAAAATGCAGGTCTTCCATCTCAGTGAAATGCCTATGGGTCCAGAGGTGTGGGGCATGTTAAGACATCCCTTCCAAGATGAAGTACAAGTTGTTATATTTGGCCCCTCCTACCATCAAAAAGTGCAATGACTAGTGGACCCATCTGGATTTTGGAGGCAACATATTCTGCATTTGGGCGTGTTACTCTAGCCCACTTACTGAGTGACCCAAAGAGCTGCTAGTTTTGAATGAGGCCCAGAATGGGATAAAGCTCTGCAATAGATCCAGGCTTCCGTGCAAGTTGCTCTTCCACTGGGGCCATATGATCCAGCAGATTCCAACATTGCCTGAAGTGTCTATCAGTGGCAGACATAGATGCCATTTAGACTCTTCAGCAGGATCCTACAAATGAATTGCAGCACCGGCTTTTAGGATTTTACAATAAGGTGTTGCCATCACCTACAGATGGCTACCCTCCTTCTGAGAGACAGCTCTTGGGCTGGGCCTTGGTAGAAAATGAGCACTTAATCATGGGCTACCAAGTTACCATATGACCCAAACTGCCCATCATGAATTGGGTATTATATGATCAACCAAGCCACAAAGCTGGGCATGCACAGCAGCACTCCATCATCAAATGGAAGTGGTATATACACGATCAGGCGAAAGCAGATCCTGAAGGCACAAGTAAGTTAAATGTCATCATGGCTCAAATGCCCACAGTCCCCACTCCTGCTACACTGTCTTCTCTAGTCCCAGCCTGCACCTATGGCCTCATGGGCAATTCCCTACAATCAGCTGACACAGGAAGAGAAGACTTGGGCCTAGTTTGCAGATGATTCTGCACTACATGCAGGCACCACCTGAAAGTGGACAGTTGCAGTATTATAGCCGTTCCCTGTGACATCCTCAAAGGACAGTGGTGAAGGGAAATCCTCCCAGTGGGCAGAACTTCAGCAGTCCACCTGGTTGTGCACTTTGCTTGAAAGAAGAAATGGCCAGACATGCAATTATATACCCAATTCATGGGCTGTAGCCAATGGCATGGCTGGATGTCCACAGACATGATTGGAAAATCGGTCACAAAGAAATCTGGGGGAGAAGTATGTTGACAGACCATTCTGAATGGGCTAAAAACATGAAGATATTAGTTTCCTATGTGAATGCTTACCAAAGAGTAACCTTCAGCAGAGGAGGATTTCAAGTGGATAGAATGACCTATTCTATGGATGCCAGTCAGCCTCTTTTCCCAGCCACTTGTCATCGCCCAGTGGCTCATGAACAAAGTGGCTATGGTGGCAGGGATGGAGGTTAGGCATGGGCTCAGCAACACAGACTTCAACTCGCCAAGGCTGACCTGGCTACAGCCACTGCTGAGTGCCCAATCTGCCAGCAGCAAAGACCAACACTGAGCCCCCTTTATGGCACCATTCCCCAGGGTCATCAGCCAGCTAACTGGTGGCAGGTTGATTACACTGGACCTCTTCCATCAAGGAAGGCACAGTGTTTTATCCTTACTGGAATGGACATTGACTCTGGAGATGAATTCGCCTTTCCTGCATGCAATGCCTCTGCCAAAATCACCAACCATGGACTTCCAGAATGCCCTATTCACCATCATAGTGAATAAGAAGCATTGCTTCTGACCAAGCAACTCACTTCACAGACCACAAAATGAGGAAAGGGGCCCGAACTCACGGAATTCAATAGTCTTACCATGTTCCCTACCATCATAAAGCACCATCCTGAAGTAGCTGATTTGATTGTACAATGGAACAACCTTCTGAAGACTCAGTTACATGCTACGTAGCTGACAACACCTTGCAGGGCTTGGAGCAAGGTTAGCCAGAAGACTGTATATGCTCTGAATCAGCATCTGCTATATGGTAGTGCTTCTCTGACAGCCAAGATTCACAGGTATAGGAATCAGGAGTGGAAATGGGAGTGGGTGGCACCACTCACCATTACGCCTAGTGGGTCACTGGCAAAATGTTTGCTTCCTATTCCCACAACTTTATGCTCTGCTGGCCTTAGTTCCAGAGGGAAGAATGCTTCCAGCAGGAGACACAACAATAATTCCATTGAAATGCAAGTTAAGGACATCAGGCCACTTTGGGCTCCTCATGCCTCTGAGTCAGCAGGACAAGAAAGGAGTTACAGTGTTGGCTGGAGTGACCCATCCAGATTACCAAGAAGAAACTGGACTACTATTCCACAGTGGAGGTAAGGAAAAGTATGTCTGGAATACAAGAGATCGTTTAGAGCTTCTCTTAGTATTACCATGCCCAGCAACTAAGGCCAATGAAAAATGACAACAACCCAATCCAGGCAGAACTGCCAATGATCCAGACCCTTCAGAAATGAAGGTTTAAGCCACCCGACCAGATAAAGAATCATAACCAGCTGAAGGCAAAGGGAATACAGAATGAGTAGTAGGAAAGCTAGTTATGATACCATCTGTGACCATGTGACCAGTTACAGAAAGGAAGATTGTAATTACCATGAGTATTTCCTCCCTATTTTGTTATGAATACGTTTGTGTGTATATAAACATATATTAAGTAAATATCCTTGTTTTCCTTCCTCTCTTATTCCCTTATCACACAAGATGTTAATGACTTTATGTCAGTATTTCAGTAATGATAATTTTCTATACTATTTAAGTTACAGAGTCTCAGGAGAGGAGTAAACATCACTCAAGGACTTCACCTCCACTTCCAGAGAAGGGATAAGTGCACTTTCAGTTGTACACAGGATCATTGTACCTTGATAGGTGGAATTATGACCTTGTCATTGTCTTTATTTGGAGGTTAGGTATGGTTTAAGGGGATGTGTATGGATGTTAAGTTGACAAGGTAGACTTGTGTAATTTGACTGGGTTAAAGGGTACCCAGATAGCTGGTAGAACATTATTTGTGGGTGTGTCTGTGAGAGTGTTTCTAGAAGAGATTAGCATTTAATCTGTAGATTCAGGAAAGATCCTCTCTCACCAATGTGCGTGGGCATCATCCAATCGGTTTAGGGCCCAGGTAGAACAAAAAGGCAGAGGAAGGGTGAATTCACTCTCCTAGAGCTGAAACATCTATCCTCTCCTTCCATTGCACACTGGAGATCCCCTAGTTCTTAGGTCTTTGGCTCTGGTACTCACACCAGCAGTAAGTCATCCCCATCCCCCTCTGCCAGCACCACCATTGGCTATTGGCTCTCCTGGTCCTCAGGCCTTTAGACCCAGCTAAATTACACCATCACCTTCCCTAGTTCTCCAGCTTGCAGATGGCAGATGGCGGGACTCCTTGGCCTTCCTACAATAAATCCCCTTGACAGATTTCCTATTGGTCCTGTTTCCTTGAGAAAACAAAGACTAATAAAGTAAGTATTGTTGGGGCAATAATTGTGGCTATTGAGGAAACCATGTCATAAGCCAGTTCATTCTTCAAAACTAGGCAAAACTTATTTCTAATACAGAATATTTAACTTCTACCTCCCTTAAATGTTGGCAAAAATAAGACCAAACAACAATCCACTCAGCAAACATAGAGCATGTTTGCTCTAGAGTTAATCCATGTGCCACTTATAGGTTAAGTATAGGTAACAAAGTAAAACATATCACCCTTGCCTTTTAGGAGCTTAAAGTTTAATTAAGTTCCATTACACCTGAGAATAGAGCCGCCAATTCTCTGACTTCTGTGTATCTCTTCCTTTATCATTCTATTTCCTGCCAGAAGCTTCTGGCAAAACAAAATCTTGGGATGAGAGACCTTGAAATTTGGTCAAATGCTTAAAATCAAGAACTGAAACCAAAACAACACTTTTCACTGTAGTTCAGTGACAGGCAATGGATGCCATCCTGGAAAAAAAAAATCTGTATTTTTCGAAACCAATAGCTACATCCATAGCAGGAACCACTCTTGAATTCAAACATAATCTATAGCTGGCACCCAGACAAGGTAAATGTGAGCCTTTGGAGCAAGATGTTGGACCACAGCTAAGAATGAATAAAGGCATGTCCAGAAGTGGCACCAAAGTCCTCAAGGCAAAGGAGCAGACACCAAAGGGATATTAGACAAGCAGGATCCTACAGTAAGAAGACAAGAAATAAGGAAAGGCTGAAGGACTCAAAACACAGGTTGGCCAAGCTCATGTTCAAATCAAGTATTGCATGTTTATATGATGTTTATGAACATATGAAAGACACTGGCACTAAGTCTTGACTATACCTAAGATCCAATTCTAGAAAGCAGAAATTCCAGTTTTCTAGACTTTACTCTTGGAGGAAAGAGTACCGTATAATAGTCTACATACAAATTTACCATGGACTAAGAAAAAAGCACCACCAATTATAAGCAGATATGAAACAGAATAAATAATATAAAGGAAAGAATGTATAAGCCATCTCTTGAAGTGCTATGCCAAGAATAAAAAGTGTTCTTGCTATACCCAGAAGAAACCAGGGAACAAGAATCAGGATACTGACTACAGCATGCCGATGTCCCCCCAGAGGTTTATGCACAAGTCCTGGCTAATCATCATAGAGTAAGTTTTCCTAGCCCTCGAGAAAAGACTATTTAAAAAAAAGAAAAAACCCCACACAATTTTACCTACAAAGTTTCTGAGGATAGGCTGGTGATGGGGTGGTGGTGGAAGGTAGTAAGTTCCTCTTCAGTATTACACACTGGCTGTAGAACAGGCTTAAGTTTGGGGAAGACTTTAGATAAAATTTCAGTGTAGACACCATCACCACCAAATGCCAACATTAGAAAGAACACAGGTATACATTCCCAAGGCATTGAGAATTATTCAAGTTAATGGAAATGAAAGAAACAATGCTCACATAAACTAGAAAGGGTCTTTCCAATAACTGCCACTCCTCTGTCCTTTTACCTGAAACTTCCTAGAGCACTAACAGGTTATGTGTCCGTCATATGGCTTGTAATACAGTCCCAGCCCTTGCATATCAGTCATATAAAAACATTAATAGCTTGGCAGTCATGTGTGGAGGGCCGGGGGAAGGGAATATTTGTGCTCCATTCTTGTATTTATAAATTTATAACTTGTGAATTCAAATTTCAGGGTAAAGATAGCTAACAAATGCCGAGACTTAAAAATATCTCCAAAGAATCAGAAACCAACAGACAGACATTAAAGCCAAAATAAACTCTAGCTCCCCCAAAGGACAAAGCCTACATAAGATGAAACTCATACATGTGTGTGCCATCAGAAAATAATAGTGATAATCTAATCTTAGTGTAATTTTAATTTATCTTGATTTCACTCTTGGACATGGAAGTATCAGTTCTAATGTCAAGGAATGGTAGATAATAACTATTTACATATTGTTTCAGATTATTTAACTTGCATTTGAATATGAGCAAGTCTTATTACTGAATATTCACACCCCTTTAGAAACAAATGAAATCACAGCAAGGAAACACTACTCAGAGAAAATTGGAGCAAAATGGCACATCTATTTATCTCTCTCTAGGCTAGGAACAGGCAACAGCAATTTTCCAGTACCTGAACTCATCTAAGCAAAGCTTCTGTTTTGCTGTGATTAATGTCTTGCTTGGACCCTCTGGGGCAGAAAAAAGTTTACAGTCAGCATTGTCCAGTAAAAGTTTCTGTGATGATGGCAATGTTTTATCCCTGCACCATCTACTACAGTAGCCACTAGCCTGCACGTGGCTAGTGAGCACATATGAGATGGCTAGTTTGACGGAGGAAATTAATCTTGAATTTTTTTCTTTTTTTGGAGATGAGATCTTCCTCTGTCACCCAGGCTGAAGTACAGTGGCCCAATCATAGTTCACTGCAGCCTCCAACTCCTGGGCCCAAGTGATGCTCCTTCCTCAGCCTCCCAAATAGCTGGGACTACATGCACATGCCAGTATACCTGATCCTTTTTTTTTTTTTTGAGACAGAGTCGCTCTGTCGCCCAGGCTGGAGTGCAGTGGCGTGCAACCTCCGCCTCCTGGGTTCAAGTGATTTTCCTGCCTCAGTCTCCCAAGTAGCTGGGACTACAGGTGCCCACCACCACGCCCGGCTAATTTTTGTTTTTGTTTTTTGGGTTTTTTTTAGTACAGACAGAGTTTCACCATATTGGCCAGGCTGGTCTCAAACTCCTGACCTTGTGATCCGCCCGCCTTGGCCTCTCAAAGTGCTGGGATTACAGGCATGAGCCACTGTGCCTGGCTCATTTTTGTACTTTTTTGTAGCGACAGGGTCTCACTATTTTGCCCAGGTTGGCCTCGAACTTCTGGCCTCAAGCAATCCTCCTTCCTCGGCCTCCCAAAGTGCTGAGATTACAGGCATGAGCCACCATGCCTAGCCCTTAACTTTAATTAATTATAATTTAAATAGCTACATATTGCTAATCAATACCATAACAGCAGCATAGACATGTTATATCTTAAAAAATCAAATGTCAAACTTTTACCAACTCTGGTTACACCACACTGATATAATCAGAAGCCCATCTACAGTGAAAATCTCAAAAGACACAAAAGGAAGATTTTCAGTAGTAAAATTGTAATGCAGACACAGTACTCAAGTTGAAGGTGGGTACATGAAGTGTTATGGTGATGGTGCTTGATAAATTCTAAATCCTTACTGCCCTTAAGAAATCAGTCACAGACACACACACAGGGAGCAGTCCTGAGGTTTGGCAGGACAAGCAGGCTGCCTCTCCAAGCCCACTGTGGTCAGCAACAAAAAAGGCCCAGATTCAGACTAGGAAGAGCCAGGTTACCCTACCTCACCCCTGCCTCCATGAAAACCAGCCCATTTCAGACAGTTTCTTTTTCTCCCAAGACCAGGTCAAACACAATGCAAGACAAACAAACGTGGATCAAATATCTGTTTTAAAAAACTAAAAACTGCTGGAAACTCCTATATTGGGGTGTTTGGGGAGGTATTGTCTCTCAACTTTCAAGCATCGCTGGGCTACAAACAAGTAAAAAAAAAAAAACTATATAGACATACACATAGTATATACTTAAAATTCAATTCTTTATAGTTCCAATTGAGGTAACTAAGCCAAACACCTTAATTACTACAGAAATCACACAAACGGTTAGTCAACAGGAAACACATCAAGTGTTACTCTAATCTTAAAGAATTCCAATACTTCATGGTGATATGAAATTGACTTTTTTTTTTTTCTTTTGAGACAGAGTCTCGCTCTCTCCCTCAGGCTGGAGTGTAGTGGTGCAATATCAGCTCACTGCAACCTCTGCCTCCCAGTTCAAGCTATTCTCCGGCCTCAGCCTCCCAAATACCTGGGATTACAGGCACATGCCACCACGAGCAACTAGTTTTTGTACTTTTAGTAGAGAAGAGCTTTCACCATGTTGGCCAGGCTGGTCTCGAACTCCTGACTTCCAGTGATTCACCTGCCTCGGCCTCCCAAAGTGCTGGTATTACAGGCATGAGCCACTGCGTCCTGCCTGAAATTGACTCTTGCAATTGATTAAAATCCTTTTTTTGCCTACTCTATGAAATACAGACAATGTGCATGAGTATAATAAACAGGCAGCTGTCCAAAAATATCACACACACACACTCAAAGTCATTTTAATAAAAGCATGATATTGACTTGACAGAAATACAGAAATAACACAGTACATTGAAAAACTGTGCCTGAGACAGGCAGCATTAATGGAGAGGAGGTCAGAATGCAGGGTCCTCTCCTCATGTGAGTAAGGCATTTTAGGGAGGGACCCTGGGAAGTCAGAGGAGGTATGGCTGGACAAGACTCAAGGAAGAGAAAATCAGCTCAAACAGGGCTGGGAGGCCCTGGGGACCTCACCTTCTAGACTCCACCTGTGTGTAGCAAACTCCACCCACAAGAAGAGTGACTGGGTCTGCAAGGTGCATGAATGGAATGGAAATCTACCCTCGCAAACAAGCCTGTCATTCATATGGTCCCGCTCAGCAAGAATAAAAATGAGAGGAACGTGAGAAAGGCTGTCCTAAGAGGCTGACCTCTCATGCTATAGTGTCATTTCAGCAGGCAAATAATCAAATTGCTTACTGTCAATATATGACCCAAAGCAATCAATTGTAGCGAGAAGGCACTTGGAGTTATCAATTTATGTAACAAAAATGACATTCCTTGGTGTTTCCTTCCTTATCTACCTCAACCCCCACCCTAGCCTACTCCCCGCGGCTGTCACACAGGGCAAAGGAGCTGGGATTTTGCCTTTGGCTGGTGTACTGGGACATTTCCAGAGCCACCGGACTTGCCTGCTTACTACTGTGGTGGATTATGAAAGGCCTTGTTATCCTGAGCTCCGACAGGGCAAATGCAAACACTTCGGCCTGGTGCAGGCCTTTAACAAGCCTGCAGCGGCTGCCGCCTGCAGAAAGCATGGTCGGTGGCAAGCTTGCCAACAGCCCAAGCCAGCTGACCAGCATCCAGCCACCACTTCTTTTCCAAACACTGACTGAACAAGCCTTGATTCAGCTCTTATGTTACACTCTGGTGAAGAACAGTGCAGAAGCACCAAGAGAATCATTTGAAAGGAACTATTCTGGGCATACACCAAGCACATGTTCCCATGGAATTGTTAATAACTCAGGGGTCCTTTATATTTGTTTGAACCTTCCATGTCTAGCTGTGGAAAAGACATATTTCTTTTTTCTCTCCAGGGACAATAAAGGCAGGAAAGTAAAACTCCTGGTAATGTCATATCCAGTCAAACAGGAAGGTTTGTAGGCTCAGGGCTGAAAGGTTTCCACAGCTACACTGAGCCAATATGAAAATAATTTATTTCACTTTCATCTGTTTCATTTCCTCCAAAATTATCATTCAGGTCCCTGACTCCCTCATCTATGAAGACAAGAGGAAACATTTTATAAACACAACAGAATACAGTGTTTAAAAAACACATGAGATATGGAGAAACCTGAACTTTCACTCATTGCTGGTGGAAATATAAAATAGTGCAGTCACTTTAGAAAACCATTTGGCATTTCCTCAAATTGTTAAACACCAAGTCTCTATATGACCCAGCAACTCCATACTTAGGTATTTACTCAAGAGAAGTGAAAACGCATGTTCGCACAAATACTTAAACACAAATGTTGACGGCAGCATTATTCATGATAGCTGAAGAGTAGAAACAACCCAAATGTCCATGAATAAAAAAAAATGTGGTATATCTATAAAACAGAATATTATTTTGCAATAAAAAAGAATGAAGTACCAATACATGCCATGACATGGATGAACCTTTGGAAAACATTAAACTAGATGAGAGACGTCAATCAAAAAAGACCACATATTACATGACTTCATTTATATTAAATGTCCAGAACTGGTTGATCCATACAGACAGAAAGCAGATTAGTAGTTGTCTGGGTCAGGGTTGAGGTCGATCTGTCAAACTACATGGGAAGAAACGAAGTTGAAACTATTGCCTAAAGTGAGACATCTGGCTTTTCCACAGTTAACAGAAAAGTATCTCTTCAAATAGGATGACCTTCCTGAGGAGAGCAAGGAAGAAAGAAGCACGTCAGGGGTCTGTGGTAGCAGCCAGGCCTGCCTTGCACCTGCCAACTTGGAAGAATCTAAATGCAAAACATTTAACATCCCTCATAGTGATCCACATGAACTTAAACCAACGTATACAAGAAAGACAAAGAGGTTTCTCATGCCAGGCACAGAACTTAGGTCTACACAGCACCCTTTGCAAACTGTCACCAGACACCTGCTCCAGTTATCTTGAATCAGCTACAGCCCCAATCTTCCAAAGTAAACTGAAGCAAAGATCCTCGGAATCACAGTGAACTTCAAAGGGAAATTTAGCTTTGTGCTAACGCCTCAGATGAAAAAAGGCAGGCCAAATCAAACCAGGTACGTTAAGTGTGATATCTGCCTGATATCTTGGTAGCAAGTTGATTTAATAATGGAAATAGGTGACCACTGCTGAGAAACAAGCTCTGAGGTTGCCCTTTGATAGATGGTGAAATCCAGGAAAGATGGCAGATTCTGCTTGCCCAATGCTTAAAATCAGGACAAGGCAAAGTATGTCACAAACACAACAGGGAAGGGGTCCAGCTCTGGGAGAAAAATAAACTGTCTTCCGACTGCAGCATCAGCTCTTCTGTGTTTTAAAATAAAATTTATAAAAGTAAGCTTCACCTTCCCTCCACCCACCGTAAATAGTGAGAGAAGGCCACACATAGGCAAGACAAGCATTTACATATACGTATACCCTGCAACCCTTTATTTAAGGGCTGAAACAGATTTGAGTCCCCTGGTATTACAATGTAAACAATTTTTCTTTCCATATAAGTATGTGCTGCACTCACAGCTGGTGGTGGTGTCAGTTTACATCCTCCTTTAGTTTTAGGAATAGCAGTGGGTAGAGGGATAGTGGCCTGCAAGTCAGACAATCAGAGTCCTCAACCTGGCTTCAACATTAACTAACAGGATAACCCCAAAATACTCTGGGCATTGCATTTAATCATGTGTGAAACAAGGTGGGATTATCAGTGGTTTTCTCTTTCCTTTTTTTTTTTTTTTTTTTTTTGGTAAGCTGTGAAATCATTTATACAAATGAAATCTCATGGAGAATCTCAATATATATAAGAGCTTAAAGCAGACAGGCTGCTTAAAGCTGGAAGGGATACGGGGGAAGGGAGGGGTCTCCCTTGAGGCATCTTCTGGAATCCTGGGACTCCACGGCACATAATATGAAAACCACTGACAAGTTCCCCTGAATACAAAAAGTCAATTCCACTTTTAGTAAAATACGTCTTTAGAACTTTAACTGAAACCACAGAAGACAAAATGGAAAGACTAACGATTTCTAATCCCTACTCCTGGGGAGGGGGTGGTGTGTGGAATGGGGGGCAGGGGCAGAAGTATTACAAGGGGTCCTTCATTCATAAGCATGTGAATGTCTGATACATATACACATGCCTATTTTTCCAATGAATTTATATGCTGCGATTGATAAAAGTAAAATTCATTTAAAGTGTTAAAGAAATTCAAGGTCATGTGAGAATCTGATTCTTTTTTATTAAAAAGGAACATTCTAAAAGATTGGGAGCCACTGCGACAGAGAAATAAACAATATTCCATCTGAAATAAATGATGTAAATTGATCTCTTAAAAATACTAACAATGGCCTTTAAAAAAAAATTTAAAGATTCTACTACCTACACTGACAAACTAGTTAGATCCCTTGTTTACTAGCTGTGGCTATTAGAATGCTGCTTGGGCAGGATTATGAGGCATGTCCAAGCTGGGTAGGAAAGAATGTCACCTTTGATAAGCATTGTCTAGCATGGCAGTGGAAGGAATAGGAAGTGGGGGAAGAACATGTCTCCTGTATTGGTACTCCAAGCTACGCCAGACAATCATCTTTATCAGGCAATCATCTAAGATATGACAATTAGCAGAGACCTGTGTTCTAACTTGACTCGGACATTATGCTAAAACACTGGAGAGTTTTCAACAGCATAAGCCATAATATGTGCTTCAAAACTTTGACTTAATTACTTATATTTGTTCACCTTGTGACAACTGATAGTATAAGAAATTCTCATTTAATACTATTTAAAAAAACAAACAAACAAGTCTGACTTCAAAAAAGTTTATAACTCCCGACCAGATGACTATACTAAATGAATTATGGCATTATTATGATCACATACTTTGTCATATATTTTTAAGCCTAAATAGTAGAAACATGAGAACCTCAGTAAATGCAAGCCAATAGCAGCTACCAGTCATGGTAAAAATTAATGATGTTTTATCTTAGAAACTATGTATCAAAGTTTTATCCATTTAGAATCAGCCCCATTAAAAAATGAAACCTACATAAAGAAAGTTACAAAATGTGAATCTAGCAATCACATATTTCACTTAAAATAAGAATTAAGGAGGAATGGCTAAATCAGAAAATAAAAGGAGTGTTTTATATTTCTTAAAATTTATCTTTCAGAAGTTCATAAAATAATATGGAACTCATCATTAATGAGAAAAATATGTTTGAATATTTTTAGTCCACAACTTTACTAGTCATAGCAGGGGAGAGGCTGTTTAAAATCATTATTCTGTGTTATATTAAAGATTGTTCACAAGATTTTTTTCAGTGCAAATTCAAGAAATATAGAAAATTAAGATAAAACATCTCATAATCCATTTTACACTGGAGGTGTTATTTATTCATAGAATGTGAGTGAAGTGTCTGATTATTTTACTCAGAAAGGCAACTGACACTCTTGGAAATTCTGTTCCTTCGGTCAATTGTGTAGAGTCCAATCATCTGGCATTTGAATGATGCAAGAAATTAACAAATCAACTGGGGAGAAATATTCATTTTTGCAAGCTAGGAAGACAATGAGTTGATGTTTTGGGAGAAGACAAATGTGACTTCCTCCTCTGCAGCAGCAGCCTTCCTCCAGAGAATCCTCTTGTAACAACTATTACACCACTGGGTCAAACGTGTCCCCCAAACAAATGCACAGGGACCTACCCACCAACACCTGCCCTAGAAGAGAGTGCCACAGGATGTATGTGCATGCATGTGTTTTCTTAAATACAGATGGAGCACTTTAAAATAGAGTCCCAGAAAATAAAATCTGAACAGAACCATAATACTCAGTATGTCTTCTCTAAAGTGTGCTGGGAAACACTTCATTATATTCTGTTACTGGGATTATTACAATCATCTAAAATTTTAAACATGAAGCTCTCTGTGCTTGGAAGAAGATTTATTTCTCTGTTTAAATTACCTAAAGCAAACCTAAAGTGCTTTACCAAACCTAAAGCATTTAAAAGAAAAACCATTTCTCCTACAATATTGGTTTATGATATATTGACAAAAAGGCAATTGGACCGTAAGTACAGCATTTTGTAAAATTTAGGTGCTGTACAGGCAATGCTGCAAATATTTTAGACAAGCATTTGGATCTGTTTTACAACACCATGTATAAACAAAATATACTGGGCATAACATTTCTTTTATCACATAAATCATTATAATATAAACTTCTCCCTCTCTCCTCATAATATTTGGATTATTTCATTGTTCTACCTCCTTATTTTCCAAACAAGTTTAGTCCAGTGGAAAAACTATGTATCATTTCCCTGGTTTTTATGCCTTCAGAAAAGCCTTCTTTGTAGCAGTCACACCATCAGCAGAAAACTACTAAGATTAAGAAAACACTAAGGCAAACTCCAGGAAATGCAAACTGGCAAGAAAATGACAGAAGCTAGCCTGAGGTTTCCCTCCAGATAATGAGGAGAGGGTATGTTAAGATAATTAATTATGCGAAACTGAAGCAAGAGACCCTTAATCACAGAGAAATATTTTAGATCATTTAAAATGTACCTGGAGATATCGTAAGTTTCCTTCCAAAGGGTTTAATGACTGCTTATTATATTTATGAAAAGTGCTGGCTTATTTGCATTGCTAATTACTCCCATTTCTGGTCATTTCAAAAACATTGAGATTTAAACAGATAAATTCGCAAACAGGCCATTTAAGAAAGGAAAAATATAAATGACCTAGGGAGGAAAGTTATATTTAATAAATTTTTAAAATGCAAAAATACCATGTGATAGCTTTTGCTAGTTGTCCAATCACAGATAATTGTAATATAATAATACTCATTGTAGGCAATGGTGAAGTGAAAAATGCTTTAATGCTCTTTCACTGTCAAGAGCGTCAATTTGCAAAACTTTGTTGTTGTTTTGGTTTTGGTTGGTTTTTTTGTTTGTTTGTTTTAGAGACAGGGTCTCATTCAGACCCTCGGGCTGGGGTGCACTGGCTGTATCATAGCTCACTGCAGCCTCAAATTCCTGGGCGCAAGCAATCCTCCCACCTCAGCCCACACACCCCAAGTAGCTGGGACTACAGGTGTGTACCACCATGCCCATCTACTTTTTTTCCTATTTTTTTTTTCTTTAATTTTTGTAGAGATGGGGGTCTCCCTATGTTGCCCAGGCTACTCTCAAACTCCTGGGCTCAAGTGATCCTCCTGCCTTGGCCTCCCAAAGTGTTGTAATTACAGGCATGAGTCACTGTGCCTGGCCCCTGCAAAATCTTCCTTGAGGATGATTTGGTCATATAGATGTTCCTTGACTTACAACAGGGTTACATCTTGATAAAGCCATTGTATGTTGATAACACTGTAAGTTGAAAATACATTTAATACACCAACCTGCTGAACACTATAGCTTAGCCTAGCCTACCTTAAACATGCTCAAAAACACTTACATTACCCTACAATTGGGCAAAATTACCTAACACAAAGCCTATTGTATAATAAAGTGTGGAATATCTCATGGAATTTATTAGATACTATATTGAAAATGAAAAATAGAATGGTTGTATGGGTATTCAAAGTACAATTTCTACTGAATGCATATTGGTTTCCCACAGTGGTAATATCAAAAAACTGCAAGTGGAACCATCGTAAGTCGGGGACCATCTTTCCTTTTAGAAAAACGAAAATTACGCACCTTTTGTTTCATTTATTTCTATGAATTTATCCTAAGAAAATAATCTAAAACATGGAAAAGATGTTCATAATTTTAATGGAAAAACAAAAATGGTTATCTTGTACTGTGAACTGAAGAATCATAAGGTTCATAAATTTGGAAAGGAGAGCTTTATTTCTCATAAAAGGTGCCATCCAGCAAGCACTTGGAGGGAGGAGTAAAGAGAACAGAAATGTATGCCAAGAGGGATGGTCAAATATAAGTATTTAACAGATTATAGGAGGAGTCCTGAATATTTATGAAAGGAGAAACATGCACATGCGCAACTAAGCTTCATGCCTGTATTGGGACTTTTTGTGTTATAAAGAAATATCTGAGGCTGGATAATTTATAAAGAAGAGAGGTTTAATTTGCTCATGGTTCTGCAGGCTGTACATGGATGGCAGCAACAGGGCTGGACTTCTGGTGAGGCCCAGGAAGCTTACAATCACAGCAGAAGGTGAAGAGGGAAGCCAGTACATCACATGGCCAGAGAAGGAGCAAGAGAAAGATAGGGGAAGGTCCTAAACTCTTTTAAACAACCATATCCTGCCTGAACTGAGCGAGAACCCACTCGTCACCAAGGGGATGGTGCTGAGCCATTCATGAGGGATCTACCCTCATGACCCAAACACCTCCCACCAGACCCCACATCTAACATTGGGGATTACATTTCGACATGAGATTTGGAGGGGACAAACATCCAAATGATATTGATGCCTATTCATGGGTCATATGTTCAAAAAACAGTGGCATTAGCATGATCTGAGGGTTGAGTTTTCAGCCCTCTGATGTCAAAAGGCAAAGCAGAGGACATGAAAACCCTCACTGGACCTCCTGAGAGAGTTGGACAAAACCTGCCTAGAGATGGTGGTCAGTTTTTAGGAAGGGATGCATGTGAAACTGGTGAGCTGCCACATCGAAACTGCAAAGATGGGGAGTCCGGCCATGGCCTCAGATGATTGGCTGAAAGCGATGAAGTTATGACTCATTCGTTTCTTGTTTTCTGGAGTTGGCTTCTGCTTACTCCTTAGGAAGGAATGCTGGTTAAAGGCTCATAAGGAAGGGGCATACTAAGATGTGTCAAATCTCCCATTCCATCATGGCCAGGAATTCAATTTTTAAGGTTTCTCTGGGAGTCCCCTTGGACAACAGGGTGTCTATTCGGTCAACTGGGAGGCTTAGGATTTTATTTTTATTTCTCAGTACCATGTATAAAATGAAAATAAATGCAGTCATCTAAGAGTTTTATTAAGAGTTTTAATTACATGAAAAATGCTTATGACAACATTTAATTGGGGGCAGAATGCAAAAGAGCGCAGGTAATGTATAATCAAAAGCATTTTTAAAACTTCATTAAGATTTTTATCTATTTCTATGTACTTTTCTGTGTTTTTTTCCCCACAGTGAACCTAAATTAATATTATAACCAAAAAATAAGTTTCTGACTTAATAGTTTCAGAATGGCCTTGAAAATTCCCCATGCTAGGCACGGCAAAATTTCTCAGAGAAGGGACTGCTGTCAGGAAAAAACCCAAGATTTAGAAGTGGGCAAAAGAGATTACTGGGTATCCTCTCAATGGAGTGTGATTTGTGGTCTAAGAGGCCCTCCAGGGATGATCTTTGACTTTTTTGTTTGTAATTAGGCCAGTGGTTCTCAAAATATGATCTGAGGAGTCCTGGAGAGCCAGAGGACTTTTCAGTGTGTTCGTGAGTTCAAAACTAATTTCATTGTAACACGAGGATGTTGTCATTTTCACTCTTACTCTCTCAACAAGCATAGAGTAGAATTTTTGAGGCGCTTTAATACCCACGATGAAGTCATCATTCACATAACATGAAATAGGTTTCATTATTGATATGTTTTAAATGAAATTAATAGTTTTAAAGCTTCTTAATTCTAATTTCTAACATGATAAATATATTACACAGTAAAATCTCTTTGGGATCTTCAATTTTTAATAGAGTCAAAGGGTCCTGAAATCGAAAAGTTTGAGAACCTGTTGGACTAGACTATCTCACAGCTCTGTAGAGGCAGAAACTCACTTGCCAAAAACACACAGTAATGTAATGCCTCTTGTCCATAGCAAAACAAATGAATTTTGTCTGGTAGTGATATAATTGCCTTACATGCCTATAGAAAAGATAAGCAAACATTGCATTTTACGGCCCTTGAAAATATTAACAAGTGCTGTATACACTAGCAAATTTATTTCAGCATTTCTGATTGTGGATAGATGACAGATACACAGGCAGACATATAGATACCTGTTCTTCAAATTCTCCTGTGAACGACCCTTAACATCTTACTGGTTCCCTCATTAATTAATGAATTAAAATTGTTGGCATGTGTTTATAATTTTGAGAATCTTATTTTTAAACTCTTTGAGAATTATTCTTTAGCACCAACTATCTACCAATAGATCAGTTCCTGCATACAGGCCACAACACTGATTAAAAATAAATTAATAATTAATCAAAATATGTTTTAAAACAAATGCAAGCTATGATAAATAAGTTTTACTAATTCAACAAAACAAACCCAGTCAAGACCCTACTTTAGTTCCTAAATCTACTAGAGTATTTTTTGCTAAATGTAGCTGAAGATAATACAAACTGATTTGTCAAAACTTCAGAAAAGTAGACTTGATTTCCAATATTTCTTACTACTTTCCTCCTCAAAATAGTTTGATCCTAAAGAGTATCTACTGTTTACACCCGGCATTCTAGAAACTCTAATCTTTTTTCCAATTAATTTTAAACACTGGAATAAGAGTGGGATAAGTATATCTTATTTTATAGATGAAATATCTGGCCGGGCTCAGTGGCTTACGCCAGTAATCCCAGCACTTTGGGAGGCCGCAGCAGGCAGATTACGAGGTTAGGAGATCAAGACCATCCTGGCTAACACGGTAAAACCCTGTCTCTATTAAAAATACAAAAAATTAGCCGGGCATGGTGGCAGGCACCTGTAGTCCCAGCTATACAGGAGGCTGAGGCAGGAGAATGGCGTGAACCTGGGAGGCGGAGCTTGCAGTGAGCCGAGATCGCACCACTGTACTCCAGACTGGGCGACAGAGCAAGACTCCGTCTCAAAAAAAATAAAATAAAATAAAATAAATACCTGAGCCCCAGAATGATCAAGTGAATTACACAATCTTACATGTATCAAGAGAGGTTAAGGAAAAATCTCTTCAGGTTCTCCATTTGCACATAGTTTAGAACACTTTGAGGGCCAGGTGCAGTAGCTCATGCTGGTAATCCCAGCAACTTTGGGAGGCCACGGTGGGAGAATTGCTTGAGCCCAGGAGTTCGAGACCAGCCTGGGCAACATAGTGAGACCCCTGTCTTTATGAAAATTTTTCAAAATTTAGACAGGCATAGTAGTCCCAGCTACTCAGGAGGCTGAGGTGGGAGGATCACCTGAGCTCGGGGAGGTCTACCCTGGACCCTGTCTCAAAAAAACAGAAACAAAAACAAAAACAAAAAAACTTACCACCCGAACCTTTACAGAAAAAGTTGGCCATCCTCTCTTCTAACCTACTGTATTCTTATTTATCTCATCCCAAGGGTATCTTTTCCTACAAAATGAAGTTTAAGTTAGATAACTGCTTCTATTTTCTTTCAGTGACAACCATATAAAATTATTCTCTTAACACAATATAAAGTGTTGCGTTTTTAAAAACAGAATATTCCAAGGTAAAGATTTTAAATATAGTACATCATGTCTTTAAGGACAAAAGACCTGTCTTTGGAGAACATACAGATATGAAATAACTAGCAAAGGCTCACTGTAAAAAAGCAATTATTTCATGACCTCAATTTTTAAATCTGGTCATTTTCCAAAACTCAAAACTCAAATGTCTTTCTCCTTTAAGAATTTTTTTTCCTTTTAAAGAAGCTAAAACCTGATTCAACAAACACACTCAGGTCAAAGATCTCAGCAAATCCAAACATCACTTAATATTTTTAAATGTTATCTATTTTCTGTAAGAACTTTAACTGAACTAAACTTAAACTGTTCTCAATAATAGGAATCTGGAAAACCTGACATTTGCTTCACTGCTAAATGTATATGCTTCTTGAAATATCTCTATATACATGGACCTAATAAATTTTGCCAATACACACTGTTTATCACATAGTTTTTCTACCTCTAGTGACCAGATAGTATAAGACATCAATTATTTTCACTTTAACAAATTTACAGGAACTAGAGTAAACAGAAAATCATGCTGTAACAAGAGTTCCAGACTGTGGAAAATTCTACAGGACAAAATAACATGGAGGATTCTCATACTAGTTGTATTAGTTTCTCTATGTATATGAGTAGGAAATGTTCAATAATAAAATGTTTTTAAAATCTTCATTTTCACTCCACATAAAACAAAAAAAGTAGCAACAGGAAGCAATAAATCTGATGGGGGGATCATTTTAGGAAGACAGAGGAAGTCGTGAAGCATATTTGTGAGTTGCCATTCATTCTGATGATTTTTATTTACTTATTTATTTATTTTTTTAAGAGAGAGGTTTTTGCCATGTTGGCCAGGCTGGTCTCGAACTCCTGACCTCAAGTGACCCACCTGCCTCGGCCTCCCAAAGTGCTGGAATTACAGGCATGAGCCATTGCACCAGCCCCATTCTGATGATTTTTTGGATGTTGTGTTTTCATTTTAATAATCATCAAGAGTATAATGGCATAAATGTACGTTACCTGATATGACAGGCAGAACTTTAAATGATACCCCATTACCCTTGCCCTCATATAATTCCCTTCCCCACTTTAAATGTGGATGGAACCAGTCACTATGATGAGATACCACTCTCATGATTATGTTTCATTATATGGTCAAAAGAAGATTACCCTGGGTGGGCTTGGCCTAATCAGGGGAGCCCTTTAATATCAGCCTCTTCTCCAGCTGATTGCAGGGAAAAAAATCAGAGAGATGTTCTCCACGTGGCATGGAAGAAAGCAAACATCCACACTGTGAACTGCCAATGTGGGCCATGTGGAACAGAATGTGGGTGGCCTCTAGAAGCTAAAAGCAGTCCCTGGCCCACAGCTAGTGGTCCTCAGTCCCATGGTCACAGGAAATAAATTCTGCCAACACTTCATGAGCTTGGAAGAAGCCCCTGAGCCCCAGCTGAAGACTACAGCATTTTGGCTGACACCTGGATTTTTGCCTGCTAAGACCCTGGGCAGAGAATCTAGCCACAGCATGTGCAGACTACTAAGCCACTAAGTTTGTGGTAATGTATTATGCAGTAATAAAACTAATACACCTTCATAAGCATTTTATAACCAAATAACACCACAGTATCTCAAGGCCTACCTTTGCACATGGGTTTATGATCCCATCAACACCAAGTGAGTACCTAAACATTTGGCAATTTAACTTTTAATACAGTGTTTCACAGACGATCATGAATCCAAATTTGAGAAACCTTGAGCTACATAATCCCTGTTAAATAAAACATTTCTTATCCAACACAGTTAGTTTTATAGGCAAGAGTTCATACTTGAATGCTTTTTACAATATGAAGACTTCTACAGCAGAAACATGCTGCAAAATAATCAAATGAACACACTGAAAGCACGTTGTGACCAAGCCAAAGGCATCACCAAAACCTTAGCTTGTCATCACAGCAGGTATAAAGTATAAGAAAGCTTTTTATCCTCTAATACCCTAGCTCATGATTAGGATGTATGAGAAAAACATGGATCAGATTCTACTACAACAAAAATTTCTTTATAACAAAGATTCTCATATCTCAAGTGGTCCATAAATATTAAGGAATTACCACATCTATCCTTTGTGCATGTCATACTCTGTTTATTTAGAGGAAAAAATGAGATGTACATGAAGATAACAAATGGGAAAGTAGTATTATCCCTAAGGCCTAAAAATCTAAGATTCTACTTAGTCTGATTCTTTTAAATGTTTTTTAATAATAGCTTTATTTTGAGATACAGTTTGTGTACCATAAAATTCATCCATATGCACTGTACAATTTGGTGGGTTTTAGGAGATTCACAAATATGTCACTATTACCACTACTTTTAGAACATCTTCATCATCTCCAAAAGAAAGCTATTCACGCCTGTAATCCCAGCACTTTGGGAGGCCAAGGCGGGCAGATCATGAGGTCAGGAGATCGAGACCATGCTGGCTAATATGGTGAAACCCCATCTCTACTAAAAATACAAAAAAAAAAAAAAAAAAAAAAATTAGCCAGAAGTGGTGGCGGGTGCCTGTAGTCCTAACTACTCGGGAGGCTGAGGCAGGAGAATGGCATGAACCCAGGAGGCAGAGCTTGCAGTGAGTGGAGATCGAATCACTGCACTCCAGCCTGGGTGACAGAGCGAGGTTCCATCTCAAAAAAAAAAAAAAGAAAGCTCATGTTCTGTCTTTAACTGTCCTTCTTTCTTCAATACTACGCTATGCTAATACATTTCCCTAGTAGTAGAAAGGCTTGGGCATTCAAGACTCAAAATCAACATTTAGGAAAGAAAAGAACAGGAGGTAGAAGATTTGACCATAGACATAACAAATATCTTAAAAACTCATTTGGGATTGTAGAACTTCCATAACTCATGTTGTAAACATTCCTTTGAAAGAAATGAAAATGCTCCAAATAAGCAAAACATGAAAGCACCTGCCAGGGAACGCAAAGAGCATTTCATTGGGGAAACTCTTCACCTATTGCACAGGTAATGTTTATTTCAGAAGCTGAAGACAGAGGATAATCTGAGCTTTACTTAAGTAAAACAAGACTTCTGTACTACAAAGGAAAAAACCGGGGGTTTCTCTAAGAACATACAGCATTCTGAAATGTATACGCTCAACACTAAAAACATTTTTTAAATGGCAAATGAACAAATGAATGATGTTTTAAGGTGTTGCTTTTATGGTTTATGGGATAGTCCATAAAATGCCAAGTATATTTTCCCCTAAAAATCAGCTATTTTCCTTGCTTCTGCTATGCTTGCTAGAAGCCTGGATCTGAAATTCTGTCTAAATGTTTTTTAAAGCCATTTTATTTGATCTCCCACCCCCTTGGGTCACTGTAACTCTGGGCCAAAGACAAGGTCCTCCATGAGATGTAGTGCTGGCAACATGAAACAGACTGAGGGAAACTTGAAACGGACCTGCCCACGTCTATGACGCCAGAGGAGGGTCTCACAGGAAGCTCACAGAGGTAGCTGTGAAAGAACCTAGATCCTTTCTAGATTATTTTAGATCCTTCTCTAGAAGGAAGGCTAAGAAAAGCATTTACTACTACTCTCCCGCTGAATTTTTATCTCAAGGATGCTCATGGTACTGATTATTTGTGAATGGGTAGTTTGTTTCCTTCTTTTACACAGTGGATTAAAATGTAAATTGATTCATCTACAGATTTAGAGGTTTTTCAGTAAAACCTGCCAAAATATAATAGAGCTTCAATATTATTAGAAGCATTAGGTTCAGTGTATTAGGTAGTGCACACTATATGACAGGTAAAAGACCCTTCCTTTTCACAAATTCAAAATTCTAAAACAAATCTTTTTAAACAGTCACACCAAAATGGACATGAATTTTTTTTTTTTTTTTTTGAGACAGTATCTCGCACTGTTGCCCAAGCTGGAGTAGAGTGACACCATCTTGGCTCACTGCAACCTCTGCCTCCTGGGTTCAAGTGATTTCGCCTCAGCCTTCAGAGTAGCTGAGACTACAGATGTGTACCACTATGCTCAGCTACTTTTTTTTAGAAGGGGGGTGAGGCAGGGCGTGGAGATGGAGTCTCATTCTGTCGCCCAGGCTGGAGTGCAGGAACACAATCTTGGTTCACTGCAACCTCCACCTCCCAGGTTCAAGCGAATTCTCCTGCCTCAGCCTCCCGAGTAGCTGGGATTACAGGCAACAGCCACCACACCCAGCTAATTTTTAGTAGAGACAGGGTTTTGCCATGTTGGCCAGGCTGGTCTCGAGCTCCTGACCTCAGGTGGTCCACCCACCTCAGCCTCCCAAGTTAATGGGATTACAGGCATGAGCCACCATGCCCAGCCAGACATGGAATTTTTAAAAACAAAGCTGTGCACTTAACCAGCTAGGCAGCCAGACCCAGCCCACATCTGCAACTATAACTACATTTCCCGAACCCAAGATCTTTCACTCTTCTCACCTATTTTCCCCTTTTGTTGAATGTCAGAATCACCTGAGGATTTTTTTTTTTTTTTTTTTTTTTTGAGACGGAGTCTCACTCTGTCGCCCAGGCTGGAGTGCAGTGTCACAACCTCCGCTCACTGCAAGCTCTGCCTCCCAGGTTCATACCATTCTCCTGCCTCAGACTCCCGAGTAGCTGGGACTACAGGCACCCACCACCACGCCTGGCTGATTTTTTGTATTTTTAGTGGAGACAGGATTTCATCATGTTAGCCAGGATGGTCTCGATCTCCTGACCTCGTGATCCGCCCGCCTTGGCCTCCCAAAGTGCTGGGACTACAGGAGCGAGCCACCGCACCCCGCCTACCTGGGGATCTTTAAGAATCCTGTAGAATGGGCCCCAACTCCACATCTACTGAGTCAGCATCCCTAAATATCTCTTTTTAAAAATCCACTGCGAACATTCTGATGCATATCCAAGGTGGAGAACTACCAGACCAGACAGAACAGAAGAGGCTTGGATATCCTCAGAAGTCCCACCTATCCAACTGCGAAGGAACGTTGTTTTACATTTTATATGAAAATATATGCTTCCTTAAGCATTATCTTTGCATTAGTTGCTCAAGAAAGGAACTTGGGTTGGTTTTTAAAACCTTATAACATTTTCATTTTGTACCCTGAAAATCTTATCAATGTTTTTTCTAAAAGGCAAGGCAAGTTTCAGTGTTGCCAAAGCCCAAGTTTTAGAGTCAAGTTTAAAAAACATTCTTGTTTGGGGGAGGAAAAAAAAAATGGAACATCACTGTGCTAATCCTCTTCAGAGCCCTTCCCACACTGCTGATTTGAGATAAGCTGTCATGTTTAAAGCTTAAGGTTTTTTTTCTAAAGCATTTTGGCATTTGACAATAATGACAGAGTTGGCCTTCCCTTTCCCCAAAGCCCCATCCTCCTTACCCACAGATAGCATTACTGAGCTACCAACACAGGCCATGGGCTTCAAAGCTGTTTACCTACTAGATCTGCTGGGCTTACCCTGACCCAGCATCAGTGTCTCACAAAGTCTCCTGTTGTGACCAAAGACATGTCCTTAAAATGTGGCTGGCCTCCCAGGCTGTGGTCATGGAAGAATGGAGAAGTGACCCTAAAGGGTCTAATCCACTGACCTTTACTTTGCTCTAACCAACTGCCCAAATAAATAAAAACAGCAGGGTGGCGCAGTTTCCCAGATGAATTCCAATTTATCCCTAAATATCCAGGCTTGGTTCAATGATTAAAGTCTTCAGACCATCCAAAACTCTGTCAAATGGCTCTCAACCCGGGGTGATTTTGCCCCCAGGGGACATTTGGCAATGTCTGGAGACATTTTGGGCTGTCTCAACTGGAGGAGGGGATGTTACTGGCATCTAGTGGGTAGAGGCCAGGGATGCTGTTAAACATCCTACAGTGCACAGCACAATCTGCCTCACAACAAATAATTATCCAGTTTCAAATTTCAAGAGTGCTGATGTTGGGAAACCCTGGGTTAGAATACAAAAATGGGTCATCTGCCAGCCCACTGCTAGATAAACCTTTGAAGAGACATTCATCCCAATTTAATTTAGTTGAAAATAGGAATCACAAACTCAATGTCTTCAAGGGCCAAGGAGATAAATATCACATAAACTAAGTGGCTGTGCATTAGGCACTAGAGTGTGGTAAGGTCTGTGACAAATCAGAACATAAATGCTCACTAAAATATCACTCCTTTTTAAAAATAATACTGTGCTGGCCAAGCAAAACATGGACAGCTGGCTACATTCACTCTGTGGACCCCCTGGTGGTCAGACTCCAGTTTAAAGTGGTGATCAGCCCTGCACGGTTGCATGCGCCTGTAATCCCAGCAACTCCGGAGGCTGAGGCGGGAGGATTGCTTGAGGCCAGGAGTTCAAGACCTCATGTCAAATTTAAAAAAAGAAAAACAATTAAGTAGAAACTAAAAAGTGATGATCAATTTAAACAGAACTGTATGATCACCAAAAGACTCTGTCGAGTTTCATCCCTTATATCCTACAAAACTCCTGAGTTGTGCAGTTGAGAAGAGACTGGGGATCAGATCATGGGGCTTAGCTCCAGCCAAGAACAGGATCTCAGGACACCATGCCAAGGCAGGGGCAGCCAAGGCTGAAAACTGGGGGCGAAAAATCGGAGTTCTCCCTCACCGATCTCCATTTTAGGGAAACTCAATGGATATTACTTTGATGAGTACACAGTGCCACATAAGTGAGGTCATTATTTTAAGAGGATACTGTCTTCCCAAAAATTTAGAATTTTTATCCAGAAGATAGCTTATTCTATGTGAATACACTGTGAATGAGGAAAGAGAGGTCCGGAAAGTTTAAAGGAATTGCCACGATTACCCAAACTGAACCTAAAATCAAAGAGTGTGTCTTTTTCTCTGTGCAATTGCAAAGCACCAAAAGACAGGTGAAGAGATTTCATTCAAGGTGTCAAACATGTGTGATTAAACACTCTACCAAACAGAAGTTACATGTAAATTGAATCTACATTTACTCAGCATTATCCTCCTTCCTCATTAGAAAAGTCACCCACATGTTTGCCCCACATCACTGTTGTAAAATCTCTTTATCCCCTAACAGAAGCATTAAAAGCAGGTTAAGTATTTCCACCCCTCCTTCCGGATCAGGCTGTAGAGAAGAAAGGCAAATCAGCAAATGGGGCCAGGCACGGTGGCTCATGCCTGTAATCCTAGCACTTTGGGAAGCCGAGGCAGGCGGATCATGAGGTCAGGAGTTCAGGCGGATCACAAGGTCAGGAGTTTGAGACCAGCCTGACCAATATGTTGAAACCCTGTCTCTACTAAAAATAGAAAAATTAGCTGGGCATGGTGGCGGGTACCTGTAATCCCAGCTACTTGGGAGGCTGAGGCAGGAGAATTGTTTGAACACAGGAGGCGGAGGTTGCAGTGAGCCAAGATTGCACCACTGTACTCCAGCCTGGGCAACAGTGCAAGACTACGTCTCAAAAAAAAAAAAAAAAGAAAGAAAAGAAAAGAAAAGAAAGGCAAATCAGCAAATGGAAACACAAGAAGGAAGCCCCAATGTGAATGTCCCCGAGTGTACGCATGATTTCTGTTGGAGGAATTCCTGGCCTGAAGAGACAGCATAAACAAAGGCCATCCAGAGGGAAACAAATGATAAGATAAGTGAAACCCAGCAACTCTCTCTGTCCTCCCCTCTACCTACTTCCCTCAACTTGTTCGTCAGAAAAACAATCTGAGCTTGACAGAATTACAATGTAAGCCTTCCTCTCCCAGCTGCCTCACAGCTCTCATTCTAAGCTAGAGGGTTAAGGGGGGAAGACATGCTTTTCTGTAAGGTCAGTGATGGGGCTCCCAAGATATGGAACTTGGCAGACTGGAGACAGCCATCTCACCCTGCCCACAGAGAAGCCAAAGGAGCAGAACTGTCAAACTGCAATGCAGGGAGTATAGAAAGAAAAGGTAAGGTATGGAAGAAACGTAACTTCAGACACAGCCTGAAAAGAAATTGGGTTAAATATAAAACTATATACATTTTTAAAAACATTTTAACCAGCCCTTAGCAGAAAATATCATAGGCAAGGCAGTTTCCTGCCACAGTTCCTAGAACTTCCATAGTTGGAAGTGTTACCTACTCACAGAATCTCAAGCCCTAAATGGGTCAGAGTATTTCCAGTTTAATCTCTATTCTTGATTTTTAAAAGACGAAAATATAATAGCAGGCCTGTTCATTTAACCTTCTGAGAACATGGTGCGGTCAGTCTCAGCCATTGGCTTCAATTCCAGCATTTATTTATTGCATGTCCTCCAACTTTTAGTTCACATTACCAACAGTGCTGAACAAAGTACCTCTAACGCAGAAATGACTGCCACACAAACAGGATGGGGAAACCAAACAGAAATGGTATTGTTGTTTCTTTTCCACCATCAGCCTAAATCAAATAGCAGCCACTAATAATGAGTTAACTGTAGTTGCATTTGAAAAAATAATTCCCGCGGTGGCTCACGCCTGTAATCCCAGCACTTTGGGAGGCTGAGTCGGGCGGATCACGAGGTCAGGAGATCGAGACCATCCAGGCTAACACGGTGAAACCCCGTCTCTACTAAAAATACAAAAAACTAGCCAGGCGTGGTGGCAGGCGCCTGTAGTCCCAGCTACCCGGGAGGCCGAGGCAGGAGAATGGCGGGAACCTGGAAGGCGGAGCTTGCAGTGAGCCGAGATCGCGCCACTGCACTCCAGCCTGGGCGACAGAGCGAGACTCCGTCTCAAAAAAGAAAAAAGAATTCCAAATGGGTTGCCTTGAACAGAAATGTATGACATTTTCCATATTCACAATTTCACCAACTTTCAAGAATAGAGAATGCAGCAAGTTTCTTCAGTTTAAGCTGTTTCATTTCCTTTAATTTCTTACAATTAGTTTTTTTGTGGGTTTTGTTTTTTTGTTTTGTTTTGTTTTGTTTTTTGAGACAGAATCTCGCTCTGTCACCCAGGCTGGAGTGCAGTGGCAGGATCTCAGCTCACTGCAAGCTCCGCCTCCCGGGTTCACGCCATTCTCCTGCCTCAGCCTCCGGAGTAGCTGGGACTACAGGCGCCCGCCACCACGCCCGGCTAATTTTTTGTAATTTTAGTAGAGATGGGGTTTCACCGTGTTAGCCAGAATGGTCTCGACTTCCTGACCTTGTGATATGCCCGCCTCGTCCTCCCAAAGTGCTGGGATTACAGGCGTGAGCCACCGCACCCGGCCCATTTCTTACAATTAATTTTGTAGTACATTCTGGGGATTTAGAAGGGTCCCTGGTCTAAACCTCTTGTTACAGAACTGCGGGTTCTAACTTGTGTCTAAACATTTCCCTGCTTGGTTTTACCAAATCTCTATGAAACTAATACAAATTTAAGCTTAGGCACATATGAACAATCTATCTCATCTGGTGAATAATGTTGACCACCATCCTTTACTCTTCTTCTTGGGCACAAATATCCAGAACTTTATCTAAGAGTAAGTCCAGAAGTAGCACCCAAACACACATTGATGGCATCTGTCATTCTGCCAAGAAAGGAAAAAGATCAAGGCTATTGGCTTTGGCAAACTTTCAAGAAGCTGCCCCTAGTCCTGACCTAATCTTCACAGGAGGACAACTGTCAGAAGCATACGGTTCCTTAGCAAGCTGCTGGCAGTCTTGCCTCTCACTTACAGGGTTTTCCTACCAGTTCGCTTTAAAATATGGCACCTTTTTTTGCCCTTAGTAGTGATAGCTGTGCACTGATATGTCCACAATGTACAGTCTAGTCCCCAAAAGCATGATTAATTTAAAAAAAAAAAAGATACAGAAAAAATCTGACTAGAATTACAGGTACAGTTTGTGGCTCCAAAACAAGGCAAAGCTAACCCATGCCCTTGACCTGGTTTGTATGTCACTAACAAACTGAGCTAGCCAACAAGCCAGAATATAAGAACCTATCTCAGAAAATAAAAGATGGGCATCTGTATTACCCCAACAATGCCCAAAGCTAGGATCTGGGCTATCTACTCTTGTAAGCCTAAATTCAGGAAGTCTATCAGATAGGCAACATTTTCCAATCACACTGCAGGTATTTTTTTTAGACATAAAAATGACAAAGACCAGTTTAATAGGTGACCTTAATTGTGTGCCAGCAGAAATACAGGTAGCCTTAAAACCCCAATCCTGGTGTAATTTATAGAACAGAATAAACCCAGGTTATTACTAAAGGTGAATGACATACTTAAAAAGTATAACAAGATGAGGCCAGGCGCGGTGGCTCACGCCTGTAATCCCAGCTCTTTGGGAGGCCGAGGCAGGCGGATCACGAGATCAGGAGATTGAGACCATCCTGGCTAACACGGTGAAACCCCATCTCTACTAAAAATACAAAAAATTAGCTGGGCGTGGTGGTGGACACCTGTAGTCCCAGCTACTCAGGAGGCTGAGGCAGGAGAATGGCGTGAACCTGGGAGGCGGAGCTTGCAGTGAGCTGAGATCGCACCACTGCACTCCAGCCTGGGCGACAGAGCAAGATTGTCTCAAAAAAAAAAAAAAAAAAAAAAGTATAACAAGATGAATGATTAAGAAAAAAGAAAAACCTTCTGAAATCAATGTCTGTTCAAAAAATTTTATGATTGTGTAGCCTAATGGCTAACAAGCCTTTTGTTTTCATGTTTCCCTTCCTGGCAATATGCCGTTAAGGCATAGCTTTCCTATTATTTCCTTGTGTTTTAGTCAATTGTCTTCATTAAATATTGTCTAAGTGGCACAATATCTAGTTTTAAGCCAAAAGGAAAAGATCTATTGTAAGTCACGAAATCGCACCAACTGCATTGGAAATTGAACTTGCTTCCCTGGTTTTCCCCATTTAATTCACAACTGTGGCTATGGTTTAAAAGAATAGAAATTGTTTATTTGGCACCAAATTTGCTCCACTGTAAAAATAAATAAAAGTATCTCTTCTGAGGTGGGGGGAAAAAGTTTATTTTAATATCTAAGGCTATCCAATATTAGATTACATGTTTGACTACTGCTCAAGTGTTCATTATTTTCTTTTCAAAAGAGCTTTCACAATGTATGTTAAAAGACTACAGGGAAGAGGGAGGCTGAGAAATTATGGGCCCTCTTAACTCTCAACACAGGCTTCTGTGGCCCTGTTCAGGGTGAGAAGATCTTTTATCAGATGAGGGATTCAACCCAGTGAAAAGTTACCTCACTTAACAAATAAGGTCTAATGCTGGACAGGCTCCAAACAGATTTAGAGTTGTAATATAAGAGCATTTCCTTTTTCAAATAATTTGTCTATCGTTCATACAGCAAAGGAGAGCTCCAAAGTTTTATCATTTAAATACTCAAAAACAACATTTTTAATCTCACACAACATTTTCTGTTCCAGAAAATCAGGCTGTAAGAACCTGTGACATGAAGAAGTCATTTTACTCTCAATTAATCCAGGACTTACTGACCCAGCACTGTCTGAGAATTAAGAGACTCAAAGGAAGCTGTGATTACCCCAACTCGAGTTGCAGAGAAAAGAATAACGTGCCGGAAAGTCAGAAACCAGGCAACATCAGGATGTATAAAGAACTAGACTGCTTGAGTCCCTAACCTGGTCTGCCACTTACAGGCTGTGTGGCCTAAGCTAGGCAAGTTCTTTAACTTCTCTGTGCCTCAGTTTCCTCATCTAGAACATGGCAATAAAAGTATCTATCTTGTATAATTATGTGCAGTCAATGACGTAGCCCATGGAAAGTATTAGAAAGGGCTTGGCATGAGGTAGGCACCTCACATACAATATCGGTATCAAATTAGCTGTAAGTGTTGTGTGGTCAAGCTAAGTGCTTTAAGGAGGAAGGGCAGGGAAGGCTTCGTGGAAGCTGTGGCACCTGAGCTAGATATGAAAGCACAAGATAATCCAGACACTCAGAGGGAAGCACATTCCAGACGTGGACAGCCATTACTGCAGAAAGTCACAGACAGAGTAAAAACCAGGAACGCTTAAACATCAATGAGGAAAACAAGCTCACCAAAGCTGAGGGTGTATTTGGTAACCCCAGATTAATTGGGAGTGATGGGGAAGGCTCTGCACACTTGTTGCTGTGCTTCTAGGACTTAACATTCAGTTCATTTTTAGACACATGTTCTATGTATGCAAACTTGTGGACTATGAATGCAAACTCTCCCTGAAATGCTCTGTTCTCCCCCTGCTCCTAGAACAGTGGAAAGGATACTAAAAAATTAAAAGGTAACCTTTTATTTCTGAAAAAAAAAATCTGCTGGATGAAATATAGGTCACTAAAATCAACTTGAATCTCATGTTCGTCTGTCCCTGTTTCAGTGGGGCTACAAACAAGGTGACAGCTCAGAGAAAGGGGGTGAACTTCAGATCCACACTTCAACGCTGGTCTCTATCAGCAGCCTCAGCCACTCTAAATAATATAATCTACATAAAAGACAGTACACTTGCTAAGTGAATGCATCTTCAAGAGGGGTATCATCCACCCTAGCCTGATCTGTCAACCAGACATTACCTCCAAGCCACATACAGAAATAGAGAAAATGCTCTCAGTACCAGTTTCTTAAATAGTACCTGTGCAATCAATTTCCTCTAAACTTTGAGGGTTTTGTTGTTGTTGTTGTTGTTGTTGTTTTGAGACGGAGTCTCGCTCTGTAGTCCAGGCTGGAGTTCAGTGGCGCAATCTCCGTTCACTGCAAGCTCCGCCTCCCTGGTTCAGGACATTCTCCTGCCTCAGCCTCCTGAGTAACTGGGACTACAGGCACCCGCCACCACACCCGGCTAATTTTTTGTATTTTTAGTAGAGACGGGGTTTCCCCGTGTTAGCCAGGATGGTCTCGATGTCCTGACCTCATGATCCTCCCGACTTGGCCTCCCAAAGTGCTGGGATTACAGGCTTGAGCCACCGCGCCCGGCCTAAACTTTGAGGTCTTGAAACCACTACAACAGATGCTGTGCGTACTTAAGATTGGTATTCACTTAGAATATTACCTCTATTACCAAGTTAGAAATTGTAATACCAAAATAAGTCACCATATTCCTCATCCAAAGAGGAAAAAATCACAACAGAATATAGAACTTCTATTTTGACTGGTGTCCCCTCTAGAGAGAAAACAAGTTTGCTAACCCAAGTTGGACACCTTGCTTTGTTTCCGGCAATATAAGGATAGACTTAACACTGGAAATACCAGAGCACGGCTTGAAGCCAGGGAGGGCCCCACAGCAGTTACAAGCTCTGTGATTATTTCCTGAACCAAACACCTAGGGCACTCAAGGATACCAAGCTTTGTTGGAAAAGCATGTTTCCTCTGGTCCAACAGCTGCAACTTTAAAGTGTTTTCACACAAGACCTCAAGTTTCTCTTTATGCCATCTCCCAAATATTTACAAAATGAAACACTTTCAATCAGAACTTTTGCTTGTAAACACCTTATTTGTTTTAAGGACCATAGTGCCAACACTAAAAGCAGCCTTTTAAACAAAGTAGCTCAAAACCACACACACACACACACACACACACACACACACACACACACACACCCCTTAACAAGCAGAACATGTCCACAAAACAAGAAAGCCAGGATTCAAATTCCTTAGCACCTATTCATGGAGCTCCTGTAAGCACCACCCAAGGATGTGACCCACCACACCCTCTTCATTATCACACCTCCTCACTAATTTACTAATTTATGCTCCTGAAAACCCACAGAATCAGACTACTGGATGGTAACATGTTACAAATATTGGGCAAATGTTCTTTCACATTTCTTTCACATCAACCAGCCTGAAACAACTGATCCTGTTTACGGAACGGCTCTGCCTCAGGTGAGAGGACTATTGTCTCCCAGCTCTTCTGGGAGACACTGGTGGCCTGGCAAAGGCTTCTGGGTATCTTTCTCTTGGTGTCTCTCCCTATTCACGTGTCACACACCTCCTGGGAAGATTATCTGGGCCAAGGATAGTGCAACTGAGAGAAATCTAGAAATGCCTGGTTCAGGGGTAATAAGAAATTGTAACTACAAAGAAACAGTCGATGTGAGTGAATGTATTCTAAAAGCAAATAATTAGGAAATATGTCTATTTCAAATACATAGAAGGCCTTTTATGCCAGACAAGTTTTGGTTTATGATGAAATGAAACTGCTTGATAGAAAAGCTAAGGGGAATATTACCACGGATGACAGAACTATCAGTGGAAATAATAGACCTTGGATCTCCAATCATAGTTCTGCTACTTAATATTCGTTTAACATATATTTATTAAAGACCTACAAATGAACAAACTGCTCTAAATGCTGGGGGGACAGAAAAGGACAAAACAAAGACACTGCCCTCAAGGAGCTTATAATCTAGTAGGGTAGACAAGCAGAAGAATGAAGGAAATTTTCATTTAATGGTAAGTTCCAGGAAAAAAGTGACAACTTCTGATCCTGTTTCCTCATGGGGATGTAGCTACCTACTTAAAATAAGATCGTAAGTGTCAACCACCAAGCACACAGCAATCCCAAGCATTTACCTGACTATGGATACACATGCACAGACACTCTCATATACACACTTTCCCCCATAATTGCAACATCTGTGATAATGCACATTGGTATAAAATGCAAGCAGAGGGGAAACAAAATATTTATATGTCAATTACACTTAATGCAATTACAAATAACTGCATTCATTAGGAATCTATAAAAAGGCAAAACCTAAACAATTAGTTATAATACTAAAGTATAATTAGAAGGGTCCAGATACTGGAATAATAGTAGTGGTAGTATAAACAGTATTATAAATAGTCACATAGCTGCCTTGTCCATATAACCTGACGGCACAGT
This sequence comes from Homo sapiens, assembly GCF_000001405.40. NCBI lineage: Eukaryota > Metazoa > Chordata > Mammalia > Primates > Hominidae > Homo > Homo sapiens. The sequence goes on along the minus strand of NC_000014.9, from coordinate 59,190,861 downwards.
ATCAGAAGCCAAGTTTAAACCCTTAACTTCAGATTACTTTGGGGTCGGGGACGAAAAAGGACAATGACCAAGTCTATCTTGGAATCATAGGCCATTGCGCCTAGAATTAACGTTAGGAAACCCTCTCTACCCTTTCCTCACATTACCAAAGAGAAGACTGAGGTTCCCAGAGGTAAAGGGTTAATCCCAACGTGGAGTAGCCAGTGACTGACAGAGCCAGAGTAGGACCCAAGGCTCCTGGTTATGGCCCTGCATGCTTCACCCTCAAGGACCTGCGCCCTCTAGCCTGGCTTTAGATTTTATGAGAACCACAAGGGACTGCAGTGTCTTCCAGCCGTTATTAATTGTCCCTAATCACTTCCAATCAGCTGCACCTAGAGCAAATTGAGGGCCTTTGCTGGTGACCAGAGAGCTCTCTTTATGCACAACAGGGGAGGGCGCCTTTCATGACAAAGCTGCCTCCAACACCATAAACTACCTTATTGGGGAAATGATGCGGCTAGCCCGAAAGGGGGAAGAGATTTTTCAAATTATAATTTTCAGAGTTTGCCTCAGGAAAAAGGCGCCAAACAATTAGTTTCAGGGAGAGAGGTGGCGTGATGAGGTGTGGCACGGGGAAGGGAAAGGGGTTTAGAACTGTGTCCAAGCTATTTAGGAGAGAAAGGGGAGAGTCCCGGGGCTGTGAAAGGGGCGAGGAGGAGAGAGCAGCTGGGCCAGGGCGAGCGTTTGACCACACCCACTAGCCACTCCCTCCCAGCTGCCCGCAGAGCCACATCGAATCGAAACAGCAGTGGCAGCGGCTAAGATTCCGAAGGCAGGAGTCGCCATGGCAACGGGATTCATCTTGCAGGCAACTCCGCTTCGATTCACTGGGTCCTGCTCGAATCTCAAGAAACTACCAGCAAAACGGTCACGGTGGCATTTGCTCTTGATGCTCTCCAGAAAGTGGAGATGAAGGAGAGGGGAATGGAGTTCAGGCATCACTAAATATGTTATGGGGCGAGAGGTAGCTCCGCAAAGCCAGGCCGTGAACAACTTGAGACCTTAGCAGGGTTTGATGAATGAGTAAACGAACAAATGAAGGTACTAGGAAAGGCAAAGAACATCCAGAGGACTGAGAGCTCTGGGCCTCCTGCACGTCTCCACTCAGAGGGCAAGCCGATCACAAGCAGTTGGCTTTCAGAACCAGCTGGGTAAACCCGATTATCCAGCCCTCCTGCCCCACAGCGAGCCTAATCATTAGATTATCCGACACCTCCACCCCCGCGCTACCACCTCCTGGCCCAGGGCTTCAGGGCAGGCGCTTCGCCCCAGCCCAGGTGCTCTACACCAAGGGACCGTGGAGACTGAGATGCGCCCTCCCGAGAGGGACGGGCGGCAAAAGCCCTCTGCGGTGCCTCACAACCGGGTCCGCAGGCGGCGCAGCCTCCCCGGCCGCCAACACCCTGCTCTCCCTCCGCAACGCCCGATTTCCCTTCTCTCTGTTTTGAAACATTTAGGTCCAACTTAGTCTGAATTACAGGCGCTCCGTCCCTTTCGAATGGGGCTGGAAGTGAGGGTGCCAGGGGCACTGGGGGCTCTGCTCGGACGCGAACGGGTACACGAGTCCCTCCTTCCCTGTCGCCACCGCCGTGTCCACCAAGCCTGCCTCGGGGTTCTCCCTCTCGGAGCCGCCGGGCCGGGAGCTCGCGGACGCCGCTGCAGTACCCGCGGCCCCAGCCCCGGGGAGCCTTCAGCAAGGCGGCGAGTGTTACCCCGCCAGCTCCTCGGCCAGCCGGGCGCCTTAGAAAGAAAGGGAGGGACCCCAGTCCTTGGGGGCGTCTTCCTCCCTGCTGCCTCGGTTTGCGTTGCGCTGCAGCCATTTTCCCACCCCCAGCTAGGCAGCCGAGAGCTGTCTCGGTCCCGTTCCCACCCAGACCCAACCTGAAGGACGGGTTTAATATTTACCTACTGGCCCGGGAGCTCCGGGGAGGCAGCAGGAGGGCGCGCCGCGAACCCAGCGCCCAGCCCACGGAAGCACGCCCACCCCCGCACCACTGAGCAGTGCCACTTAATGAATGAGTGCGGCGGGCAAGGAGGAGCGTCCCCCTTACCTGAGCAGCCCCTGCATGCTGGAAAGGCGGCTCTGCACTCTGGGTACAATGGGATCCGGTTAAACAGTTTCCTTCACAGCCGCTCGTAGGTTACTAACTCGCAGGTGACATCACCCTCTCCTCGCCTGATAGGATACAAAGTGGCTCCCACTGCGCATGGACGCTCCGGTCGGGCGCGCAGACTCCTGGGAGTAGTGGTCCCAATCTATTAGCGGAGCCGGGACAGCTTTGCTGTCGGGACTCGCGGAACTACATCTCCCGACACACTCCTCCGCCCTTCTGCCCCGCCTCTTATTCCCGCCCCCTTCAGGACCCGCCCCCTCCCAGCCTTACAGCCTTGCAGTGTTAGCGGTGGTCGTTCCGAAGCCGAGCTGCGGACCGCACGGGAGAGTGGGAGGGCTGCCCTGCGGTCGTGTGTGTTGACTTGACCTCTACTTTGCCCGGCGCGGGCTCTGAAGGATCGGAGAGGTCCGGGGCTCGCGTGGTCCGGCCAGGCTCGCTCTAACTGGTCTTTCTTGGTCCCTGCTGGGAAGGGACGATTAAGACTTTTCTGCCTTCCCCAGGCGTAGCAGCTAATTCAGAGGGCTTACTGTTTTCTGGGTTAAATACGGTCCTCGAATTCTCCCCGCTCAACACTTCCAGAGGATGGGGCGACGCCGGTCCCAAGGCGGAGGAATCTCCTTGTACCCCCTCAATTCACCTTTCTCTTTTCTGCTTCCCGTTTAACGGAGACAAGGTGACCAGGCAGAACGCGGGGAACCACTTAGTCGGCTGAGCTGACAGAATAACGGAGGTTGTCACTACCAGAAGTGCGGTGTGATAGACTAGACAGTCGCCGCAACCCTCCGTCAGGGCGCCTGCTGCTGCTGCAAAGATAATACTATCGTGCAGCCATGCTTTTGTTCATCCCTGCAGCAGACTTCCCGCGCTGGTGGCTCTCCACTCCCAGGAAGAAAACGTCCTTGTCTAAAGTTTTAATAATTGTGTATCTATGTATACACATGTTTTTAAATCCACAACACTCTCACCTCATTTTCCATACCTTTTCAAATATTTTTATAAAGACATTAAACCAAACAACATCGTGCCGTTCAAGAATTGCCCTGCTCTTAACACACCTAAATATTTATTTAAAGGTAAGCAAAAGGTGTGTAGCAGAATTCTGACCCTTTAGGCAGGTTGTATTGTTAATACATAATTTTTTCCGTGGCATTTTTCATTATTCAGTGAATACCAAGTGTCTTTTAATATGAAAAGAATCAATGCATTTAGTTACTCGAGTTGTAAATGTAAATTTTAATGGCATTTGATGTGTCTCAATTCCATATAATGATCAGCTCACACACCCGTTCCACTAGCAAAATCTCTAGAAGACTGTGCATCTTGTGAAAAAAAGGTTCACAATTAAGATTTCAGACAACTCCCTACTGAAGTGTTGGTGGAACTCTTATCATTTATTTTCTCCTTTCATTCTGCAACACTAAGTTGGGTTCAAGTGAAAAAATATTTATGAAATTAGTTGAGGATCTCAGGGGAGAGGAAATGCTTTGTTTTGCTCAGAGAGATGTTTAGCGATGAATTCTGATGTTCTTTTAACAAGCCTGTTCTTTATAGACAAGACCCACTTTTCTCCCCCGAAAGAAGATAGCTTTGAATGTTGCTCTTCTGTCCTCAGCTACTTCTTCCATTTCAAATATTATCTAAAATGAACTCTGACAATATAAATTTTCCCCTGGCCATCAGATCAAGGATATAATCACTGATATTCTAACTAATGGGTAGACTTAATGTAACGCAGTTCATGGTGGAAAAATATTCAGAGAGAAACTTGACCTGGGATGATTCTAAAGGCTCTTCTAATTTTATAACTGTGTAAAGCTTTTAGACTGAAACATAATCAGTGAGCCTGAAATTTATTGAGTCAATAAATTGAATGTGGAGCCTTTCTGTTAAGACAGGGCTTATCCTTGTAGATAAAAGTATGTTACTGAGGCACACTCTGAGGAGTAATTTTAATGGAGAAATCACCTTACAACAAGTTCTCTTGGCTCTTCAGTAATGAAGGAGAAGATGCAGTCTGTCTGAAAACAAAAATTCCATTCTCTTTAACAATATTATAGGGATGTGCCATGTGACATAGTCATCTCCATATAAAGGACAGCATACACAATAGACTGTAAGCACATAAATGTGGAGAAATGCACATGTGAACTGCTCTTCCTATCTAATAGCTATAAATATAGATAATAGATGTAGAAAGAGGGCATTGTGTTTGGAAAAATTATCTGCAAGTGGTGATGGATTTGAACTGATCCCTGCACAGTTTCATTGGTAACCAAGGGAAACAAAGATGGCTCTTTAACATGAGAAATACAGTCTGTAGAACTAGCAGCAGAGGAGGCTTAACCACTTCTTTGGAGACAGAAGGAAACTCACACACACACTCTCTCTCACTCACTTTCATACACAATCATTGTGTATGTTTGCATTTAATTTTTTCTAGGTGGCCAAGTAGTCTCATAAATCATCAAAAACACCCACTCTGTCTAGCTAATTGATATTCTCAGTCAAAATGGGTTTCTTTACTTTCTATCTTTTCATTTTACATAACTGCTGCTGTTCTGAAGACCTTATGAAAAGCCCTGCCTCATCCCATAATCGTGGCCTATTAATTAGGAACCTGTGAGACCACTAAGAACAGATTTGACAGTCTATACAGGTAGGGGATGAGGAGAAGGCACCACGAAGCATTTTGATGATCTTTTAAAATCACCTCTCTCAGTGCTGGTTATAAGGTTTTACTCTAGATACTGGATTTTAGATAAAGGAGGAAATGAGTTATCAACAGAGAGAAAGAAATGAAAGTGTGTAGCCTTGCGTGTACTTTCATGCAATAGCTTGGTGTTTTGCAACAATCAAGGTTGTATGCTAAGCCCAGGTTTGGGATTGTGCCATTCCATTATTTGTGATCCATGTTACTTTGCATATTTGTGTTATTTATTCTCTCTGAGCCTCAGTTTCCTTATTTATAAAATAGGGTTAATAATAATATATATTTCATGAGGTTTTTGAGGATTAAATTAAATGAAGCATGTAAAAATATTTTTCAAACTGAAAAGCACTATACAAATGTTAGTTCTTGATATCATTTGCAATTTTTCCCAAAAGATTATCTCAGAAATGTCAGGCCTAATTATGGAACAAGGTAATAAAAACCCATTTAAATTAAAAATTCTTATTCTTAACAGAGACTATTAGAAAGAATATAGCATGCACATATTATCTCACTCTAATTGGTAAGTAGGCAAAATGTACTTTGAAGACTAAAATGAGAAATTCAGGGTTGAACAGTGCCAGTCCTTGACTTGTTCTCAGATCTATATGTTCTTCCTCAGGATCCCCTGCTGTCCTCAGTAACATAGGGAGCTTTTCCCAAGCTTCCCAGCATGGAGAGGCACTGCTGGGGGATTGTAGGCAGGAGGAAGAGAGAAGCTAGGGAATTTCTTCACTTCCTCAGAGGTGCATTGGGTGATGTTTCTGGCAGTGGCAGCAGCATTTTCCTTGTTGGACTGGTCTGTCATGGTTCCAGCTTCTTCCAGGTCACCCTGGCCTTGTAACACCACCTTCTCCCTTTGTCCCTCTTGCCTAGCGGTAGAGATAGCTTCCTGCTGTTGCTAATCTCTGCGTTGGGTGTTTGGCTTCACAGATCTTCTATCACAGTATGGCCAATTCTCTGGACCACATTATCTCTGTTTTAAATACTACTTAGAATCGTTTCTGTTTTTTTGGTGGAACACTTTAACTGACATACTCACACTTTAGTTAAAGTTCTTTTAGGGGCAGACAACAAGAACTTTCTATGGCCAGTTTATGCAAAACAAAGAATGTAATGGGATTTATTCAAAGGATTAGACAACCAAGGCTCAAGACAAACAGGAACTGGACAAACTAGGAACCTAAGCAGTGGTAGTTTTCAGACCTCTCCAGAGCACTGGTCTACTAGCACTAAGACTCCGAGCTCTTTGTTCCAAATTTCAAATTCCTGAGAGAAGCTTATTGTCCTATGTCAGGCAACAGTCCCTGACTTAATTATCTTAAAGTACAATCCCCAGACCAGCAACATCAGTATCACCTGAGAACTTGTTAGATATGCAGATACTTGGGCCACACCTACACACCTACTGGAAAAGAAGCTTTAGGGATGGGTCCCACCACATGTGTCTTCACAAGTCCTCCAGCTGAGTCAGACACACTTGAATGTTTTTGAACCATGGATCTACAGCAAGCGTAACAAGATTGTGTGGCTCAAATATGATCACTCAGGACCTATCCCCGTGTGTCTGGGAGTCTTCTCAAAAAGGAGAAAGTGTGAATCTGGAAGCCACCCCAAGAGGTGTCAGTTAAAGCTGGTAAATCTATCAGGATCTTAATGGTAAAACTTGGTTCTTCCTGAGGGAGAGGACTTTGTAGCATTCTGAGCCAACTATTCAGTTTAGTCACTAAAAAGGCACTTGGAGGAGATTCATTTCACTGTGTTTAATTGAGAGCTCAGAAAAACTGAAAAAGCGGCATCGGAACAGAACAAGGGAGATGGAGTCATACAGAAACGTGAGAATGGCAACAATACTAAGGTTAGGCACAGTAAGTGGAGGGGTGAAAATACCTCCAGCCACCCAAAACTCTCTCCAGACCAGTCTTATTTGAACAGCTCCTCGGAGTTCAGAAAGAGAAACTCTCCTTTGACATATTTTAGCCGGTCTTCCTGTATAAGCTTCTTCGTAACTGGCTTACTCTTAGTCCATCTGTGAGACCTGTGCTGTTCAATTCTGTAGTCACTGGCCTCATGTGGCTATTTAAATTTCAATTAATTAAAATTGATGAAATTTTAAAACTCAATTACTCAGTCACAGTAGCCACATTTCAAGTGCTCAAGAGCTGTGTGAGGCCAGTGGCTACCATACAGGACATCACAGATACAGAGTATTCCCATTACTTCTTCAGAAAGTTCTGTTGGACAGCACTGCTACACATTTGTTCACTAATGACTGTTTAGATTCTTTCATGCTGAAATCCACCTTCTTTTCTTCTTCTTCCCCAAGTCAAATTCTGAAGAGAGAGAAAATGAAGAGACAAAGAGAAAGGATATATAATTGTTCTAGTTCACCAACTGAAGCTAGAACATATAATAAATCACTGGCCATCACGAAAAAGACAGCCCAACTAATGCTTAAATTCATTTGTCAGCAGGAAAATATAAATTAAGACTATAATGGGATACCACTACATACCCATCACATTGGTTAAAATTAAAAGGACCAACTATACTAAGCATTGCCAAAGATAAGAAACAAATCTTACACTGCTAGTGAAACTGTAAACTGGTAAAACTGCTTTGGAAAAATCTTTATTAGTATTTGCTAAGCATGAGCATACACATCCTTTATGGCTGAGCAATTTCACTGCTAGCAATATACCTAACAGAGTTGTGTATATGTGTTCACCAAAAGTTACCTATTCAAATGTTCATAGTTATGCTATTCATATATTCATACATGTATTCATATAGCCTAGGGTTGCCATACAATATTTGGGATATACTTACACTAAAAATATTTATTGTTTGTCTGAAATTCAAATTTAAGGAGACATTAGGTATTTTTATTTGCTAAATCTGGCAACTCCATGATAGCCCCAAACTAAAATCAACACAGTTGCTCATCAACGGTACAGTGGATAAATAGATTGTGGCATAGGCACATAATACTATATCGCAGGGGTTGGCAAACTTTTTTCTGTAAGGGGCCAGATAGTAAATATTTTAGGCTTTGAGGGCCATATGATCTCTGTTACAGTTACTCAGTGCTGCCATTGTAGCATGAAAGCAGTCGTAGACATAAAGGAATGAGTATGGCTGTGTTCCAATAAAGCTTTATTTACAAAACAGTCAGCTGGCCTGTAAGCCTGTAAGCCATAGTTTGCCAACCCGTGCTATCTGGCTATGAGAATTAACAAGCTATGTCTACGTGTGAAAATAGGAGGAACCGCACCAAAAAACACTGAGTAAAAAGAGTATATACTGTATGATTCCACTTATGTAACATTTTTTTAAAGAGGTAAAGCCATTGATAGTGTTAGAAGACAGAGTAACAGTTACCTTTAGGGGATAGTAATAGAAGAGAACATGAGAGGTCTCTGGGATGCTGGTATTTTTTATCTGGGTGCTGTTTATGTGGCTACTTTATTTTGTGAAAATTTATCATGCTGTACACTTAAGATTTGTGTCCACTTATGTATATACATATTAAAATAAAATATTTATATGAATTAAATACTAGGCCAAATTATCTCAAGATCATTCCCATAAGAAATTGTTTTATGTATTCTGGTACCCAAGTTTTTTAATATATTTTTCTAATTATAATGGTTATTCATGTCTTTTGTAAAGAATTTAGAAAATATTGCTACTTAAGGCCATAAAAATCACCCATGAGCCAACAAACGAGGGAGAAATATTAACATTTCTCCCTCCACTCCCCACCATCTTCCCTCTCATTGGATTTTTTTACATCATTAGCATTTTGAGTGCTATGTGATATTTTATTTTGGGAAGATAACCATTTGTTCTTGTTATTTATTTTTTATTTCATAATTATAAACTTAACTCTGTAATCCAGCTAGACTTAGAGAATAAGGAAAATATGGAACCCAAAGAATTGCAACAAGAGCACAAAGATAATGGACATTGCAAACAGATGGGATGGAGGGATACTCTCTTGAGCTACAGAAAGAACAGTGTGGTGGCTAAGATAAAACACAAGCCAAATTTATTAGAGTTGTCCACAGTTAGCAATGGCGATCTTCTTGTTGGTCTTGCCATTTCTGGACCCAAAGCACTCTGTGCCTTCCAAGATATTCCTTCTGTCTTTACCTTGCCAAAAAACCACATGCTTGCCATCCAACCACTCAGGCCCAGCTGTGCAGATGATAGACTGGAACTGTTGATGTTGGGTTCAGAATTTGCCATGGACAAGATGCCAGGACCTGTATGTGTCAGGATGAAGTTCTCATCCTCAAATTTCTCCCCGTAGATGGACTTGTGTCAGTACCACTATGGCATATGAAGTCACCACCCTGGCATAAAACCCCTGGAATAATTCTGTGAAAGCAGGAATACTTCTTTTCTCTCCAGTGGTCAAAGATCTAGGGGGTTAGGACTCCAGCATATGAATCAACATATGAATTGGGTGTGGGGGAATACAGTTCAACCCATAATAGTCAGAATACAAAAGTTGTCTGCTATCTCTGGAACCGTCTGCAAACAGCTCAAGGAAGGAGATGTGGCCCCAGGGCTCGCCATCCACTGTGACGTGGAAGAACAATGTGGCTCTATAGCATATGTTAGGTGTATTGGTTTGCTAGGGCTGCTGTAACAAAGTACCACAGAAATGTATTGTCTCACAGTTCTGGGGGCTACAAGTCCAAAATCAAGCCCTGTCTGTAGGGTTGGTTCCTTCTGAGGGCTGTAGGGGAAGGATGTGTTCCAGGCCTCTCTCCTTGGCTTGTAGATGGCCATCTACTTTCTATTATCCTCCTTCTATGCATGTCTATCTCTGTGACCAAATTTACCCTTTTTATAAAGATACCAGTCATATTGGATTAAGACCCACCCTGGCCAGGGGCAGTGGTCCATGCCTGTAGTCCCAGTGCTTTGGGAGGCCGAGGCGGGAGAATTGCTTGAGTTCAGAAGTTCAAGACTAGCCTGGGCAACATAGCAAGACCCCGTCTCTACAAAAAATACAAAAATTAGTCACGTTTGGTGGTCATGCTTGTGGTCCCAGCTATTTGGGAGACGGAGGTGGGAGGATCACTTGAGCCTGGGAGGTTGAGGCTGCAGGGAGCTGAGATCATGCCACTGCACTCCAGCCTGGGTGATGCAGTAAACCCCGTCTCAAGAAAAAACCAAACCAAACCAAACCAAATCAAAAAAACAGCAAAAGACCCACCCTAATGACCTCACTTTAATTTGACTGCCTCTGCAAAGACCCTTTTTCCAAATAAAGTCACACTCTAAGATCCTGGGGATTAAGACTTCAGCATATGAGTCAACATATGAATTGAGTGTGGGGGAATACAATTCAACCCATAATACTCAGTAAACACAAATAAGGGAAAACTGACTTTCTAGGTCTCAGCACCAGTGTTTTGCATGTCATAGTCACATAGATGTTAAAGCTGTTGAACATCTGATTAGGAAATATAGATAGGATCAAAAAACTGAATATAGCAACCTGAAACTTTTCAAAAATAATGGAAATAAAAAACAGAGGGTGTTTCCTGAGTTATGTGGAAGCCATGGTGCTGTTTTGGGGTGTGAAGGCTGAGGTCTTGCCTCTAGGTATCCAGCCCTGTCACTCTTGATCAGGAATTCTCAGATGAAGACTCTGCCGACCTTCCATTGGTAAAAATTCCCTGGTCATACATTTTAGACAAACCATCCCAAGTTAGCTTTCAAAATATCCCCTATTGAGGGTGTCATACAATTTTCATTTTCTTTTTCTCTTTAAAGGTCAAATCTCTGCATGGGCTCTTTAACCCTAAAATGGGCAGTCCATGTGTGGCAAAACCTTGTCTACAAGTAAAAGATGGGCTGAGTGGACAGAAAGAATTCTGTTTACTCTTTTGGTTTCTGTAACTTTCTTTGCCGGGAGTTATCCTGGCACACGTGTTCTGTTTCGTGGCAGAAATATTACAGCGTGTAGGATTTATTTAAGAGGCTTCTTTCACAGCAGGTTGTGCTAGCACTTAGACATTGGATTTTAAGATTAGGGATGACTTTAGTCCTGTATTACATGAGAACCTTGTGATGTGGAATTTCTCATGGAAAGCCACACTTCAGTACAATATGTCATGGCATATTATCTTTGAGAGTATTTTCTCTTCACCAAACTGTGATTGTAACCTTTTCTCTCGGGTTGTCTGTGCCCTCTCCCTGTGTCTCAAGCTCCTAAAATAATATTTTGGGTTGTCAGAAGACTAACCACCCAGTTAAAGGGGAAAGGGAGATATTGGAATGCTTCTTTCTGGCTTTGCTTTCTTGCGAGTGACAGGTTTTCTTCTCTGGGATTTATGTTATTGTTTTAGAAAATTATACTCATTTAAATCTAAACATAGTTAACGCAAGCAAAATATAACCCCATTACTTTTCACACACGTGTAACAGTGATTCTGAATAACAGGGTCAACTCCCTCTTGACTTAGGCATGTAAGTTAACTATGCTTGAAGCTACACTACCTCTGGCTACAAGCACGCTAGAATTTGCAAGTTGAGCAGCTTTGAGTAAGGTCAATGCTAGGATGGGAATCTCTAACAAAAACCCAGACGTATCAGAGATGAACATAGGATTTTAAGTGTTTGATTGTGTCCCAATTCACTTGTGGCAGATCCTTACAGCCATCATTTCAGAAAGCCTTGTCACAAGGCACATCCCTACTTAACGTTCAGGTGAAGAGTTCCCTGCTCAAGGTAGATGCACATCGGTGGTATGCTGGGAACCCACAGCCCTGCCTCACAAAACCCATTGTCAAATTTGGGAAATTTTGTGAGCCAATTGTTAAACACAGCTGATATTAAAAATTAAATTGTATAAACATAATTATATTATATTGAAAACAAAGGTAATAAATACTCTAAGGTCATCACTTGTTAATTGTTACTCATTTTACTATTATTTGTGCTCTTGTGGTCCCTCTGAATCTGAGTGCTGGAAGTACTGTCATGATGTGTTACTGTACATCTCTCCCCAACCTCACATTCAGTGATGTCACACTGGTAGCAAGACATCAGTCGTAATGGGAGTATTTCCAACAAAGAAATCTGCAGATGCTACAAATTAGGGCTTCCCTCACAGATCCAGTTGTTAAATGCTTACTGGCATCCCCATCTCCTTGTATTTGTTTTTTTGTTGTTATTTAAATAATTTCAACTTTTATTTTGGATGCAGGGGGTACAGGTGCAGGCTTGTTACATTTGTAATAGAAGAGAATAACTGCTATGCAATGCTCTGCATTTTTCCCTTGTGATTTCATTTTGCTGTTGGGTTCTAGAAATGGAGATGCTAAGCATGTGTCACTGTACTCAACTTGGGCAGAAGTAAGGGTGATATTGTATCATGAGCTGAGAAGAGCCCAGTTCCTTAGTGGGTTCAAGAGCTGAGCATTTTCCCTCAAACAGGAAAGAGGCATTTGGTGATAGGTTTCACAGTGGGTAGTGGTTTTGAACGAGGAAGAAAAGGAAGTCAGCCTGGGACTGCTGTAGGTATCAGATGGAACACAGAGAAAATTCCCAGATGGCTGCACTAGCACTGAGGCTGCCTGACCACACAGGACCCCACATACTATCCATAAAAACATTTTCATGAATCTGCAAAATAATGATGAAAATAATCTTAAAAAGACAATGTAGAGAATTTTTTATGAAATGAAATGTTTTTATATAAAGGACTATCTTTATGCTGGGATCATAGGTTAATTATGTCAAGAGTTATAAACACTACTGTATTAGAAGTCTGAGGCAATTAAGAGGATGCAAATTATATACAGCCATGTGCCACATAATGATAGACCACCTATATGATGGTCCCATAAGATTCAAATACCATACTTTATATGACGGTCCATATATGGTGATCACATAAGATTATAATACCATCCCATAAGATTATAATACTGTACCTTCTCTGTTTAGATGTGTTTAGATACACACATACTGTTGTATTACAATTGCCTGTGGTATTCAGTACCATAACATGCTGCACAGCAGAGTCACGTGCTCCCAATGCCTAGAAGCAACAGGCTATACCATATAGCCTAGGTGTGTAGTGGGCGAAATCATCTAGGTTTTTATAAGTACACTCCATGATGTTCACACAATGAAATCGCCTAATGATGTATTTCTCAGGACATATCTTGTCGTTAAACGATACATGACTATAGATGGGTTGTTTACATCTTAAGAATTATTTTGTCCTAAAAGTCTGTTTTGTCCCCATTTCCCCCACTTGCATTAGGGAATATCTCTTTTTTCTTAAAAAAAAAAAAAAAAGATCAGTGATCAAGTTTCCAGGCTAGACAACAAAAGCAAATGCATCCTAGAAAAGAGTTGAGTCATAGCATTGATCTTGTTTGCCTGAGGTCTGAATGGTTGGGGAAGGGAGAAGTCCTTGCAGGAATGAGAGGCGTGAGGGAGGAAACAGCATATATTATCCTTCTTCTAAGCCAATGGATGGTGCCCTAGGAAAACTGGAACCAGTTGGAGTTTGTCCTCAACATTCCTCTCACCTCCCTTTATGGCTTGCTCTCAGTAGCTGGTATGCCTTCTCACAAGGCCCTCATTCCCTCCTGGCACTCTGCATTCTCCACCATGGCACCTTGCAGGTCTGTCTGAATTCCTAAAGTGCTACAAATTCCAAAAATTACTTGCTCCCTTCTCCTCGCAGTCAGCCCATCCATTTATTTTTCCAGCACAGTATCTCAGGTGTTATTGAACAGATGTACACAATTACGTGAAGGACTGATGGCCCCTACATTCACAGAATTATTTTTATTTTTAGGAATCTTATAATTCAGATTATCTCCAATTGGCAGTATATTATGAAATTTAAAAAACACACACACAAGACAGAGTAAGAGTTTGGGAGCAAAGAATATTGGAATAGGGAGGAACAGGGCAGGTCCCACAGAGAGGCACATTGTTAATGAATTGCTTAATCCCTCAAAATGTGTTTATGATTTTCAAAAACTCCTCCCTTTGACCCACAGATTTTCCTGAACTGGCAAAAGCTGGATTTTAGCTAATCCTTGTTTTGATAATTGCTCACTGGTACAAGCAGCCCCAGAAAAACAAATGTCTCAAGATTAAACATTACAATCCTCTAAACTTTTTCAGATTCATACTTGAAAACCTTCACATTTCCCATAAGGGGTTCTTATGGGAATGGTGACGCCTCCAGCTATAAACGGAGGGTGGTGTCAGGTGAACTCTGCCTCTGTGTGTGTGTGTGACTGCACATGTGCACATATATGTGCTGGGGTATGTTGCAGATGTATGGGTACATGCGCAAGCTATTTATCATTTTATAAGAAGCGCTCAATATGTAATTAAACACATAGAGTCACAGTGGGTTCTAGCTTTCCCCAGTCTGGAAGATACGTCTTAGCTCTAAAATCCATACTCACATCTGAAATTCCTTCTGTCCAGCTATTACCTTCCTAGATCAAGTTCTTCCCTCTATGATTACTGAATGTGTATTCTATTTATAATTCTAATCTCATTGCTTCTTTTTTTCTAGTTAAATATATTCTGGCTGGCGTGGTGGCTCATGCCTGTAATCCCAGCATTTTAAAAGGCTGAGGCACGTGGATTACCTGAGGTCAGGAGTTCGAGACCAGCCTGGCTAACATGGTGAAACCCCGTTTCTATTAAAAATACAAAAAATTAGCCGGGTGCAGTGGTGCCTGCCTGTAATCCCAGCTACTTGGGAGGCTGAGGCAGGAGAATCGCTTGAACCCGGGAGGCAGAGGTTGCAGTGAGCCAAGATTGCACCATTGCACTCCAGCTTGGGCAACAAGAGTGAAACTCTTGTCTCAAATAGATATACATATATATATGTACATATATGTATATATATGTACATATATGTATATATATGTATAGATATATCATATATATTATTATATATATAAGATATATATAAGATATATATAATACATATTATATATAATAATGTTATATATACATATTCATATATATATACACATATATTCTTATTCCCCAAGTTTTCTACAAAACAGGTGTCTTTTGGTGCTTGAGCTGCCTTGAGCGCTATTGTTCGGTGTTAACCAGAATTCTAGTACCATCTGTAGATCAGCATTTACTCATTAGTAATAAATTCTCATCAACAAGCAATAATTCTTCGTCTACAAATGTGAACACTAATGAAAAACCACAAATACTGATGAGCAACCATCTGGTGGGACCAATAGAAGAGAGTGTGCACTGATGGTGATCATTGTGGTTCGTCTCTGCTGTATGGCAGATCTTTATTTTACAGGCATAGTGGGTGAGCAGCCATGCAACGAGTGCATAGAGTGCAACATGTTCCCCAATCTTGAGGAACTGAGAGACTGAAAACTAAAAATAAGAGTGCATCTCTCATTTCACCACAGAAAACTTCAGCAGAGAAAAGGAGGGGAATCTTTTAGCAACTTCAGTGCAAGTCAGACAGAGACTTTTTCAAAAGCAAACCATGTTTCTGTTTGGGCTAGGTTAAATGGCAATGGAGTGGCCACTGTCTATTATATTTTTTGCTAGGCAGCACCTGCTTACTTTTCAATCGAGAGGATTGCTGTCAGAAATATAATACAAGCCGCCACATGTGTACTTCAAGATTCTCTAGTAGTCATGTTTAAAAAGTACAAAGAAACAGAAGAAATCTATTTTAATAATATATTTAAACAGATACATAACAATATTACTTCAACACACAATCAATTTTAAAATAATGAAATCATTTACACTTTTTTTTTTTACTAAGTCTTCAACATCAGTTTGTTTTTTATACTTGTAGCACGTATCAGTTCAGACTAGCCACATTTCAAGTGCCCAATAACTTTATGTGGCCAGTGGGTACCAGAGGGAGCAATGCAAGTCTAGAACATTCCACCCCAGAGGGTGCTCCGTGTGTACCTCTGCTCACATTTACTGAGGATGGAGCACTTCACTTTCTTGTTCTATCACCACCTCCTATAGCCAGAAATTGGCCGCAGGCAGGAAAGGGATAGTGAAAACCTTTTTTTGTTTGTTTGTTTTTTGAGATGGAGTTTCACTCTCGTTGCCCAGGCTGGAGTGTAATGGCGCGATCTTGGCTCACTACAACCTCGGCCTCCCAGGTTCAAGCGATTCTCCTGTCTCAGCCTCCCTAGTAGCTGGGATTACAGGCGCATACTACCATGACTGGCTAATTTTTGTATTTTTAGTAGAGACGGGGTTTCATCATATTAATCAGGCTGGTCTCGAACTCCTGACCTCAGGTGATCCACCTGCCTCGGCCTCCCAAAGTTCTGGGGTTACAGGTGTGAGCCACCATGCCCAGCCGGGAAAACCATTTAAAACGTCTTCATAGAGGCCGTTTAGCCATGCTTGTTATCATCTTAAGGTGCATTAAGACTGAAGAGGGTCCTTTGTCAGAAGCAGACTTTCTTTATGATGGATCAGAGGCATTCTCTGCATTCTAGGGAGTTTGATCCATGTCCTAGCATGCTCATCACCCATTTGATGGGCCTAGGCCTGGCGTTTCACACAGCATTTCAAATTTTAGTGTGCATAGGAATCTGTGTGTGCCAGGACCTAGCACATCCTGAGAGTCAGGCCCCATGTGAAGCTTTATTTTTAACAAGCACTCTAGGTCATTCTGGGGAAGGAGGTCTGGCTCTCTGTCATTTAGAAATAACTGGTGAGGACTAGAACTCAGGTTCCTATACCTGGAACTTGTTGCTCTGTGTTGTCAGCTGTCTCATATGAGGAGGTAGCACAACAAATCACTTGCATTTTAGTAGGAAATTTTGTCTCAGATTATTTTTGCTCATCAGAAAGTTCCATTTGGCAACATGAAATTCTGTGTCTCCATGGGAAAAGCCGTTGCTAGACAGGTTTTTAAAATGATAATGAAAGGAATTTACAGAAGCTAAATTAAAACACTGAATATCACCTAGGGTGATACTAGGTTTAATATCGACTTCTCTTGTTTCCCTATTCTCGATAGACTGTTTATTTCTTTGATTAACTTTATTACTTAATTAGTGAGGCTCTCTTCAGAGAAGCCCTTGAAATGTGGCTAGTCTGAACTATGTGCTGCAAGTATATGCATAAAGGAAGTTACCCACGGGCACATCACTTGGAAATGTTTGCTTTTCACAAAAATGGATTCCTAACATAAATTCTGTTTGCATTTGCTTTTTTAAACTTTAATAATTACGTTAAACTTTGCTTTAGTTTTTAAATGTCTGCGTCTATATTATTTATTTATTTATTTATTTATTTTTGAGACGGAGTCTTGCTCTGTCACCAGGCTGGAGTGCAGAGGTGAAATCTCGGCTCACTGCAACTTCCGCCTCCCGGGTTCAAGCAATTCCCCTGCCTCAGCCTCCCAAGTAGCTGGGTCTACAGGCGCGCACCATCATGCCAGGCTAATTTTTTGTATTTTAGTAGAGACAGGGTTTCACCATGTTGGCCAGGCTGGTCTCCATCTCCTGACCTCACGATCTGCCGCCTCAGCCTCCCAAAGTGCTGGGATTACAGGCGTAAGCTACCGCGCCTGGCCCATTATTTTTAATAATAGTTTCTTCTATGGTATAAAATAATTTAATTAACATTCTATTTTGGAACTTTTAAGTTGTTTTAAATTTTCTTTTGTTTTCTTTTTTTTATAGAGACAGGGTCTCACTGTGTTGCCCAGACTGGTCTCGAACCCCTGGGCTCAAGCAAAAGTGCTGGGATTATAGGCATGAGCCACTGCATCTGGCCTCCTTTTCTTTTTATTAACAAGGCTGTGGTAAAGATTCTTCATATGCATCTCTGGGTGATGAGCTTGGATTTTTAATAAACAAAAATGTAGAAGCAGAAACTAACAACACTCATTTTCCACTGCCCAGAATTAATGACTGCCAATGTTTCAACACATCATTTCCCAGTCTTTTCATACATAAAAATATACAAATATTCTTCTTTTAAAACATATAAAAATATACAAATATTTTTTCTTTTTTCTTTTTTTTAAAAAAAAGGTGAGACTGTTCCAGGTAAAATGAAAATTCCCTTTGGCCACCACTTACTATTCTGGTCCCCTCCCTTCTCTCTTCAGAGGAAATAACTGAGTTGGTACATAGTGCAACCCACTTTTATACATTTATATTATATATGTATCAAAAACATTTACTAATGCCTTGTGTTTTTTACATAAGTGATGTTGTTCTGCAAATATGATCCTGCAGTTTGCTTTTCCCATTCAGAAATTTTTTTGAGATCCATTCCCATGTAGTTAGACATATATGTAATTCATTCCTTTATTGTATGACTTCATATCTCTTATTTGTCTCTTACATGTGGAAATTTAGGCTGCCCCCTGTTTTTTTCCATTACAAATAATACATGAACATGCATGTGTTTATATGCTTTTCTTTGTGAGTGTGTATATTTTTTTCTAGGTTAGACACCCAAAAGTAGAATTATTGAGTTACAGAGTATATTTAGTATTTTTTTAATAGGCAGTGTCAAATTTGTCTTCCAAAGGGAGTAAAGTCATTCCCCTTTATCTGTGGTTTCATTTTCTGTGGTTTCAGTTACCCACAGTCAACCTCAGTCTGAAAATATTAAATGGAAAATTCCAGAAATAATTCTTAAGTTTTAAATTGTGCATCGTTCTGAGTAGCATGATAAAATCTTGCACTGTCCCACTCCTTCCCACCTGAGACATGAATTGTCTCTTTGTCCAGTGTATCCATGCTGTATAGTATGTACATAGAGGAAAAAACAGTATATATAGGATTTGGTATGATCAAAGGTTTCAGGCATCCACTGAGGGTCTTGGAACGTATCCCTCACAGATAAAGGGGGACTACTGTATACCAATTTAGCTTTCAAACACCAAAATATATCTGTATTTTCAGAATCTTGCCAGTGCTTGACATTGGAAAAACTTATAATTTTTGACAGTCTTATGGATGAAAGATAGCATATTGTTTTGATTGGAGTTTCTCAGATTAGTAGTGTAGGGAAGCATCTTTTCAATCTTTGTTAGCTAAACATACACTATGTACAATTATCTGATTGTATTCTTAGAAAAAAATTCTCAACTGGTCAAAGGCTATATTTTAAGGCTTTCAGAATATAGTTGGAAATTTCCATCCCAAAATTTTGTAACCGTTTATACTGTATTTATCTTGTCAAAACCATGATAAATAATCCATTTTCCAGACTCTCACACAACTCTGGATTATTCACTTTAATCTTTGCTCATCCAACAAGTACAAAGTGTAAATTACTTTAATTTTTTCATGTCTTTGAGTACTGGCAAGGTTAAGTAGTTTTTCTATTAAAAAATACCTTCACATTTCTTCTTTTATATATATCACAGTTCATTACTTTAGCCAACTTTTATATTGGGGTATTCTTTTTCTTATTTACCCACTGTCATATAATTTATGAATATCTTTCCAGTTTGACTCCTCTTTTAACTTTGTTTTTGGAAGTTTTATTATATCTATATATTTTTAAATTTTTAGGTATTTAAATATTAATATAGTTCCATAATATTTTCTTTCTCTTTTATTTTAAAGAACTTTTATTTCTAATCTCAAAATGCATTTTTATTGTAAAAAAAATGTTAAAGGCCTCTAATCCCAGTACTTTAGGAGGCCAAGACGGGCAGATCATGAGGTCAGGAGATTGAGACCAGCCTGGCCAATATGGTGAAACCCCATCTCTACTAAAAATACAAAAATTAGCTGGGCATGGTGGCGCACACCTGTAGTCCCAGCAACTCAGGAGGCTGAGGAAGGAGAATCGCTTGAACCCGGGAGGTGGAGGTTGCAGTGAGCCGAGATTGCGCCACTACACTCCTGCCTGGTGACAGAGCAAGACTCTGTCTCAAAAAAAAGAAAGAAAGAAAGAAAGGCGTGTGTTTATTATTACATATTATCATGATACATATTGTATGTACATATATTTAGCTTTATTGAGATATATTTTGCATACCTTAAAATTCATCCACTTAAAGTGTATCATTCAGTGACTTTTAGTATATTCCTAGTTATGCAACTCTCACCACAAGCTAATTTTAGAACATTTCATCACTCCTAAAAAATACCCTATACCCCTTTAGCAGTCAGTCCTCATTGTCCATTCCCCTTAACCCCTGGCAACTACTAATTTACTTTTTTTGTCTACAGTTTTGGCTATTCTGGACATTTCACATAAATGGAAACATACAATATGTGGTCTTTGTGACTGGCTTCTTTCATTTAGCATAATGTTTTCAAGTTTCATCCATATTTTAGCATGTATCAATACTTTATCCCTTTTTATGGCTGAATAATATTCTGCTGTATGGATATACTACATTACTTTTATCCACTCATCAGTTGATGGACATTGGGGAGGTTTCTACTTTTTAACTGTTATGAACAATGCTGGAGCCAGGTGCGGTGGCTCACACTTATAATCCCAGCACTTTGGGAGGCCGAGACAGGCAGATCACCTGAGGTCAGGAGTTCGAGACCAGCCTAGACAACATAGGGAAACCCCATCTCTACTAAAAATACAAAAATTAGCGAGGCATGGTGGTGTGCACCTGTAATCCCAGCTACTCGGGAGGCTAAGGCAGGAGAATCACTTGAATCGGGGAGGCAGAGGCTGCAATGACCTGAAATTGCACCACTGCACTCCAGCTTGGGCAGCAGAGCAAGACCTGTCTCAAACAAAACAAAACAAAACAAAACAAACAAACAAACAAAAAACAATGCTGGTATAAACACTTATGTACAAGTTTGTGTGTAGACATATGTTTTCAATTCTTTTGGAGATGGAATTTCTGGGTCATATAGTCACTCTATGCTTAAGTGCCAAACTGTTTTCCAAAGTGGCTGTACCATTTTACACTCCTATCAGCAGTGTATGAGGGTTCAAATTTTTCCATATCCTCCCCAACAGTTGTTTATATTATTTTTAAATAACAATTTTTTAAATTGTATTTTTAAAATTGTAGCTATCTTAGATTGTGTGATAAGGTATCTCATTAGGGTTTTGATTTGCATTTCCCTAATGATTTAAGAAGGTTAAGCATCTTTTCTTATATTTAGTGGCCATTTGTATGTCTTTGGAGAAATGTCTATTCAAAAGTTCTTTATATATTCTGGATACAAGTCCCTTCTCAGATATATGATTTTCAAATATCTTCTCCCATTGCTTGGGTTATCTTTCACTTTCTTGATGGCATCTTTTGAAGCACAAAAATATTTAATTTTAGTGAAGTCCAATTTACCTATTTTTCTTTGGTTGCATATGCTTTTGGTGTTGTATATCTAAATCATTGCTTAACCCAAGGTATATTAGTCTGCTCTGGCTGCCACAACAAAATACTAAATACTGTGTGGCTTAAACAACAGAAATTTATTTTTTCACAGTTCTGGAGGCTAAAAGTCCAAGAACTAAAGTGCCAGCAGAATTGGTTTCTGGTAAGGCCTCTCTTTTGGACTTCTAGATGGCTACCTTCTCACATGACCTTTCCTCTGTGTGTGTGATGAGAGAGATAGCTCTCATGCCCTTTCTTCTTCTTATAAAGATGTCAGTCCTATTAGATAAGGGCACTACCTTCATGACTTCATTTAACTTTAATCACCTCCTTCAAGACCGTATCTCCAAATGTAGTCATATTGGGAATCAAGGCTTCAACATACAAAGTTGGAGGGGAACACAATTAAGTCTATAACACAAGGTAATGAAGATTTACTTCATGGTTTCTTCTAAGAGTTTTATAGTGTTAGCTCTTACATTTAGGTCTTTGATTAATTTTTAGTTAATTTTTGAGTGTGGTGTGAGGTAGGGGTCCAACTTCATTCTTCTCCTTCATTCTTCTGAATGTGAATATTCAGTTGTCCTAGTACCATTTCTTGATAACACTATTATTTCCCCCATTGAATTGTCTTGACACCATTGTTGAAATCAATTGAATATCAAGTTAAGGAGTTCTGGGACTTTAATTTTTTTTTTTTTTTTGTAGAGACAGGATCTTGCTCTGTTGCCCAGGCTGGAGTGCTGTGGCATGATTTTGGCTCACTGCAGCCTGTAACTCCTGGGCTCAGTGATCTTCCCACCTCAGTCTCCTGAGTAGCTAGGACTACAGGTGCATACCACTATGCTCAGCTAATTTTCATTTTTTGTTTTGTTTGTACAGAAGGGGCCACACTATGCTGCCTGGGCTGGTCTTGAACTACTGGCCTCAAGCAATCCTTCTGCCTTGGCCTCCCAAAGTGCTGGAATTATAGGCATGAGCCACTGTACCCTGAGGAGACTTTATAATGTTACTATAGCAATTATTGTGTTTACTTAATGTAATAGAATGTAAGCTTCCTGAATCCAGAAATTGACCATGTATGATGATGGAGGTAGAGCATAATGCCCAACATAAAATTGTACTCAATATGTGCTCAATATTTAAATATATATTATGTTTTCACTGTTAAAATGCAAATGATACCTGGGAAAGGACATAATTCTGTAACATGAAATAAGTTTCAGATTAAAAGATAACAAATTCTAGGAAAGGAGACACAGGATAGATGGGTTTGATGGATGAGAAGAAAATATCTTTAGCATTTGATTTTGCTTGGCTAAAGGAATACCTTGGCCAATTAGCCATGCACGTTCTGGTGTTGGGTCTTTGAGAGGGGCTGTGACACTAGAAAAAATACAAATTAGGATATGACAGGAAGGAGCTGAAGAATAATTTACCTAATTGACAGCCTTATCAAGGGATCATCCATTTTGGGGGAAGGCAAAAATCGGAAAGTTGTCAAAGGAGATTTGCCCTTTTCTTTCTTTCTTTCTTTCTTTCTTTCTTTCTTTCTTTCTTTCTTTCTTTCTTTCTTTCTTTCTTTCTTTCTCTTTCTTTCTTTCTTTCTTTCTTTCTTTCTTTCTTTCTTTCTTTCTCTTTCTTTCTTTCTTTTTCTTTCTGAGTGTCTGTCTGTCTTACTCTGTCACCCAGCTGAAGTGCAGTGGTGCAATCATGGCTCACTGCAGCCTTGACCTACCCAGGTTCAGGTGATCCTGCCATATCAGCCTCCCGAATAGCTGGAACTATAGGCATGCACCACCACATCCAACTAATTTTTGTATTTTTAGTAGAGTTATGTTGCCCAGGCTGGTCTTGAACTTCTGGGCTCAAGCAATCTGCCACCTCAACCTCCCAGAGTGCTAGGATTACAGGTATGAGCCACTGTGCCTGGCCTTGGCTTTTCAATTAAGATGGGATCATGAATACTTGAGAAACAACCCTTGAGTATTTACTTAATTGAAGTGAATATGATGGTTAATTGTATGTGTCAAATGGACCGGGCCAAGTACTTGGTTAAACATTATTTTGTGTGTCTGTGAAGATATGTTTGGATGAGATTAACAATTGAATTGATAGATTGAATAAAACAAATTACCCTCCCAAATGTGGATGGGCCTCATTCAATTTATTGGAGCCCTGAATAGAATAAAAGGGGGGTAAAGGCAAATTCATTCTCTTAGCCTGACTGTTTTTGAGCTAGGACATTAATCTTCTCCTACACTCAGACTGGAATATACACCATGGATTCTCCTAGTTCTTAGACCTTTGGATTCAGACTTGAACTATACCAGCAGCTCTCCTGTGTCTCTAGCTTGCAGACCACAGGCTGTGGGACTTCTCACCTCTGTAATTGTGTGAGCAAATTCCTTATAATAAATCTCTTTCTATACATATGTGTATGTGTGTATATAGCCTATTGGTTCTGTTTCTCTGGTGAGCCCTGACTAATATAGACAATAACAAGTTTAAAAATAAACATAGAGGTAATACAATTAAGAATCACAGCTCTATTGTAAGTGCAAACACTAATACAATTTTAACATACTTTATAGCTTCATTTAAGATTCAGGTATTATAAATCAAGGGAAACAAAATCCACTTGCCAAGTTCTGTTTTTCAAAATCATTTCAGCATTTCTTACCTCACTGTTAATGTGTGGTACTTTAAATTGTCTTCAGAATCAGTTGTAATCTCTTATTGGTTGACTCTTAATGAGTTGAATAAAATTTTTTAGTCTGGGCTTGGTGGCTTATGCCTGTAATCCCAGCACCTTGGGAGGCTAAGGCGGGCAGATTACGAGGTCAGGAGATCAAGACAATCCTGGCTAACACGGTGAAACCCCATCTCTGCTAAAAATACAAAAAAAAAAAAAAAATTAGCCGGGCGTGGTGGCAGGTGCCTGTAGTCCCAGCTACTCGGCAGGCTGAGGCAGGAGAATGGCGTGAACCCATGAGACAGAGCTTGCAGTGAACCGAGATGGTGCCACTGCATTCCAGCCTGGACAACAGAGCGAGACTATGTCTCAAACAAACAAACCAAAAAATTTTTGTGTTAATTTTATATTTCTTTGAAAGTCATGATTTTATCTTCTTTTCTTTCTTTCCTTCTTTCTCTCTTTCTTTTTTCCTTTCCTTTTCCTTCCTTCCTTCCTTCCATCTTTCTTTCTTTCTCTTTCTTTCTTTCTTTTTCTTTCTTTCTTTCCTTCTTTCTCTCTCTTTCTTTCTTTTTTTCTTTTTGATGGAGTTTCGCTCTTGTTGCCCAGGCTGGAGTGCAATGGCATGATCTTGGCTTGCAGCAACTTCTGCCTTCCAGGTTCAAGTGATTCTCCTGCCTCAGCCTCCCAAGTAGCTGGGATTACAGGCATGCACCACCACGCCTGGCTAATTTTATATTTTTTAGTAGAGACGGGGTTTCTCCATGTTGGTCAGGCTGTTCTCGAACTCCTGACCTCAGGTGATCCGCCTGCCTCAGCCTCCCAAAGTGCTGGGATTACAGGCATAAGCCACTGCACCCAGACGATTTTATTTTCTTTCAAAAATTATTCTTGGCCAGGTGTCGTGGCTCATGCCTATAATCTCATCACTCTGGAAGACTGAGATGGGTGGATTGTTTGACACCAGCCTAGGCAACATAGTAAGATCCCATCTCTATAAAAAATAAAAATTAGCCAGGTGTCATGATGTGTGCCTATAATCCTAGCTACTTGGGAGGCTGAGGTAGGAGGATTGCTTGAGCCTGGGAGGTGAGTGAGCCATGATTGCACCACCGTACTCCAGCCTGAGTGAGAGGGCAAGACCCTGTCTCCAATATATATACATTCTTTAACACATGCAACACTAGGAATAGAGTCTCCCTACTTTATGTCATATGATTTTTGTGCACTGACAGCACTCACAGGATGGGAAACAATAATTTTTCTAAACTGCCGAATAAAAATTCATTTTTATCTTTTCACTCTTTTCAGCACCTCCTCTTCCGAAGGGTATCATTAATTATCTCACAGTCACCTGCTTTAGGTACTGGAAATAATTCCTGTCTGTAAACCTTCAAAAGGGAAATTAAAATTTTTAACATAGTAACAGATTTCAGTTTTGTCCATCTTAAAAGTAAGATTATTTTATCCCTTAGTTTTTTTCTCTTCATGTCTCAACTCTCTTGGCTTTGCTCTTAAGATTTTAATTTCCAAAGGCTCTTTTGTTGTTGTTGTTGTTCTCTAAATTTTTTTTTTTTTTTTTTTTTTTTTTTTTTTTGAGACGGAGTCTCGCTCTGTCGCCCAGGCTGGAGTGCAGTGGCGCCATCTCGGCTCACTGCAAGCTCCGCCTCCGGGGTTCACGCCATTCTCCTGCCTCAGCCTCCTGAATAGCTGGGATTACAGGTGCCTGCCACCATGCCCGGCTAATTTTTTGTATTTTTAGTAGAGACAGTGTTTCACCGTGTTAGCCAGGATGATCTCAATCTTCCTGACTTCGTGATCCGCCCGCCTCAGCCTCCCAAAGCGCTGGGATTACAGGCATGAGCCACCGCGCCTGGCCGTTCTCTAAAATTTTTATAGCATTCTGTTCTTGTTTCATGGGTATGGTATCTTCCGTAATCTCAGTTATAATATTAATCATGATTTTTAAAGAGTTCTCTTTGCCCTATTTGTATCTCCTTAAAGTTGTTTTTTTTTTTTTTTTTGGTATGTTTTTATGTTTGGGGCTCAGTCTTTCATGTTGGGAGCTTTCCTCAGAGGGCGGCAATCACTGGGTGCTTACGTTTGAGAGCAGGGAACTGAAAGGTGCTTTAGAAGCTCTAGGTATGTTGTATTTACCTGGCACTTCTTCCCTTCCCACCCCTATCCAACCCCTTAACACACTTTCCACTCTCCCCTACTCCTAATCTGGTTGATTTGTCTTTCTCTCAAGATTCAACTCGAGCATTGACTCTTTTTGGAAAGCATTTTTGGTGTCCCACTCTGCTGTAATACTTTAATATACCCCTGTTACCACTCCACATAGATTGTGAACTGCTTGAATGTAGGGACCCAATTCTAGCTCTCCTTTGTGCCCCACTATGTATGGCATAGTCACATACATATTGCCAGTGCTCAGTAATTGTTTGTGGAGAGAATGGATGTATGAATGCTCACCTCCACCATGCACTTTATGTGCATTACCTATTTTTATCCTCACAATAACTCCATGCCATTCTGCTTTTTTCATGGTTTGTCTTCAAATGCGGAAATATGGGAAGAAAAGACAAACAACTGATAAAATGTTGAGTTAAGTGAATGTATTGATATGCAAACGAACAGCCTTTATATTGCCATGTAGGTTTAAAACAGAGATGTAGGCTGGGCGCGGTGGATCATGCCTGTAATCCCAGGACTTTGGGAGGCCGAGGTGGGCAGATCACAAGGTCAGGAGATCGAGACTATCCTGGCTAACTCAGTGAAACCCCGTCTCTACTAAAAATACAAAAATTAGTCGGGCATGGTTGTGGGTGACTGTAGTCCCAGCTACTCAGGAGGCTGAGGCAGGAGAATAGCTTGAACCTGGGAGGTGGAGCTTGCAGTGAGCCAAGATCGTTCCACTGCACTCCAGCCTGGGTGACGGAGTGAGACTCCATCTCAAAAACAAAAAACAAAACAAAACAAAACAAAAAACAGAGATATAAATAAGGGAATGAAATTGATGAGATAGAGAAAAGGCTTAATATGTACCTGGCACTGTGCTAAGTAAGCAATTTGTATACTTTACCTGTTATTTCTCAAAAAATCCATTAATTTATAGATGAGAAGTTAAGGTTCAGAGAGATTGAGTACTTTGTGCAGTTCAAACAATTATGTTTTAACATCAGATCTCTTTGGACCCCAAGCCTATGCTTGTCGGTGGATCAAGACAGGGAGGGTGTTCACTTTGGTGGGAATTTTGGTACCCTAACAGGAGGAACCCCTCTCCAGCTCACCCAAGTCCCTTGTGCCTGCACTTAGTGCCCTTATGTACTTTTTATTTATAATGTTGCTCTGCTTCTGGACCAAGGCTGTCAGAAGAGCCAGACAAGCAGCCTAAGTCACTTGTAGTGGAAACCCCTGATTTGGTTCTCTGTTTCCACCCTGGTGAATATCTGAACTGCTCAAGGCATAATGCCTTATAAATGCCAACTTTGTATTTATCAGCATGCTTCTTAGCTATAGCAATCAATAAGACATACCCTTCTTTTGCTAATGGCTACATTAAGAGGCATCTGTCCCTTTGCATTAAGGAATCACGTTATACTTGTCTGCCAATTGACCGAAATAAAGTATTTCCAGTAGCTGTATCTCTTAAAATGCTGCTGCTTTTCCTTTGGATTTGATACTAAAAATGCAGGTAAGATCAACAGAATGAGACTCCTAGTTCGCTCACCTCACCCGCTACTTACATTGGCACTGACCATGGGTCGAAACTAATAAATAAGCTTTTCTGGCATAAATGTCATGTGCAGCACTTCAGACATCTAGGAAAGTTCTAGAACTCTTTTCTACAAGCCATTTCTCTACTTAGCACTGTCAAAGAACTCATCCAAATATGTGATTGAACCCAGGAGCCCGAGGAAATTGAGCATTTGTGTTATGGATAATAATTTTTTATATTTTTTATCCCCACATCATTGGATGTAGGTCCAACTTAATTTGAGTAGGTCCAAGGCTAGACTACAGTTACGATCTTCATTAGCAAAGCAATATTGTATATTCTCCTCATCGCTGATTAATGGATTGTTTCCTTACATATATTGTAACTTTCTCTTTTTTTTTCAAGCCATTAATCATTTAACCTTACCCTCAGGCATGAGACAGGGTTTTATTTTTGTGCTTCTTAAGAGTATTCTTTAGACAGAATAAGTCATAAAAGCTCAAGTGCATTCATTCTCTTTTCAATTTGTGGATTTAATCCACCATAAAGCATTCCGACTATATAAAGAAATGAACCGTGTTAAAAGCAAGTATTATTAATGTGATACTTCCTCTGGGCACATTTGCCAACCAAAATATTAAACTTCCTTTAAAGAAATTCTTGAGAATTATTAGTTTGTCATTCAATTAAGGGTTTACATGTGTAAAAATATTCCAGCCATGATAATATGCCCTGCAATGTAATGTCAGATGTAGTTTTCCAAAAGGGATATTCAGGGGTCTATAATTTCCCATATTTTGGAGGTGGCCTAATTTTTCTCAATTAATAGAATACTAGAAAAGTGTGCTTTTAGCATTTTAGGCCAGTATTGGATACAATAGTCCATGTCCCTTTATGTTGAAAACATGAATGCCCAAATTGAATAGTTTCTATTTACCACTTTTCTGTTTGAACGTGTGGCCCACATCTGCTAGAATAATAAATGAAATACTAACTAAAATGTTTAAGCCCAAATAAAAATCACTACCCCAATTTGTTTTCTGTAAATGCTCAGAGTATTAATTCTAGCTCCCTCTCCCACCCTGTTCCCTTCCTCTTTCTTTACTTAGAACTAAACATGAAAAGTCATCTGTTCTTTTTTAGTCTAGAAATAGAAACCACCCTCCCACCCCATGCTCAGCCCAGGGAAGGTTACGGTGAGTTTGTGGCTGAGCAATGCAGGGGCTGACCCCATCTATGCTCCTGGAGGGGGATGGACAGGCACTGCCGACACAACGCAACAGCTGTTGCAGAACAGTCTCTTTCCCAGCAGAACACGGAGGGAACTGAGTCTCACTAGCTGCACTGGACATCTACATTTTAGTTTCTCCGAAAGGACAGGTGGTCCTAATACAGCCTGTCTCCAGCCCACCCTTTTCCCTTTTGTTCCTGTGAACATTGGTCTGCCCATCCCCAAGTGGTGCGTTAGTCATTCAAGGCTTTGGGGTGAAATATGATGCAAGAGGAGGAAGGGAAATCTTAGACACAGAACAAAGCCATTTGAGAGCTGTCACATCAGCCTAGGACTTTGATTTTGTGTGTTTTTGTCTTAAACACTGGTTGCTATAGCTACCGTGAGCAACACACATAAAGGAGCCAGGCAGTGGCTTTTCAGAATTGTGTAATACATTTTCTTTTTGAGCTTTTCTTGCACTGAATGTCAAGTCAAGGATACCTACTTTAATTAATGGTTAAATTGGAGTTGAAGATGAATCGTAATTAAGTACCTGACACTGATCATCTACAACCTCAGAGTAAGATTTTCAGTACTTCAGTTTTCTGCCAGATGTAGAAGTGTGCATGATACAGTTAATCAGGAAGAGTCTCGGAAACCCATTTAAAGCTTATTAACATTGATATTTATTCAGTTTTAAATACCCAGTGTCGGATTTATTCTGTTAATTTCAAGAAACAATTGGTAGGAATCACCCTTTGCTCTTCTTAAATGATTAGATAAGTATTTTTTCCATATCATTAGACATTGCAAAGGTTTAAGAGTTCTTGAACCGTGGAATCTTATGTAGAAGTTATAACGACTCTTTATAAAAGCTGAAGATCAACCTGCAACTTTCGATATTTCTCTACTTTATAATCTACTTTCTCTTTAGTGGCCTGCACACTGACTAAATAGCCATTGCAAACTCTTAATTTCCCTTTTGCTGAATTAC
The DNA here is from genome assembly GCF_000001405.40 of Homo sapiens. Taxonomy (NCBI): domain Eukaryota; kingdom Metazoa; phylum Chordata; class Mammalia; order Primates; family Hominidae; genus Homo; species Homo sapiens. The sequence goes on along the minus strand of NC_000014.9, from coordinate 59,161,021 downwards.
CCTGCTCTCTGATCAGAGGCCATACTATCTGTGAAATTTTGCTTCAGAAAAGCCTGCACTGCAAAACCAAACAGTACAGAGATGTATAAAAGATCTCCTCAACCTTAACAGAGAAGCAAAAAGCAAAACATCTTCTTTGCTCCTGATGGAAATGATTACCAATTTAAGATTTCCCACAGAGAAGCCTCTCTCCATGATGCATGGAAAAATTTCCAGAACATAATCTAATAATAGCAAAATAAATAGAAATACTAAATAAATATGCCGACAAACCCATGGCTGATATCACTAATGGAAATCCAGAGTGCTGACAGTATGTGGGTTTTTCCTGTGACCCAGAGCATGTAAGAGGTATACACTCAATCTCAGTGATATCATATCGAGGTGTGGAATGTCACTGTGCTTTTCCATATGGAAAAAGTGAGGTACAGAAAAGGGATACGGCTTGTCCATGGTTATCTCGCACACAGGAGAGTTTATTACGGAGGTAAGCACCCTAGTGTTTGGCTGAGGCTTCTAATATATTGCCTGTTCTAGCACGTAAACTCTTTTTACTGTGAAGCCTTATTATGCTTTTCTTACATCTCACTGAACCTAGTGAGGTGATCAGGAAATAATTATTCTCATAATAGCTTTTAAAATGTATGCAAATAATACATATTCATGATAGAAAAAACTGAAATTATATTGTAGAAAAAAGAAAATAAAACTCAACTGTAATTCAATCACTTGCATTTTAGTGCATATCCTTTTAGCTATTTTCCTTGGCATATTCATTGTCTATATGTATATATAATATATAAACTTTTCTTTTGCAAGAATGAGACTGTACAACATAATTTTATTCTTTTCTTTTTGGCACATTTAGACTGCTAATATGTAAATATGTTAATAAATGTATTTCTACAACTTCATTTTTAATAGCTAAATAGCGACCTATTATTACACATAAATTCAGTAACTGAGTTAACCAATTCTTTAGGGGCTGTGCATTTAGTTTGTTTCTACCTTTTTTATGAAGTAGGAACACTAAAAAATACTAGAGTGAACATTTTTATAGTTAATGTTTGCAACCATGCTTAATTACAAATACATAATTATTGGTTGATTAGTATTAGTCTAATGATGTTTCCTCGGCCAGCAACTTATAGACTGCACATGACACAAAGTACATGCCTCTGAAGGATCCATATCCTACCTACCCGTGACACCATACCAATAGGTATCTGTTGAAAGCAGTTTTGAACTTTGCAGTCATTCCTACCTTGGTAATATTGGCAGGCAGGATTTTAGCACTGGGGAGAGGCGGAAAGAAGAGTTAAAAGTTCTGACTAAATAAAAAGATTTTTCATTAATGGAAGAGTTCAATTCCATTCCCTGCAGCAAATACTGAACAGGAATAGTCTCTAAATGTTCATGCGATAGAAAACACTATCTGTGTAAAGGGACAAATTGTGGGGAATAAACTGTGAAGGTCAGATTATCTTCTAAGAAGCCACATGGAGAAAGAAAACCCCTGATGAGAGAATCCCATCAACCAGTAGTAGATCAGCCTTGAAATATGAACTTTCATGGGATATCATGAATCCTTCTAGGAACTGCAAATCTCCTTGATTTTTCTGCCTGCAGTGTTTTGAAGATGTTTACAGTAAAACTGTAACCTAAGACTTGCCTTTCAGGAAAAGAGTAACTGGTAATCTGATCCTAGAAAGCTTTCTGCACTGGGCTTTTTAAATAGTAAGCGAGTAGAAGATTTTTCTCACTGTGCCCCCATAAAGGGAAAGAGATGGTAAGTAACATGCATTCAGTCACTCACTCTGGGCCAGGCACTATGGTAAACACTCTACATGCATCATTTCATTGCTTCCCTCCAACAACCTCATGAGTGCCTCATTATTATCCAGTTTTATGTAAGAGGGAAACACATTCAGAGGGATAAAAAATGTGCCTCAAGTTATAAAGCTGGTTGGTGGCAAAGACTAGATTTGAACATAGTCCTGCCAAACTGTAAATCAAATGTTTTGTTTTTCCTACCATATATACGTGTTTTAAATATCTTCCCTATAACTTTCTTGCCTAGATCTTGTTAATTCCTCTTTGACATAAAGCACATGCCTTGGCTAGCCAGGTAAAGGCAACTTTGTGAGTCTAGACCCTACTGTTTTTCATGGTAGCAGCCCTCAGAATACAGGCGCAAGGGCACCTTTGGCTTGAATAGAACTCCTCCTTCTCCAGATTCAGAGGGGGTCATAAGCCTGTGTATTTTGTAAGGGCACTTGTGTAGGAGCCTTTCAATTGGAGGCTGTTGATGGTTGTTGCTCATCTGAGGCAAGGCCTGCTGCTGTACTGGGTTTTCTTTGCTAACTTGGTAGGGACACAAGGCCCTCATGAATTATCAAACCTGAAGGGGTTATGAGAATCTCTGAATTTGTAGCCAGTCACTCAGAAGCGTGGGTATCCCAGGGACCCTTGAAGTGTGGCTGGCATCTGCAGTGAGAGTAGTCTTGTGGAGGGCTACTTTCTGTTTCTAGAAAGAAGCCTAGAGATAGCCACATGTTGAGGAAGACCCTTACAAAACTCTGATGAAAGGATTACAGAAAAATAAATATTATTTCAGTGGTTTATTTCACTAATTCAATCAAGTAATGATAACCCTAATAATAATAGTAATTAACAGCAATAGGCTGGGCAGGGTGGCTCATGCCTGTAATCCTAGTACTTTGGAAGGCTGAGGTACGAGGATTGCTTAAAGACAGGAGTTCGAGACCAGCCTGGGCAACACAGCAAGAACACATTTCTTAAAAGAAAAAAAAATAGCCATGTGCAATAGCATGTACCTGTTGTCCCAGCTACTTGGGAGGCAGAGGTGGGAGGATTGCTTGAGGCCAGGAGTTGGAGGCTGCAGTCAGCTATGATTGTGCCACTGCACTTCAGCCTGGGCAGAACAAGACCCTGTCTCTAAACAAAAATAAAAACAAAAATTTAAAGCAATAATAGCCCATAGCTTTTATTGAACTCTTACCCCATATCAGGTACTCTTTAAGCATCGTATACATATTCCAAAATCATCTGGTCTATTGCCTCCAATTTAAAGGCTCCTACACAAGTGCCCTTACAAAATACACAGGCTTATGACCCCCTCTGAATCTGAAGTGACTGGAGAAGGAGGAGTTCTATTCAAGCCAAAGGTGACCTTGTGCCTATATTCTGAGGGCTGCCACCATGAGGAAGAGTAGGCTCTGGACTCACAAAGTTGCCTTTACCTGGCTAGCCAAGGCATGTGCTTTATGTCAAAGAGGAATTAACAAGATTCAGTTCTGGCATTAACCTCCTAAAGTTGATGCAGACCCCACAAGTTGAGGGCTCAGCCCTTCACAAGACTACCCTCACTGCAGATGCCAGCCACACTTCAAGCGTCCCTGGGATACCCACACTTCTGACTGACTGGCTACAAATTCAGAGATTCTCATAACCACTTCAGGTGTGATAATTCATGAGAACAACTCACACAACTCAGAAAAGCACTACACTTAGGATTAGAGTTTCATTATAAAGAATGGAAATCAAGACTCTCTCAATGAAGACACACAGGGCAAGGTCTGGGAGGGTCTCGAATGCAGAGCTTCCATGTGTTCTCCTTCTGGGATCAGGATGTGTCACCCTCCTGGCACATCGATGTGTTGATCAACCAGGAAGATCCACTGAACTTCAGTGTCTAGAGTTTTTACTGAGGCTTCATTACATATTGAATCATTGGACACACAGCTGAACTCAATATCCAGCCCTCTCCCATCCCCAGAGATCAGGAGATTGGCTGATATCACAGGGCTTAAAGCCTCAACCATCTAATCACATGGTTGGTCTTTCTGATATCTAGTCCCCATCTTGGACCTTCTCTGTCTCATTAGCATAAACTCAGGTGTGACCCGAGGGGCTCATGAAAATAATAAAGACACTGACCACCGGGGAAATTCCAAGAATTTTAGGAGCTTCCTGCCAGGAATCCAGGACAAATTATTTATTATACAACAATACACATTATTTAATTTTCCCCTCACACCAGTTTATGAGGTAAGAATTATCTTCATTTTATAGGTAAGAAAATGAATGCTTCCAAGATGTATAGACTTAGTCAGTTAGAGATGCAGGATGTAATCAAACTCAAGTCTTCCCAGCCTCAAAGTCTACCTTCGATCCATCTTAGCCATTAAGGAATATTGCCTTACATATAAGCCCCTAATATATCTTAAGAATGCTTGTGTATGACTATGTACACACACACACACACACACACACACACACATTCTGAAGCTTGTCATCCTTAACTAATATGGGAGAGAATGCTAACTAAATCCCCAAATCCATTCTCCTTTGAGCAGGGAAACCCTTGTGTTTTAGATGGACACCTGACTGTTCAGTGTCAGAATGACATTTCCCAGCTCCTTTGTGTCTAGCTGTGAGCATATGTGATGTATGCAGTTTCCAGAGCATGTCCTTGAAAAAGAGGTTGGTTGCCCTCTCCTTTTTCATTCCCTGCTTCTGAGTCTGGTGCTGCTAACGAACCACCATCAGTCATGAGGCTGAGGGCAACACCTTAACAGAAGGTGGATCAACAAAATAAAAGCAAACCTGCCTCCCTGTCTGTCCTTGAAACAGAGCCACCTACTTGCCCCAGAATGCTCAACTATTATACCTCTGGGCAGTAATGTGTGAAAAAAGCAAACTCCCATCTTACTGAAGGCACTGGATTTGGGGGTCTCTTTGTTACAGTATTTTGGGCTCTATTCTAACCACCACAACTACTAAGATAAAGGCTTCCTACAGGCTTCTAGCATTGCATAGTAGTGGGAATACTTCAAATGTTCCTCTTATTCAGCATTGGGGTCAGGCTGCATTCCTACCTGTGGTCTCTCGAGTGCTTAGCTGTGGATTGCTCTTGATCTATCCTTGTTTTATCAGCTTGAAATGCTTATGTATTGAATTGTTTATCTTCAGGATGAAGCTCGTTATTTCTTCTGTATAAATGTAGTTTATCATATGACAGTTACATTCTTTTTCCCATTGTGAAACTCTGCTGATAAACCTCGACATGGAGAAAAAAAAAGGCTATAAACTTTTCTTCCCACAGTAATTCAGACTTACACTCAAAATGCTACTTTGTTAAATATTATTTGTGCAGTTATTGTTTTGTATCATGGCCCTGTCCCTAAACTGAGTTTGGCCTGACACTAAGTTAAGCCAGTTTGGTAACTTTTGCTCTTAGAGTTTAAAGTTTGCCTGGAACCAGTATCCTTGCCCTTTGTTTTTATTTCTTTTCTATAGGCTCAGACACACTTTAAAATAGAACCTATCCCAATGTATCTCATTGAAAAAGAAAGAAGAAATCTAAAGGACACTAGATCACAATTTTTTTTTTTGAGATGAAGTCTCACTCTGTCACCCAGGCTGGAGTGCAGTGGCGCAATCTCGGCTCACTGCAACCTCCGCCTCCTGGCTTCAAGTGATTCTCCTGCCTCAGCCTCCTGAGTAGCTGGGATTACAGACGCATGTCACCACACCCAGCTAATTTTTTGTATTTTTAGTAGAGACGGCGTTTCGCCATGTTGGTCAGGCTGGCCTTGAACTCCTGACCTCAGGTGATCCACATGTGTTGGCCTCCCAAAGTGCTGGGATTATAGGCGTGAGCCACCGTGCCCGGCTGGCACAATTTTTAAATATATAAAGTTTGCAACACACACACACACACACACACACACACACACACACACACACACACACAAGGATTACCTTGTCCCCCAGCCTTTTTTTTTTTTTTTTTTGAGACAGGGTCTCACTCTGCACCTAGGCTGAAGTCCAGTGGCACCATCAAAGCTCGCTGCAGCCTCGAACTCCTGGGCCTGAGGGATCTTCCTGCCTCAGCCTCCCAAAGGGCTGGTATTATAGATATGAGCCACCAGGCCTAGCCTTGCCTTGGCCTTTTAAAAGTCAACTTTTGTTTGCCCCAGTGAATTCTTTTATAGCTGCACATTAAAAACAAATATTAACAACATGGTATGGGGCTATTTTTAAATTGAGTTCAATGAAAAAACAGCACACATTTTCAGTGCTAGCCTTTTCTTTCCGAAAGGTCTTTTATGGAAGTAGTTTAGTTTGTGGATATTTGAAACTTAGAGAAGGTGTGGTTATTTACATAGTTTGGGATTCCCAAATTACCTACAGTATCTAAAACCAGAAAGATTATTATATGTATAAGAGTAGACAAAATGAAGTAAAAATCAAAGTTTTTTACATTCTGTTTGGGTTTCAGAGGGACCATTTCATGGGAGTAGATGAAAGAGTAACTCTTTCTGAGGTCTACATATAAGATCTTCAAAGTACAGTCACATTCATATTAGAAAGGCTAAGATTAACCAGTCAGAAAGCGTATTGCAAAGTATGCAGTAAACAGGAAGGCGGGGAGGCATTCTTTCAAAGGTGGGGTGCCCAGTTGTTCTTCCTGTTTATCTGTCATGGGAAAGCAGATAACCATGGAGAGGGCCACTGAGAAGCCTATTTTATTCTTTTTCTTCCATATTTAATCTAATACTCTTTTACAATATAGCATTAATGTGAACTACTTTCATCAGCTAGATTTTATTCATTTCTGGCTAAGGAAAATGTTTTTGAAGTGGAGTAGGGAAAATGAGAATGGCAGTATTTATATATATTATTTTATAGGATACTTGGAGAGGGTGTGAAACCTGAATGGGGTTTCAATAAGAGGTTTTGCACAATGGATGATAAGTTGAAGCTCAGTATAGAAAGTGTTGTGTAGATGGTAGGCTCAGGGTCAAAAAAAGAGGTGAGAAGGCAGGAAAGATAAGCCTCCTCTTATTCAAGTAAATTTTGTCAAGTCTCTGATGGTATCAGAGGTTCAACAACCTCTGGCTTTGCCTATTACTATAAAACACCCTCACCTTAGCATCAACTGTTTAAAGAAGGCAGAATAAACATCAAGAAAGGTTTTTTTTTTTAATTATGAAGGTAGGCTTAAAAACAGATTAACAACGCATAGCAAATGTTGGTTGCATATAGGCTGCTTGTTGTTGCTATTAGAAATGCAAGTTTGGTGAATTAAAATTGCATGGAAGCATCTTTTTCTTTAAACAGTGTAATTATGGTGGGTTCATCTTTATAAAATGGGCAAATGAAATGAATAACAGCCCAATTTAACTAAAATATTCAGGACATATAATTGTAGACCAAATTGGTTTATTTTGGCTTAAACCATTTGAATAATTACGTTAGTTCTTCCATCGATTTAAATGTGAAATCAATCATTCTGTCAACCCATGCATTGTTCTGGAGTTTCCCAACTCTATTCTCCATACTGAAGGATTTACTTACCTACAACTGGTAGGCATCAGCACTTAGAAAACCCTCTACCATTACAACATATAACATTATTAACAAGTAAAAGTCTGAGATGAGTTTTATGCATAAATAAAAGCAAACCACTGGGGAGATGATCATCTATACCTCCGTTGATGATACTCTCTCAGCCTTGGGCAAGAAAATGATCAACATCATCAAATATTTATTGGCACCCGTAGGAGTGCTGCTTCTGCACTGGGATTGCCGCCTGCTCTCTTCTGGGGGTTAAATAGAGTTGAAACTTCAACCCCTCAAAGAAAAACTAAAAATTTATGTGTGAACTGAGCTTTAAAAATGAACATTTTTGCATACTTCTATCTATCATATACACACTTATACTGGAGTCAAACTCAAAACTCCAAATCCTTAAAACCATCAGAAGGTATATTTCCTTGTTTAAATATCAGATGATTGAGAACTTTCAGACTATGATTCTTTTGAATTAGAGTGATGATGAATGTTCAGGGTTGAGGGAAGCAGTCAGGGCTCTGGATAGTCTATCACTGCTATCAATTTTATGTTTTTATACATGTATAATATATATAATGTTATATATCATAATATTTTATATATATATACTTAATCATTATATGATTCTCCTGTTGATACCTTATCCAGTTTTAAATTTTTCTGGGCATTCTTTTTTTTTTTTTTTTTTTTTTGAGATGGAGGCTCACTCTGTCGCCCAGGCTGGAGTGCAGTGGCACGATCTCGGCTCACTGCAAGCTCTGCCTCCCAGGTTCACACGATTCTCCTGCCTCAGCCTCCCGAGTAGCTGGGACTAGAAGCACCTGCCACCACGCCTGGCTAATTTTTTTGTATTTTTAGTAGAGACGGGGTTTCACTGTGTTAGCAAGGATAGTCTCGATCTCCTGACCTCATGATCCGCCCGCTTCGGCCTCCCAAACTCCTGGGATTACAGGCGTGAGCCACCTCATTTCTGGGCATTCTTAGAGCCCATCAATAAATAACTTTATTCTCACTGAATTTTCATCAGTTGTGTGTAATTACCTGCCCTCATCAGGTCAAGTGAAATTCCAATACTTGAGTCTTTTCTTCATAAGAATAATTTATTTCAAGACTATTCTTCCTCCTCTGGTTGTGAGATCCACGTTGGTGATTTGGAATGGTTAAACTTAACCAGGACAGCATGGGAAAGACTAGAAAGGGAGATGGGCCTGGGATGAGCCCTACTTACAGACACAGTGCCAACCCTGGGAGGCAGACCCTGCAGCAATGCTGGGAGGAAGCCAGGTAAGCAGAATGAATAACCTGGAGTGTTCACAAAAACCACTAGCACAGCATGTTACAAACATGAATTCCCAGACCCCACAGCTAGAGAGAGATTCTGATTCAGTGGGGTTATGTGGATCAAAATAAACCACATTTTAAACAATACTCCAGGGTGATTCTGCTGCAGGTGGTCTCTGGATTACACTTTGAGAAATACTGATCTAGTGGGTTACAAAATAGATGACAGCTGATAGGAAAGTCAATTGGCAACAGGAATGTCACATCCTGGGAATGGGGCATTGTGGGGGCTGGACAGAGCCTTGGCTGAGGAATTCAGATACAAACAATATTTTGAGAGCTGAACTGGCAAGCAGTGGCAGTAGGAAAGTCCCAAGGATCCCATCTCTAGCCTTTGGAAGAAGGGCTGTGAAGAACCAGCCAGTGCCATATCACGGAGGACAAGGGCTCAGGCCCAGGGGACAAGGCATCCATCTGACCCAGAGCATCAGGGGAAAGATGGGGCTTGGACTAAAAAAGAACTCCTGTTATGGGTTGAATTTTGTCCCCCCAAAAGATATGTTGGAGTCCTAATCCCCAGGACCTCAGAAGTCAAGCATAAGATTACAGGGGTAATCAAGCTAAACTGAGGTCATTGGGGTGAGCCCAAATTCAATATAACTGGTGTCCTTATAAAAAGGAGAAATTTGGATATAGAGACAGACACCTGGAGGGAATGTGGATGTGAAGACACATAGGGAGGAGACAGCCATGTGAGTGGAATGGTGCGCCTGCAAACCCAGGAGAAACAAGGATGGCTGGCAAACACTGGAAGCTAGAAGAGGCAAGGAAAGTTTCACCCCAGAGTTGTCAGAGGAAGCATAGCCCTGCCGACATCTTAGTTTCAAGCTCCCAGCTTCCAGAACTGTGAGATTGTACATTTCTGTTGTTTTAAGCCACCCAATTTATGGCACTTTGTTACTGCAGCCCTTGCAAACTAATACAACCCCTGTACTTCTTCCCTTCCCCATCGCCACTACCCTGGCTCCAGCCACATTACTCTCTGTGGCAGCTTCCTGATGAATTCCTCCTCAAAAGCTTTGCCTACCTCCTCTCCATTCTCACTTCTGTGGCCGGAGTGGTCTTTTTAAACACAAACTGATCAGTTTATTTGCTTGCTTCAAACTTGGTTTCACTTCCCATTTGTCTAGTTAAGGATAGAGTCCAAACTGCATAGCATGGCTTATGGCCCTCTTTGGACTGGCCCTGCCCACTTCCCCATCCTTGTCTTTTGAGATTTACTCTGTTTCTCTTACCCTTCACTCCTCATATTTACCCTCCAAAACTAACAGTTTTTAGAATATGTCATATTTTCTTTCCTTCTGACCTTGGTAGATACTGAATCCTCTGCTTAGGAGTCTTCTCCTCTGCCTCTTTTGCTACCTAAGTCATACCGCGCTTTAGGTCTTGTATCTATCAGTGCTCTCCAGATAAACAATAGGTTAGATGGATGGAGAGATGGAGAGATTACATAGATCGGTAAGAGGAGATTTATTATGGGAATTGGTTCATGCGATTATGGAGGCTGAGACGTGCCACCATCTTCCATCTCCAAGCTGGAGAACCACGAAAGCTGATGGAGTAATTTGGCCCAAGTTCAAAGGCCTGAGAAACACAGAAGCTGATGGTATAAGTCCAAATCCAAGGCCAAAGGCTTGAGAACTGAGGGGGCTGCTGCTGCAAGTTCTGGAATCCAAAGGCCTGAGAACCAGGAGAACTAATGTCCAAGGGCAGGAGAAGATGGATTCCTCAGCTCAAGAAAGAGAGAGAGAATTCACTCTTCCACTTCCTTCTTGTTCTCTTCAGGCCTTCAGTGGATTAGATGATATCCACCCACATGGATGAGGGCAGATCTTCTCTACTCACTCTACTGATTCAAATTCTAATCTCTTCCAGAAACACCCTGACAGGTGCACCTAGAAATAATGTTTTCAGCTATCTGGGCATTGCTTAACCTAATCGAGTTGCACAAAATTAACCACCATGGGCCTCATTTTGGATGTCATTTCTGTGACACTTGGATTTGATGTCCTTCTTGAGTATTCACAGCACCATGTAATGCCATAGTCAGAGCTTGTGCAGTACTGGGTTGTCACTGACTGCTTACTTGTTGGTGCTTGACCCACTAAATCTAAGTTCCATGAGTACAAAAATCAGACCAGTGGTAGTTCCGATACCTCTACAGGAGAGAATTTGAGTAACAATCTAGTGAAAAGAAGGGCTAGGAGTGGCCAGGCACGGTAGCTCACACCTGTAATTCCAGCACTTTGGGAGCCCAAGGCAGGTGGATTGCTTGAGCTCAGGAGTTCAAAACCAGACTGGGCAACATGGTGAAACCTCATCTCTACAAAAAAGACAAAAATTAGCCAGGCATGGTGGCTCACATCTGTAGTCCTGGCTACTTGGGGGTTTGAGGCAGGAGGATCGCTTGGGCAGGGGAGGTCAAGGCTGCAGTGAGCTGTGTTTGTGCCACTGCACTCCAGCCTGGGTGACAAAGTGAGACGCTGTCTCAGAAAACAAAAACAGAAACAAAGAAGGACTAGGAGTTTATTTGTGTTGAGGAAGGGGCTAATGGAGATGATGGTATATCTAAGGCCTCCCGAAACTATCCCTTGTATTGCCTCTAGCAGGCATTATATCTATCTTGTTTACTGCTGTGTCTGGCACATAATGGATGCTCAAAAATGTTAAGTACACCAATGACATTGAATACATGGGAAGTTTCATGACCAGTTATGCCCAAGGTCAGAGCCAGATGAACTAATTTCAAATGGAACAGAAACATCTTAAAATTCTTCTTGCCTAAGCTCAGGATTGGTCGTAGGTAAGGTAGGCTACTGGAAGAAGAGAGAGGCAAAGACTAGGAGCCAGGCTAAGCTCCGTCATAAGAAAGGCTGACTAGCTGTTCCTCATCAGTTCCTCTGACCTTGGTCTTTTCTATTGTTCATTGAAAGTGCAGCTTTTATTACCTACTATTTACCAGCTGCTCACTTCTTTTGTAGCGAAATGAAAGAGCACCATTTCTCTAAGATAGATAGTCTATGTAAGAATGATTTTATCTCTCTCTAAAGATGCTTTGCACAGCACTCACACTCTTGCATGCTTATTTAATGGACTTGCCTCAGGCATGGCCATTCCAAATCCCATGAAATGGTATCTTTTTAGGGAATGGTAACAACAGCATTAAAAGGGGACATTAAAATAGAAAGGGATTGGAAGGGAGAATAAACATAACTGAATGATGGCTAGTGAGGGCAAACTTTGGAGGAAGGATTTATATGGATTTTGAAGAGAACTAGACTTACTAAGAGCATAGAATCCTGACAATTACATTGTTAGATAGCCACAGGAATTTATTGAGTATCTTCAAGGAGTAGTATCTCAGAAATTAAGGAGGACATGGAAAAGGAGTGAGAACTTTCCTAAGCACATTGTATACATTAATGGAATATATACAATGGGAAAAATTTATGTGTAGCTAATACTGCATTTCTATGATGTATATTTGGGAGAGAAATAGATCAGAGGAAGAGACTAGCAGCCACGTAACATTGTACTGTTCCCTGCATTTATCTTTTCCTGTGGAAATGTAGGTTGCTCTCTGGGCCAGGAAGGCAAATTGGTTTCATCTTAAATGCCATCTAAGAGAGATAATAGCTCATATCAGCAGTAGTGGTGTGGGGAAGAATTCTGAGAGTACATCTAGGCTCACTGCGAAAAAAGTGTCATGATAAATTAGTGATGTCTGCCAGTTAACGGAGGGAAAGGAGGGAGAACAAAGGCATTATATATTTGCATAAACTTGCCATCCCTGTTCTAGACCATTGGCAGAAATCTGAGTATCCTCAGGGGCTTTCAGTTTCTATTTTCTTCTTTAAGTATAAGCCAGAAGTTTGCTCTTCTAAGACACTCTTTTGATGAGATAAAAGATCTTGTCTTCAAGTTTGAAAAATACGAGATTCAATGAAAAATTCACATATACTTATCCTAATTCCCAATTCAATAAGATTGCTCATTAATAATAAAATAAATTTTTAAAAATGCTTTAAAACACCTATCAAATATTAAAGATGAAAAAAGGGAAAGCAGCATTATTTGAGAAAGTTTAGGGAATTGTATAATCTCATACAATACTGACTAAAGTGTAATTTGGTATAACCTTTCTGGAAAGCCATCAGGTAATATATATTAAGAGCCTAGAATATTCATATCCTTTCATTCAGTGATTTCAGTAACCAAAACTTATCTTAATCATGTAATCAATTAGAAACACAGATTCATATTTAAAGATATTTAATACACGTTGTTTTTTTAATAACAAATAGTTGAGAATAACCTAAATATCTAACAAGATGGGATTGATTAAATAATATTATGTACAATTAGCATATTAATATGGCAGCCACCAAAAAGTCCTCAAAGATTATTTTTTAAAAAAGTTGATATTATCTATTAAGTGAAAAATACAAGCTAGAAAGTACAATGTAGAGTATGATTGTAATTTACTAAACACATCTTTTTCTCTTTAAGAGTGTATGTATTAATAGTGTCACAAGCACATGCAGACACACACACACGCACACACACACACACACCACAGACTGAAGGGACATATCCCAAATATCAACAGGGATGATGGGTGAATTTTTATCTATTTTTATTTTTTGTACTTTCCGATTTTTTCACAATAAAATGTAAAAAAGGGAAAGAAGATAATTACTTGTTAAAAATTTACCAATGTTCCAAGTTACCTTTGGGTGGTCTAGCCTGTCCATTTATCTCCAGCTAGGACGAACAGAATTCTTTATCATAGTTTGCTATCTCAGCATACATTGTACAAAGCATGCTACAAATAATTTTCCCTGTGATTTCTATAGACAAAGGGATTGTAACATTGGAGGGAAAGAGGGGGCATAAATAATTAGGGTAAAGCCAGGCTGCAAGTCATTGGCAAAGCCTTAAAGAAAATTCAACACTCCAGCTTTCTAGCCCCAAACTTGAATCCCTCCACCACACTCTGTTCTATTGTTCAAACTCATTTGGCTGTCACATGCCCTCTAATCAGTTAGAATTCAGTCTTTGCAGAATTGGAACGTGAATGAAAAGGTTTTTTTTTCCTTCTGTTTCAACTGCTGTTGTTGAAGTCATCTCCTCTGAGGCCTTCAAACTAAATGGCTTTCCAACTTTAAAGAGCCCTCCTATTATGTGTGACTACAGATTGCTTGCATCTGGACTTGCTTCATGTGGCCATTTTATTTCCAGTCAACATCAATGTTAACTTTGTTAACATGTTAATATTGACCTATTACACATCATTGGCGTATGTAATTTTGAGGTAACAGATACTTCTAGATCTAGATTTTGTAAGATAGTTATCTTACTAGTTGCTGCAAGTGAAAATGACAAAATGAGGACTTCTTTTTATATATAAACAACTCAATTCCATCAAATTGGTAGAGCTGGTTATGGGTAGAGAGGCAGCCTATTTGTGGTGTAACAAAGAAGGAAATAATAGAGCTGGAAGCACAAAAATCTGTCCATTCTTTGTCTGATTTAATCTCTAACTTGCCCATAACTCAAGTTGTTCTTTTCAGTTTTCTCAGAGACCGAGTGTCTCAACTGTAAAACAGCATAATTTATGTCCTTCACATAAAACACAGGATTGGGCTAGGCAGCTTTGTCAAAGTGAAGATTAGCTCAAAGTTAACACAAACGCCTTGCAAGCTCTATCAGCTTAGAAGAGTATATCAAATAGTAAGGTGTTATTAAGTGACTTCAACATTTTGATTAAAGATAATACTAATACATCTTACATTTGCATAAAACTTGCTTTTGGCAAGGCTCAGTGGCTCACTCCTGTAATCCCGGCACTTTGGGAGGTCTAGGCGGGTGGATCATCTGAGGTCAGGAGTTGGAGACCAGCCTGGCCAACATGGTAAAACCCTGTCTCTACTAAAAAATACAAAAGTTAGCCAGGCATGGTGGCGGGTGCCTGTAATCTCAGCTACTTAGGAGGCTGAGGCAGGAGAATTGCTGGAACCTGGGAGGCGGAGGTTGCAGTGAGCCGAGATTGCGCCATTGCACTCCAGCCCCGGCTGACAACAGTGAGACTCTGTCTAAAAATCAAACAAACAAACAAACAAACAAACAAACCAAACCAAAACAAAAAAACCTTGTTTTTAAAGTAATATAGTAAAGTAAAAATGTGTTCTCTGTCAAATTTGTAAAATACTAACTTTTAAAAAGCCTTTCTAGGCATTTAACAAATAAAGTAACATGAATTTAAACACTATGGGTGCGTTTTATGTGAATTTGAATTATTTCAATTTAAAATTGTACAGTATACAATAAACTTTTCTTTAATGCACAAAATTTTAGATCATGAGAATCCCCAAATTAAACATTAATCACAAATCACATAATTTAAAAACTGGCAGGCCCAGTGGGTCATTGATACTCTTTCATGGCATGTGATGGCTTCATTTTAGCTGATAAACAAAAATACGTTTTCTGTCCCGTCAGGACTAGTTCTGAATGATGCAGCTCTTGAGATAATATGAGTACTAAATTAATCAAGGTGTCTGGACATATATTCTTTGTATATAACATGCTCCTATGGCTTATATAAAAACAACTATGGGATATCAAGCATTTATTATCTAAGATGTCTCACTTTAAGACTTTGAATTAAAATTTAAAAAGGAAGCAGATCAGGCAATGCCAGTGTCTGCAATCAGCTAACCACATAGTTCTGAATTTGTAGGAACACCAATTGTCTGGCCTATACTTTTTAAGAACCATAGTAAGACTCTGACACCCTTCTTCCAGCACAAAAGTAGTTTATTTCTAATCCCAAACAGGCTCTGATGACTCTGAGATGACATTGACTTCCAATGTTCCATTTCTACTGTGCTAATGGCTTTTTAATGCCTAAATCCAAAGAGCTATATTGGATCCTCTTTTGCTTGGCTTCCCTGTACATTTCCTTCTTGAACTGCCTCCCTTTGCTTCCTGAGTACAGCACTCTCCAGTTCTCCTACCACTCAGTCCTCTGCCTCTGTGAATCTCCTGCCTACTCCTCTTTCTCCACCCGGGCCTTAAATGCTGGTGTTCCACAGGGTTCCAGCTACTACTTTTTTTTTTTTTTTTTCTCTTCTAACACTATAAACCCTCCCTGAGCGATTTCACCTGTTCCCTTGATTTTAACCTCTATCCACATGGTAATGACTCTTATGACTATCATTAGCTCTGCACACATAACTGAATGACCCCAGGCACCAAAACTGAATTCATTGTCTCCACTGGCCTCCAGAGCTTGTTCTCAGCCTTTTTGTCTTCCTGTACTCTCCCTTCTGTCAATGATACCACTCAGGCTCCAAGCTAGAAGACACAGGGTCATCCTTAATAACTCCTTTTCCCTCACCTCTTACTATGCAGTTTCTCATCTACACTTACTAACATTATTATAAAAATATATTTAAGGTTGGTTCCTTTTCTGCATCTCCACTGCCCCTGCCTAAGTAGGGGTTTTCCTCACGTTTTGCCCAGACTGCTACAGCAGCATCCTAAGCAGTGTCCCTGATACCAATCTCTTCCTCTACATCGTCCATTCCTCACTCCACTGCAAAGCTTTATAAAAAACAAATCTGATTACTTGTTAAAACTTCTGCTGGCTGTTTGATCAACAGAAGTGTTTGAATGAATGAACAATGGATTTCTTTAGTAGAAAGTTCACATTGTATAATAATGAAGAATTCATATTCTGGAGTCAGACATGGTTTGACGCAGGAGTTTTTTTGTTTATCATCTGAGTAACTGTGGACCATCTCTCTAAGCTTTAGTTAGACATCTATGAAAATGAAATAAAAATATTACCCACTTCATAAGTTATTGTGAAGATTAAATGGGATAATGTGTGTAAGGTACTTAGCATAGTAAGTGCTTTGTAAATGGCAACTATAATAGTTATTATTAGACTCTCAGACATGGGGGCTCAGTTGTTTTACTTAGCACTTTTCATGAATCCCAGTGTGACTAAGCTCAAACTATAAAACATTTGAATTTACCATTATTTCCCTCAGCCTTGTGACCCTACTGACTGTGTAATATTTTTCCTGATGCTTATTCATTGGTAGAATTTTATGTAATATAGTTTATTTCATGCAAGGTGATTTCATTACTGTGGTACTTTTCCCCTGATTTTTGAGTAGAACTGTATCTAATCCCTTAAAACTTTAATAAATCAGATTCTGGAATCTTTTTTGGGGCTCAATTTTGAAACAAAATGAATTTTTTTTTAATTCAAAAGATTAATTTACTCTATTTCCTTGTGTACATTTAATGGAAAAATATACCCAAACTACAAGACAAATGTGCTGCAAATATTTTTTAAATTTAATAGTTAAAATACAGACATATTTTGCATATTACCTTAAAACAGTTTCTCCCGTGACCAAATTAGTTCAAATCCTCGTGAAGCAACATCCATAAACTCATCCAGACGTTTTTCAAAAGCTCCTTTTCATTTCACTGTAATGTACATTTCACTGTAATGTACAACCATAATGCAATAACACAGGTAGAAAAATTTTAGAGCTGTTAAAATTGATAGCAGCCATTTCATGTTAGGGAAAAAGAAATGAAGTGGAAGGCCAAGGTGTGGCTTGTTATGCCATACCAGTGTATACTTGGATTTCCCAAAGAGCTGATTATATAGAGAAGGATGGGTAAAGCAGAAAAAGGCATTTTTAAGAGGGCTCATTGGCATCACCTATGTTTGATTTGCGCTGGATGTACCATGCAAATACTTAATGATGTTTATTTATACAGAAAAGAAAAACTAAGTTTTCCAAATGGCCATCAGTCATGTAGACTCTTTTCCCCCAGGGTTATTATTTAGGAATGAAAGTCTGTTTTAGTTCTGTTTGGTTGCAAATACATCTATTTGATCAATTTGCCAATGCTGTCATTCTTTTGGGGGTGGGGAGGAGGTGAGGGTGGCGGGAAACATTGCAAACCCTGCAAAGGTGTTTTAGCAGTAGCCTTTGGGACTTCTTTTTTGTTTTGTTTTTGAGATAGAGTTTCGCTCTTGTTGCCCAGGCTGGAGTGCAATGGCGAGATCTCAGCTCACTGCAACCTCCACCTCCTGGGTTCAAGCTATTCTCCCGCCTCAGGCTCCCAAGTAGCTGCGATTACAGGCATGTGCCACCATGACCAGCTAATTTTGTATTTTTAGTAGAGACAGGGTTTTTCCATGTTGGTCAGGCTGGTCTCGAACTCCCGATCTCAGGTGATCTGTCTGCCTCGGCCTCCCAAAGTGCTGGGATTATAGGTGTGAGCCACCGTGCCCAGCCTGCCTTTGGGACTTCTTTGGAAGCCACATGCACTGAGTAGCAGTCTCTAGTGAAGCAGCATGAGATTATGGGAAAGGGTACTAGATTTTGTTCAAGTCCTGGCTCTGTTCCTATCTGTGTGATGTTGGGCAAAGCACTTTCTCTTTTTGAGCTCACATTTTATTCTACCCTATCTGTAGGACTTTGATGTCTGCCTTCTTAAGGCCATTCTTTAAAACATCTTTTCAGAAAATTTCTCTCTCGATTCTTGTATCCTCCTCCCCCCACTTTCCTTTCTTCCTTCTTTATTTTCTTCCCTTCTCTCTTTTCTTTCCATAGGTTTTATTAATTTAGCACAATTTAAGCTTTGTATCATTTGAGAACATGGTAAAGATTTTCATTCACTTTAGTCTTTCATAAGCCTGGGTATGGTATTATATTTCTCGGGTAACCACTAAATTATAGAAACAAAAGGTACAACTTACTGAAGTAATAGAGGAAAAAAGTTCAAAAAATAAGAACCAAAATAGATTTGGGGGGGAAATTGTTTATTTTAGTAACTGTCTGATCTTTTTCAACTTTGGAGATGGAATAAGTTAATAATTTGCTTAACTTAAAAAACTTTTTTTTCTTCCTGGCTTCCTCCCTCCCTTCCTTCCTCCCTCCCTTCCTCCCATTCACTCTTCTTTCCCTTTTGTTGTTTTTTCTTCTTTCTCATATTGATCTCTTTTGCCACGTGCATGCAAAGCAGCCCTTTTGACTGCTGTGCAGATGAACAGTTATTAGAATGTAGTTCTGTGATTATACCATATAGTCAACTTGTAGAGTTCTTAGTTGATATAATGCCTAGCCAAATAAGTTTCAGAAATAAAAGATAAATTGTCAAAGGAATGAGATTAATTGAAAACCACCATGATTCTGGTTGCATGTATTCCCACCCTATCTTTTCAGTCACAGTATGTACTCATTTCCAAAAGGTAATCAAGATCCGAAATGTTCATATATTTGTTATAAATTTTAAAAGGACTTAGCTATTTCTCACAGGATTACAAGCACTTATTGAGACACTAGCTCATCTTTCTTTGCTCCACTTCCAAATAAATTTCTTGCACACAGCTCTGCAGTCATAAATCATCCCGAAGATCTCAGGTCTGGAGTCTTCAGAGCTGTAGATCATCACCTGAACATAATTCTCAAATCTCTGGGCACCACTCTGCATATTCTAGCCCCATGTTACTTTGACCTTTCCTTTGATGTCCAGAATTTGTTGTCTCCACGTGAACATGCTCAGTGATTTTCTGTTTTCATTTTTGGAGAGGAAGGTGTATTAATGTATTCACAGACAATTACCTTTCTCTTTCCTTCTTTCTCTTTCCTTCCGTTTTTTTTTTTTTTTTTTTCTGAGACAGTCTCTGTCACCCAGGCTGGGGTACAGTGGTGCGATCTTGGCTCACTGCAACCTTCACCTCCTGGGTTCAAGCGATTCTCCTGCCTCAGCCTCCTGAGTAGCTGGGATTATAGGCACACGCCACCACACCCGGCTAATTTTTGTATTTTTAGTAGAGATGGGGTTTCTCCATGTTGGTCAGACAGGTCCTGAACTCCTGACCTTGGCCTCCCAAAGTGCTGGGATTACAGGTATGACCGCCCTTGGCCCTCTTTTTCTTTTCTTTTCTTTTTTTTTTTTTTTTTTTTTGAGATGGAGCTCTGTCACCAGGCTGGAGTGCAGTGGTGCAATCTCGGCTCACTGCAAGCTCCGCCTCCCGGGTTCAATTGACTCTCCTGCCTCAGCCTCCCGAGTAGCTGGGACTACAGGCATGTGCCATCATGCCCAGCTAATTTTTGTATTTTTAGTAGACATGGGGTTTCACCATGTTGGCCAGGATGGTATCGATCTCTTGACCTCATGATCTGCCTGCCTTGGCCTCCCAAAGTGCTGGGATTACAGGCACAAGCCACCGCGCTCGGCCTACATTTCTTTTTCAGTAATAATTTCTATTCATGAATTACTATGAGGCATCCACTGTTTTGGCACAATCTTTTAATGAACTTAGAGTTATAAAACAGATGAGCTAGAAGGGGTCTTAAGAGACCCTCTGATCCAGCCCTCTGCCTTTTAGCATTCGTCATAGCCTTTTCTCTTTGGGAAAATTGGATGATTTATTTGTTTCTGCCACACCTGATCAGCATGCAGTTTAGTGCAAAAAAAGTTCAAACTAGTTTAAGAAGAAGTGGGCTTTGGTCAGAGGAAAGGCCATATACTTTATGTCAAAGGAAATGGATGTTGGGAGTAGATGAGCATATATCACAGGTCTGAACAACATGTTTCCCCAGGGTGGACTGGAATTCCAGTGGTTCATGATCCTGTCAAACTCAAGTGGTTGAGAGAAATGGGCTCCAGATTTCCTCTGTTACAACAGAAACTTGCAGATACTAGTCCGTGTTAAAATGAGAAATAGTAGGACCTCGGTTTTCTCTTTTGTAAATTATTATTCAGGAAGGAAAATAAAGATTATTGATCATTGGGTTACAGCTTCAAAAGGAACAGGTGTTCTGTGGAGAAATCAGTTTGATTTTGTGTGGAAAAGCAGACCATCCCGGGAGCGATGGTGCTAATACCTGCTAAGCCACGTGGTAAAAGAAAGCAAATTCGTTAGCCATATGGGATCAGTCAAGGGAATCTGATTGTTTATAAAGGTCTTGGTGTCAGTCCAGGACTATTTGATAGGGTCTCTAGTACCTGACGCTGAGGTCTTTTATGCATTTCTTGCACATTTACCATCTGCTTCAGCCTGTGTTTTTGGAGTTAATTTATTTCACATGGAAGAAACCTTAGAGAGCATCTGGCCTCTTGTTGGCCTATTAATGTACCTTTAAGGGCCAGAAACTGATGTAAATGTGTAACACTGCTAGGTATAGAAGAGAGAAAGTGGGGGACTAGGCTGGACTGGAGGGTGATACACCCACACACACACACACACAATGCATGTCTAAGCTTGTATGGAGCCAGATTTGAACCATAGGCCACAACTTAGCAATGATTAAGCCTCTAATCCCCTTATTTTATAGACAGAGAAACTGAGGTCACCTGTATGGTTGATGGCAAAGCTGGGAATAGAATCTCTGTCTCCCAACCGGGAGGTTTAGGGGATTGTGTATAAGACGTATGTACAAAACACAGTCATGAGAGCATGTTATCACCCCAAAATACTGTCACTTGGTGTGGCTGGTGTGCAGGCTTCAGAGAGAGAGAGAAAAGTGATAGGAGAGGGGCTAGAGATGGAGCCAGCGGCTGGACCCTGAAGAGTCTTCTCTGCCATTGAGTTTGGACCCAATCCTGGGAAAAAAACCAAAACAAAACAAAGCTCGGGAAGCCACTAGATTTTAATATAGAAACTTGTCCCTGAGGGAATGCTACAAGGAGGGACTACTTCACCATTGGCCAACCCCATAGAGTGTGACAGGCGAAGTCACCCTTAGGCCAGGCTAGGAGGCCAATTTTCAGAGGGTGTTCTCTTCTCTTCACAGACTTTGTTCAGCCCCTCAGGCCAGTGCACAGGCTCAGTCTCCACTATGCCAGCGGAGTTAGACACTGAACCCAATGCGCAAGCAATCTTCCTTGCTGGTAGTGTTGGGCAGAAGGGCTGCTGGGGGATGAGAATATCACAGATCATAGCTAATATTCTTGAAATTAGAAGCAGACAACTTTAAAGATTCATTGGTCTTAAAGAGATGATCTATCTAAATAATTTATTATCCAGAGGTGAAAATTCTCCGAATTCATTTTCTAAGGATCTCATTATTCAAAGTGTTCTTATTGCCTCCATCCTAAAATAATGTTCTTTTTTAGGGATAACTTTATTTACTATAAGGAGAATTATAAAAGTAAATTTACAGGAAAATGGCAAAGTATGAATTGTATAAGAATGTCACAACCTCTGTCTCTTATTTAGTGTTACTCTCTTGCAGTTTGGATGACAAGAAACCATGGCTTAAGGTAAAGTGATTAAAGGTTCCCCAGGAGCTCCAGCTGTCAGTGTAGGGACAGCCTTTCTCATCATGGATTTTCTCTTTCCATACTTAAAATGTGTTCCTCTTTTTATTCTTTGTCCACTGTGGGCAGACATCTGTGAATAATGGGGGAAATGCTTATAACCACCATGGGCAGCATTCTATGACCTAATCAATTTGCGGAAATTTCAGTGGTTAATTAGTACCAAAGAAATAGCAAGCATATCTGGGCCATCATTTACAAGAAAACACTGCCTTTTTTTTTTGTTTGTTTGAGAGAGTGTTGCTCTGTCGCCCAGGCTGGAGTGCAGTGACACGATCTCGGCTCACTGCAACCTCTGCTTCCCAGGTTCAAGCAATTCTCCTGCCTTGGCCTCCCGAGTAGCTGGGATTACAGGCACATGCCACCACGCCTGGCTAATGTTTTTGTATTTTTTGTATTTTTTTTTTTTTTTGAGACAGAGTCCTGCTCTGTTGCCCAGGCTGGAGTGCAGGGGCATGATCTCTGCTCACTGCAAGCTCCGCTTCCCGGATTCACACCATTCTCCTGCCTCGGCCTCCCTAGTAGCTGGGACTACGGGCGCCCACCAGCACGCCCGGGCTAAATTTTTTTGTGTTTTTAGTAAAGACGGGGTTTCACCATGTTAGCCAGGATGGTCTCAATCTCCTGACCTCGTGATCTGCCCGCCTTGGCCTCCCAAAGTGCTGGGATTACAGGTGTGAGCCACCACGCTTGGCCCAAAAACACTGCTTTATGGGAGATTATAGGTTATTTTTTTCTTCTCCATAAAAAGTTATGATGAGAATAAAAATGTCTTCTAAATTTGCCTTTTTTTTTTTCTTGAGATGGAGTTTTGTTCTTGTTGCCCAGGCTGGAGTGTAGTGGCACAATTTCAGCTCATTGCAACCTCCGCCTCCCGGGTCCAAGGGATTCCCCTGTCTCAGCCTCCCATGTAGCTGGGATTACAGACACCCGCCACCATGCTGAGCTAATTTTTGTAGTTTTAGTAGAGACGGGGTTTCACCATGTTGGCCAAGCTGGTCTCGAACTCCTGACCTCAGGTGATCTGCCCACCTCGGCCTCCCAAAGCGCAGGGATTACAGGCATAAGCCACCGTGCCCAGCCTAAATTTGCCCTTTCTAAGACTTGCTATAAGCACTCTTTCTATATAGGTCCTGTTATTTGACTTTATGGGATCTCCTACCTATTGATCTCTGCATTAACCCTACCTGTGAGACGCTGTGTCTTTACCTTTCTCTTGAATTTGGCTTAGATTTTACTGCCCATTGTTCCAATATCACTCTTGCTCACTCCCTTGTCAGTCTTCTTTAGTTGCACCTGAACTGATGAGTGGTTCCTAACTGCTGCTGCACATTACTGGGAAACTTCCTCAGAACACAAATGTCCTGGCCAACCATCAGGTTTATGGAGCCTGGAATCTTAGGGACATAGTCCATGCATGTGTGTGAGTGTTCCCAAAAAATTCCCAGTGTGATTCTGACACAAATCCCAGTTAAATAACCACTGATCCTAACCAAACCCTCTGTTGGCTAATCTAGCTATTTTGTCATCTCTGTGATTGCATCAAGCAGCTGAGAAGTGCTGGGGCGCTATCACACACAGGTGCCCATTGTCACTACAGTTTCATAGTCACCAGCCTCAACTGGGCACTCCGTGCTGCCCGTGCATCCTACCAAGTTTCTTTAATTGACTGGCCCACCACTCTCTATAATTGCCATTTCAAACCTTCCACACTCTTTGGCTTCTCTTCTCTTCCTCTCAATTTCAGCAGATGATTTTTTGCTTCCTAAGTGGGAAATTCACAATTTATTGCAATACAATTTATAAACCTACTTGTATTAGCACCTATTCTCTTCTCTCCTGTTCCAGTGGAGGAGGAATCTCTTCCATCTAAAGTGAATCCTTTCATGTGTTCTCTGGATCCCATTCCTCCCCACCTCCCCTAATAGACAAGAAGCAGAATTCAACTAATCTATACATTTAGCTTATCATCTTGACTTCTTAGGGCATTTTACACAGTTTACTCTGTCCTTCTTGAGCTCGTCTGTCCTTTTTCCTTAGCTGTTGTGATAATATACACTCTCTTGGTGTCTTTTGTACCTTGCTGTCCCTCCTCCAAGTCTTTTTCTTTTTCTTTTTTTTTTTTTTTTTTTGAGATAGAGTATCGCTCTGTCGCTCAGGCTGGAGTGCAGTGGTGCAATCTCAGCTCACTGCAAGCTCCGCCTCCTGGGTTCATGCCATTCTCCTGCCTCAGCCTCTCAAGTAGCTGGGACTACAGGCACCCACCACCACGCCCAGCTAATTTTTTGTATTTTTAGTAAAAATGGGGTTTCACTGTGTTAGCCAGGATGGTCTCGATCTCCTGACCTTGTGATCCGTCCGCCTCATCCTCCCAAAGTGCTGGGATTACTGGCATGAGCCACCACACCTGGCCTCTTCCAAGTCTTTCTTTACTGGTTTTTCCTACCTAATATTTAAATATTGAAGTTTCTGTGCATGTTTCTGGGAAGGGGTCTGGGAAGCACTGCATCCATGGCCAGCCACCTCATGCTCAACAATGGCACCAAGATGGCCATCCTGGGACTGGGCATCTGAATGTCCCCTCCAGGCCAGGTGACCAAGGCTGTGAAGGTGGCGATTGATATCAGGTACCGCCACATCCACTGAGCCCAGGTACGAGAATGAGAATGAGATAGGGGTGGCCATTCAGGAGAAGCTCAGGGGGCAGATGGTGAAGCGTGAGGAGCTCTTCATCATCAGCAAACTCTGGTGCACATACCATGGGAAGGGCCTGGTGAAAGGAGCCTGTCAGAAGATGCTCAGTGACCTTAAGCAGGGCTACCTGGACTACTACCTTGTTCACTGGCCAGCCAGCTTTAAGCGTGGGAAGGAATCCTTCCCATTGGATGAGTCAGGCAACATGGTTCCCAGTGACACTGACATTGTGGACACACGGGTGGCCATGAAGAGCTGGTGGATGAAGGGCTGGTGAAAGCTACTGGCATCTCCACCTTCAACCATCTCCAGGTTGAGAGGATCTTAAACAAACCTGGGTTAAAGTATAAGCCAGCAGTTAACCAAATGGAGTGCCACCTGTGCCTCACACAGAAGTTAATCCAGTACTGCCACTCTAAAGGCATTATGGTGACTGCCTGTAGTCCCCTTGGCTCTCCTGACAGCCTCTGGGCCAAGGCTGAGGACCCTTCCCTCCTGGAGGATCCCAAGATCAAGGCAATCATAGCCAGGTGATCATAGCCAGGCGATCCAGGTTTGGATCCGGTTCCCCAGGCAGAGGAACTTGATGGTGATCCCCAGGTCTGTGATACCAGAATGCACTGCTGAGTCACAGACTTTGAACCAAGCAGCCAGGATATTACCATCTTATTCAGCTACAACAAGAACTGGAGGGTCTGTGCCTTGGTAAGCTGTGCCTCTTATAAGGATTACCTCTTCCATGCAGAGTTTTGAAGGGGTGGATGCCTGCTCATCCCCAGTGACCTACACTTGTTTTTCCTGCTCATTTTTTTCTTGCAAATATAGCATGGCCTGTGTCACTCAGTGGTGGAACAACAACCACTAGACTGAGCAGCCAGGGCTTTTCTAGCTTGATGTTGGGTCTGAGGAGCAGTGTCAGTAGAGTAGAAGTCTATTCCAGTTTCCTCTGCCCTCTTTTTTGCCCAGCTGGGGAAAGTGTAGTGTGCATACCCTTTTTTTGACCAAGGAGAAGCAAAATCTACAAGGTCAAAATAGTGCCACTAACAGTCACGTTTTGACTGCTTGTAACTTTTCAGCAAGACTTCTCCTTGCCTAAAAAAAAAAGTGCTGTTGTGAGCTTAAAAAAAAATTTGACATTTCTTAGGCTGTGTACTACCATTTTAACTTCCACTCCCCCATTTTCTTCAAACCTCCATCTTTGTATTATTGTGTGTGTGTGTGTGTGTTCAGTTATAGGAATTTGGGTGTGCAAAAGTGTAAATTTCTTTTTAAAACATTTCTCATAGTCTCATTTCTGCCGACAGTAGTAACTCAGTTACTTTGGCTCAGGGTTTCTCAACCTCAACACTCTTCACATTTTGGACAGGATAATTCTTTGTTGTGAAGGTTGTCCCACATGTTTTGGGATGTTTAGCGGCATCCCTGGCCTCCACTCATAAGATGCCAGCAGCCTCCTGCCCTTCCTAGTTGTGCCAACGACAAAATGTCTCCAGATCATATCAAATGTCCCTGGAGGTGTAAAATTGTCCTTGGTTGAGAACCACTGCATTTACCTTAAACTCAGTCTCTTTGGGGGTACCTAGTCATTTTGTTTCACCTCATCTTCCTTTTCCTTCCCATCTCCCTGGGAGTGGTCAGAGGCTCTGGAGGACTTATGCATAACCTTGACATTCTCAGAGAAACCTTTGATCTGCAATTACTTCTCCACTGGCATTCACTGTTGCTGTCACTCAAAGCCTGTTCTCACAACAGGCTCACTGCAGGACCATTGCTCTGCTGGGTTTTGGCGTCTCCCCTGTTGCTTTCCCATAGTTCCTGCCTCAACATTGGCCGGTGGCTGTCTAGCTTCTGAAACTCAGCAAAATTTTTCCGTCTCAACTCTGACTGTGGCTGCCCATCCCACAGCCTCTACTGTGAGAATCTCCCTTTCTCTTCTGCAAGTTGATATTTTAGTTCGCTCTGTGCTCACTCAAGTCCCTGATCACTTGCAGGGGCTCCTTCAAGGTGGCATCTGTGTATGAGGTGGGGTCTCATCTCCTTTCTCCTTGAACCTGACTCATCCTTTCCATTTTAGTGCAGCTACTCCATGTTGGCATGGGGTGCCCTGGAAGGCAGCTTCCTCCCAGCAATTCAGACACAAAGTCCTCTGCTGTCTTGTCTTCCTGCATCTTCCTGAAGGTTTCCATCATCCCTTCTTTTCTAGGGTTTTGGACCCAGAGGGAGCAGCATGTGGAACCCTCTTACAGAGACCACATCACTAACTCCCTTTAGCTGGTTGACTCCCCATGTTCTCTCCAGCTCCCTCCCTCAAGTCTTCTTATCATCTCTCTATATTTTGGGACGAGTTCTTTTGCAATCAGAGATTAGACTTTGTTGTAAAACACTATGTTCTGAGTGCTTCATGTATTTTTCCTTCTGGAGCTTAAGAAACCTTCCCCCAACCTCCTTCAAATCTGTCTCTGCCATAGGCCTAAAACCTATTTTGGAACTCAACATAGGCTTTCGAGCCCATTATTCGATTCTTTCGTTCATGCTGGGATTTTTGGTGTTCCTTCTTCATTGGGATAATAAGCCCTAGCGTTAAGGTTCGGTAGAAACGACAGAAGTACTGGACAATAAAAAGAACTTGCCAAGAAGAAAAAATATATAAACTATTATTCCACTACCTATGACTGATTGTTTAACTTTTGCACTTCCTTTTGCGAAAGCCCTGTTCAGGGCTCACCAAATATTTCATTTCCATCAGAGCTTAATCTTTGCAGAGGAAGAAGTTAATACTACCTATTGCTGACTTTGAATGGGAGTTTGGGGATATGAGGGTCACAGAGAGATGATTACTGCCCCCTTCCTCCAAACTGTGGAGCTGACCACGCCATAAAACAGTTTCAGTCATCAGGAATGAGCTTTGAGAGGAACCACTGGTGTAGAACTTTCAGTCTATGTGGACATAACCAATAAAAAATTTGGAGGGGGTGTAAAGTGTATGTATATGTGTTTAAAATGTTATTGGCAAAGCCTGGTTGTTTTACTGCCAGTAATGGTCATTCATTTTTTCCCCTATAATTCTATTCAGCTTCATTCTGGACTGATTCAAATAGGAAGCCGACACGATGTCAACCAAAAATCATTTTAATCTCCAAGTCCCATAAAACAATATAAAATACTCATATAACTCACTTTCCTGGAATGAAGTTTATAGCAACTAAAGTGCTTCCAATTTTATTTTTAGAAACTGGTTCATGCATTTTACATTGAATTAAGTCTAGTTCTTTTCTGTGACAGTTGGAGAGATATTTTAAATCTCAGCCAGTGGGCAAAGCATAATTTGTTTCTGATCTACATTTTTGCTTTGAAGAAACCATCAACTCTATTAATAAAACAAATGCTGTTTTCTTTTCCTTGAGAATCCACAACCTGCACAGCCTCTGCTTGACAATCTGAGACAAAATAAATGTGATAAAATGGATTTTATATTACAATGAGCCAACCTGACATGGAAGTCAAGGGACTGGTCCCGAAGAGTGACAATTACATTTACTGCATTCCAGAATCAGCAATACATTATGGTCCCTGCCTGCAAGTGCTTCTGAATGGAATTTCAAAGCCCTTGCAGATCCATATGTAGCCTTTCAAGATAAACTGTATATCAGCTGGTTCCTAAACCGCAAAACTACTGCCCACAGACAAAAGCATAATTTAGAAAAGAAACTCCCATAAAAATACACAGATGAAATATAGGTTGAAAATGGTGTGTAATTACTGGTACATTACTGGTCATTACTGGTGTGTTAAGAATCTGCTCTGATTAAAGAGATAATAAATCTTCAAGGAATTAAATAATTCTTAAAAGGCAAAATGACACTTAATGATGGATTTCTATGACCCACTAGGAAAAACAAAAAAAACACATTGTATGTGGGTAATTAAAAAAAAAGTTTCTTGAAAGACAGGATAAACACTGACTATCATATTTGCTACAAATGTGGAGATCAAATAACAAGTAAATCTTTGGTAAGCCCCTCGCCGTCTGGAATCAGCTCAGAAAAAACAGAAAGGAGAATTCAGAAAAGCCACAAGGATGAGAACTGTGGGCTGATAGATGACAACCCCCAAAATACAACTGCTGAAGAGGTTTAGATGCAAACCTCAAACCACTTGTATTAACTAATTGACCCTCAGCATGTGCCACTGATCAATCATTTACATCCTGACTGGTGAGTTCTTTTTAAATGATCGTTTTTATGGTTGTATTTATTTTTATTTTGGAAACTTGCAAACCTCCAGAAATGCTGAAAGAATAGGAGGATAAAAACCCTTATATCCTTTACCTACATTTATTGACTGTTGACATTTTATCACATTTGTGATACATTTGTGCACTCTTTGTATATATTCCCCCAATCATTTGTAAGTAAGTTGCAAATATTAGACTCTTCCTGTTCTACATACTTGAGTATGTATCTCCTAAGAGCAAGGACATCCTCTCACATAGCCACAATACTGTTATCACACCAGGAAATTTAACATTGTTATAAATGTACTGTCTTTTATACAAAACATATTTGCATTTCCCAAATTGTTTCCAAAAATGTTCTTTATAGATTTTTTTTTTTTCTGATCTAGGACCATCAAGAATCATGCACTGCATATGGTTGTCCTATAACTTTTGCCCTTTAATTTAGAACAAGGGTGAGCAAACATTTTCTGTAAAGGGACAGATATGAATACAAATATTTATATTTATAAATAACATATAATAATATAAATATTTTAAGCTTTGCAGCCCATACCGTCTCTGTTGCAGCTGCTTAACTGTGGTGTTGTAGCACAAAAACAGCCCTAGACAATATGTAAAGGAACGAATGTAAGTGTGTTTCAATAAATTCATATAATTTTCAAGTGCCATGAAATATGTTTCTAATTTTTTCCAGCCATTAAAAAATATACAAACCATTTGTAGATCACAGGTCATCAAAAGCAGTAGGTGGCAGGATTTGCCCTACAGATCATAATTTGATGATAACATATCTAAAGCAATCCTCTGCCTTTTTTTTTTAAAAGGAAACATTTTACTGAAGTATATGGAAATGCACACACTTTTAAGTGGAGAGCTTGACGATTTTTCACAAGGTGAACAGGATCATGTAACACAACTCAGAATAAGAAATAACTGTGACTTTATTTCATTTTTAAAAAGTTCCACTTATTTATGTTATGTATGTGGATTCAAAGGTGGTTAGCTAAGTGTGTTATTATAGAATCCTTCCAGAAATGGTTTTAACTGTTATTATTAGAGTCCTCATCCTCTGCAGTGAACTGAATATCTCGTCTTGACAACGATCCTGCCTTTTGGGCCAGGGCAGCTAATATGTGTGATAAAGTCATGCATGGAACCATTTCAGAAAATATGCCAATTCCTGCAGATTCCATGAATGATTTCACCCCTTTCTGTAGAGCTCTCTTCCGGCTCTCCGCATTACCTCGGAGGGTGCCCAGGCCTGATAGGCAGGAAGATGCTGCTTAAAGAATGGACTTAAGAAAAGGTAGACGTCAGCAGGGCCCGGGATCTGGGAGGTCTGGCTTTGTTCACAGGCTGGAGGGAAGCCAGGAGCCGTCATCCCTGGTGGGTAACTAGTTGATGAGACCACTTAAGACAGTTCTTTTACCTTGTTTGTTGCACTTTATTTACCATGGGGTGCAAAATTTCTTGGCTTTGTAAAAGCAAAACTTGGAAAGTTTCCTTTAGACATGTGAATGGTCACGGGATCTCCTCCTGATACGGAAATAAGCTGCCTCACAAGTTCCTAGCTTTTCTATTTACTCCAGGCATCTTCAATATGTTTATAATATTTTTAGAGATTATCCCTAGTGTGAAGTGGGGATTAATCCATTTTTTTCCAGGACACAGAGCCAAACATCAATTAGCTTTTCTGAAAATGGCAGAATTTCTTGGATGATATGTGTCCTAAGCATATTGATATCAATATGTGTCCTAAGCAATCATCCAAGGGCACATAATTTTTTTTTTTTTTTTTTGAGACGGAATCTTGCTCTGTCACCCAGGCTGGAGTGCAGTGGCGCGATCTCGGCTCACTGCAAGCTCCGCCTCCCGGGTTCACGCCATTCTCCTGCCTCAGCCTCCTGAGTAGCTGGGACTACAGGTGTCCACCACCACGCCCGGCTAATTTTTTTGTATTTTTAATAGAGACGGGGTTTCACCGTGTTAGCCAGGATGGTCTCAATCTCCTGACCTCATGATCCACCCGCCTCGGCCTCCCAAAGTGCTGGGATTACAGGCGTGAGCCACCGTGCCTGGCCAGACACATAATTTGGGAGAGGTACAATCAAATAAATGGTGGTCTCGCCTTGAGGCTCAGCATGTGGGTTCAGTTACTTTCACATGGGTGAATTTGTTTGAAGAAGCTTAATCCCAGGACAACGTCCACTGCAGATTTATAATATTCTCCTAGGAATATCACATTCATATTTCAGAATAAAGACCCCTCTGTAGGTCTAACTTTGAGAGACCTGAATCAACACTGAAGAACTGAACAGGCTCAGAGCCAGCTTCGCTCCTGGGGTTCTCAGGCCCTTTCTTTTTTTCTACTCTCAGACCTAATTTTATGTTAATATCCATCACCTCCCTCTCCCTTAAACTATTTCTACTTGGCTGAAGGCATTTAACTATTAATTCTTCGATTTTATTGAAAAATTTTTTTCTATGTTCACATCCCAAATAATAAAATGGCACAATTAAGCTAATCAACATGGCAAAGGATCTATCCCTACTAGAGAACAGAAACCAGTCAGACAGCACATACTGGGGAATTCCAGGTTGGGAAGCAAAAAAGTTGCCATGAATCCTGGTAGCTTCTTCTTTTAAGTTTGTTTATGATGATGCAGCTTGAAAGATGATTGGCTTTCTTCTTGTAATTTATGATACAACAAGGTTATCCGTTGTTAAGTGAATCCCTTTCTCTGGCTTTCTCATTTAGCTCATGTTTCCAGGATCAAAGCATCATAAATAACCAATGATGAAAAACACCACCTAAACATCAAGAGACAATTTCCATAAACGTTCACATTAAAAATGCATGATTGGTATGAAGATTTAATTGTAGCCACAGTGTAGTTTCTGTCTTTTGCTGCGGTCATATTTTCCTTTGTGTTGTCTGTGCTATTTAACTTTGAAGCCCACTAAAGATGAAAAATGGGCATTCATGGAGCAGGCGCATATGGCTTTAGCTGTTCGGTGGTGGATCTGGCGTTTTCCCCTCTGTGGCATCAGCCTTTGTGTTCTCAGCAATGAACTTTAATAAAACAACCTAAAATCTGAGAGATGGTGGAGAGAAGAGAAAGCAGTAGATGTAAGCTGACTCTAGTATTTGTTTTGTCTGTAAATGTGGTAAAATAGACTAATGCACAACTAACCACTCCTCCTATCCCCACTATGTCATTTCCAGAGATATGTAAAATTGTGTCAGAGATATTCAGTTAATGAGCTTTCTGAGTCATGGTAGTAATATAGACGTGGTGTTCATACAGTGACTTTCATTTAATCACAACCAAACAAGAACCCTTGCATGATAGAGAAAAAGACCCTACAATAGACTACTGATTACTATTATTATTGTTGTTGTTGTTGTTTAGGCAAGCTGAGGAGAATATAAAGAATACTAACCCTTCTTTTTTATAACATATTAGTAAACATACTAAAATGTAGTTGTGAAATGGTTAAAGTTGTGGGGAATATAAGCAATATAAGCCTTTTTATTCTTTTTTTTTTTTTTTTTTTAATATTGGCTACTGGCCGGGCACGGTGGCTCACGCCTGTAATCCCAGCACTTTGGGAGGCCGAAGCAGGCGGATCATGAGGTCAGGAGATCGAGACTATCCTGGCTAACACAGTGAAACCCCGTCTCTACTAAAAATACAAAAAAATTAGCCAGGCGTGGTGGCGGACACCTGTAGTCCCAGCTACTAGGGAGGCTGAGGCAGGAGAATGGCTTGAACCCCGAAGGCAGAGCTTGCAGTGAGCCAAGATCGCGCCACTGCACTCCAGCCTGGGCGACAGAGCAAGACTCCATCCCAAAAAAAAAAAAAAAAAAAAAAAAGGTTGGCTACAAAATTTTGTTCAATGTAGATAGGCTGCTGGGGTTTCTGTGGGAAATGTCACATTGTCTAGTAAGCCTTGGGAGAATTGCAAGGCTCAAGTCAGGCATCCTACCAAGATCTCAGAGTTCAGAACTATTTGGCTCTCAGGGAAGAAGGGTTGAGAAATGTCCCCCTGGTTTCCGCTGGGAAAGGGCTACCTCAAGACTTGTTTTCTTTGCCTTCCAGCGCCAGAAATGTAAAGTGCTGAGATACTTCAAGTCAAAGAAGTGAAAGGGGTAAATAAAGCATGTCCATGATAGGCTAAGGATGAATAGAGACCTAAGGGTTAGATGGGAATTGACTAGTTTAGTGTCTAAGAGGAGGAAAGATCTAGAAGCACCTAATTAGATTGGGGCCAGGAATTTCAAATGAGAGACATTCTGATGATTTTATGAATATAGTTTTTCTTCCCAGGTATATCCCAAATTCCTTAAAGGCTTAGGTCCTTTATTTCCATTTGTCTTCTACATAGAACTTCAGCAGGAAAACTTGCACAAAGTGATGATCAATACATTTCTGTCAACTCATATTATACTTTAAAAGAAAATTATTTTGATGACGTTTTACCTCTGTGTATATTTTGGGAATTATTTGATATGAATCTTGCAGTAGATTGAGACCATATTGTTAATTGTAAATGGTATGTGTGAATTAATTATAGAATGGGTCAAGAAATAACCTCACCTAGTTTTTAATCCTGACATTCTAGAGCCTGTCTGACCTGTGAGATGTTTGGAGAAACAACACTGCCACCTTCTGGTAGATACATGTCATCTTTCTCTCTGCCCACCATTGGCACCCTGGCTCACCCACGTTTACATTAATAAAACCAAGTCTAAATAAAATCTTCGATAATAAGGCTGAAGATCAAAGGTCTGGAAAGAAGGCCTCCAGCTTGTACTTTTTTTTGGAAAGGGTTATGATTTTGCTATCAGAGAAAATCTTATCCCAGGCCTACTGTGATGTGATATTATCTTTAAGACTTAACTACTTTACTGGGTTATTCTAATAGACCTTCAAATGACCAGGAATGCTCCAGCCTTAGAGCTGGGGATGATGGGAGTAGTTGGAGCAAGAGTGTGGGGAAAAATTCACAGACATGTTGTGTCAGCCATGAAAAAACAAATGGGTGAGTAAACTGCCTAAGTGATGAACAGGTGAACAGAATTTTCCACCCTGCATTTTTGGATTGGTAGTTTATCTTGTTTGGTGTTAAATGTTTGTAGTCATGGTTACGTGACTAGTTCACTGGAAACCCATGTAGACCCACAGTTTTCTAGAGTGGGGCATATAGTAGGTGTCAATAAGAACTAGTTACATTAATTAATAAATGAGAACATATCTTTGCTTTTTTTTTTTTTGGGACGTAGTCTCACTGTGTCACCCAGGCTGGAGTGCAGTGGCGCAATCTCGGCTCACTGTAACCACCTACTGGGATCAAGCAATTTGCCTGCCTCAGCCTCCAGAGTAGCTGGGATTACAGGTCCATGCCACCACGCCTGGCTAATTTTTTGTATTTTTAGTAGAGACAGGGTCTCACCATGTTGGCCAGGCTGGTCAACTCCTGACCTCAGGTGATCTGCCCACCTCAGCCTCCCAAAGTGCTGGGATTACAGATCTTTGCTTTTATATTTCATCTCTGAAATACTCTCCTGAGAATGAGGCTGGAGAGAGTAAATTTTAATTTTCCTAATCTTTCTTGCTCATTCCCCAATCCAAACCCTACGGCAACTGCTCATAAACGTAGGTCAGTGCTAAAGAATTAGTTCTATTGATTTTTTTCACCACTTGATCCATGTTAGGAAACAAAATTAGCTGGGTGTGGTGGCACACGCTTGTAATCCCAGCTACTTGGAGGCTGAGACAGGAGAATCATTTAGAACTCGGGAGATGGAGGTTGCAGTGAGCTGAGATCTTGCCACTGCACGAACAATTGCTTGGGTGACAAAGGGAGACTCCGTCTCCAAAAAAAAAAAAAAAAAAAAAAAAAAAAAGACATTGGAATAAACAAAACAAGATTGATCAGGATTAATGTTTTTTCAAGGTAATGTTCCAGGTAATGCTATAACCACTGGGGATTATGTTCCTATCCAAATATGCACCTTTGTCTTTGACTAGGCTATTTTATAATTTTGTAGGGATCAAAGTTAACTTGTACAAAACTGATAGCAATGCAAATATGCCCATAGGCATATAAATAAATTCTGTCCAGTGGAAAGTTAATTGACTCCTCCCTGTCCACACACACAAAAGCACCAATTTTGTTTCCATTTGCAAATCCATTTCACTCTTCCTGATCTATAAATGTCTCTGCTTTTTGGCTTTCTCTGAACCTGTTGTTAATGAAGTCTTATTCTCTCAATCACCATGCAATTGAGCTATGGGATTTCATGTTGAGTTATTAGCTTCTACTATTATTTTACCTGTTACCTCATTTAATTAATGAGTTAAATGAAAGTTTGACATAAGCATGTTTTATATTTGCATGAGAATCATGATTGTTCCTCCTCCCATCCCCAAAGATCCTTCAACACCCAATATTAAGTAACAAGCTGAAGGAGAAGTCTGGGGGACTTTTCTTACTTGGTTTTTATGGGAGTTACATCATTGGTAATCCGAAGTTTTGTTCCCTTGCCCTCCCTGAAGTAAAGGGTGCAACTGAGAGTGACTGAGACTACCCACCTTCCCACGTGGTCTTCCCGTGTGATCACTCACTTGGTGAACCTGTGTTTGTGCAAAGCATTTCTGAAACTCCTCTGCTGAAAGTACCTACAAAATCTGCTGCAGAGTCTTCAGATTTGCAGCATTGTGTGAATTTCACTAGACATCAGGCTTTGGTATTGGTCAGCCCTACTTCAAATTCTAGCTCTCCATGCACTAGGTGGAAGTTATCAGATGTTTCTGTTTACTCATCTGTAAAATAGAGCCGTTATAGAGTGAATGAAACAATGCGTATTATAGCTGGCATGTAATATGTTCTCCATAAATCTTACCTATTATTGCTACGTAGAGAGAAAAACATGGGACCTCCTTTCTTCCTTGGTCCTGCTGACGTGTAGCTCTGCAGTAACATCTCTGGTGCTGATGTTTCAGGCCAGATTGACATAGACAGGACTACACCCATTTAGGCCTGTGTAGGGCCTGAAGGATCTAGGTGTCTGGGTGGATTGGATCAGGAAATTTCCTGGAGTGAGTAGACCCGGATTTGACCTTTCAATTTCTTGATTGTGGGAAAGTCAAGGCATGGTGAGTGGCAGACGGTAGCTAAGGGCAGTGGCCACGTAACAACTGCTATGGAAATTTTACAAATTTAATAATTGGTATGGCACTGCTGAGTAAAACAAAGCCCTGGGAGAGGGTAGGTGAGCTGAATTGGGAGCAAGGGGACATCTTTCCAGACACCCTTAAAGTGGATGCAAAGATGGCTATAGACAGCCAGGTCACCAAGCAAAGAACTTCTTTGCCCTCCTTCTGATGGGTTTTGTCTGATGGAAACAGCTAATATGGAGAATTTTTTCAGTTGTGGGCTCTACCATCCCACCCTTCTAATACAGATTTCAACTGCTGGTAGATTTTACTATTGAACCAGGACAGAAACAAAAAGGAAGCTTAAATATCACAGCAGCCAATGACACCGCTGTTCCTTTGAGACACCTCAAAGGTGTCAGTTATACAAACTACGTTTATTCACTCCTTTTCCCTCAACAAATAATTTCCATATAATACGAAGAAGTGACTCTGAAATTTGCATTTTAGGCAGAAAAAGGAAATCTGATACCAGTGAACCAATGTAAACGAATTTTTATTTAAAGAGGCTATAAAAGAACATTCTGGATATTATGTGTATCATTATTTTGGTTACTTTGCAGTGTTATTGACGTTTAACTTCAAATATCCAGTAGAGGGCATGAAAGGAATTGGTTTTGTTTGGGCTCACTATGCTGAAGATAGAATTTGAACACTGGAAATGAAAAAGCAAATGGATTATATATTGCAGCTTTCAGACAGGGAATGACAAGCTTTAGATATCAACCCAATATATACTGCAACCTTTCTTTTTTCTTATATCGTATCTTATATCCTTCATTTAAAATTACTTAATCCTTGAGAATTAGATTTAGCTATTGAACAAAATACATATGAAATCATTAAATATCACTGATTTGTATTCACATCTATTAGAGACAAACCTGAAGAATATACCAAACTTTAGTACATGATGACATAGTATCCATGAAAAGCAAAGTTCTACCCTCTGGCGGAAACCCTTCACCTTTAGAATGCAAGACTGCTCTCAGCATCCCCTTCCTGCTTCAGATCTCAAATCAGGCGCTGGAAGCAGGACAAGAACCTTTCACAATCAGCCTTGGTGCCAAGCTTGACTCAGGATTGACTTAGCAATTGTTGCTTTCTCACTCATTTGTGACTTTGGTGGAAAAACAGAAGAAAAGCGCATACCTCCACTACATTTAATGAGTGCCTACAGTGTGCTAGATACTATATTAGATACTTGAAAAATAATTTTAATCTTTATAAGACCCCTACAAAGCCAAATTTATTATTCCCATTTTTCTGAGGCTCACAGAGGTTGCAAATTTCATGGCATTTCCCTGCATGCTGGTCTGCTCTATTTCTCATAAAATCTTTGGGAAGTAAGAAATAAATCTTTATGAAAAGATTGGGATCTAGAATTCTTAATTTAAATAATAAAATAACAAACCAGGTCACTTCTATATCTATATATTTTGGATATTATCTTCCCCTGTATTTTTCATAATCCAGTCCCACATTTGGTTGATAATAATGTGTGTTTCTATTTTTGTTGTTGTTTAAATTTCTCTTTCTGATTAGCTTCTATAGTAGCTCTTCAAATTAACTGGCACCCCTACATTTTGTAAAACTATAAATCTGCTCTAGAGTGGCCACCTTGTCACTGCTCTTATATCGTTCTTTTTATAGATTTTATTCTTTCCTAGTGTTCTTCAGATGAGTTTTAAGGACCACCAGCATTTAAAATATTTTCAAGAGTTTGTTTAAAATAGAAATTATTGGGCCTCAACAAAGATCATTTGAACTAGAATCTTCTGGGCTGAAGCTTAAGAATCTGCGTCTTCACCTACTCCTCAGGTATCTCCCATACACATGAGATTGATGCGCTGGCTTAGAAAATGAGAATGACTGAGTTCAGGCAGCACTCAGTAAACCTTAGTTGTCAATGACTACGACTTAGGTTTCAGGCCACTTCAATTTCCATGTGTTATTTGTTGGCTACCATGCCAACCACACAGGTTAGTAGAAAAAGCATGGCTTTAGGAAGCAAATGTACCTAGATGTTGATCATTTAGCTTCAGTTTCCAACACTTGTAAAATAATGTCTAATTTGCAGTAATTTTTTAACATAAAATGTAATAATACAGATCAATCACAAAACTAGCACAGTATCTGGTCCATATTGGA
This sequence comes from Homo sapiens, assembly GCF_000001405.40. Classification (NCBI taxonomy): domain Eukaryota; kingdom Metazoa; phylum Chordata; class Mammalia; order Primates; family Hominidae; genus Homo; species Homo sapiens. The sequence continues at coordinate 59,122,627 of NC_000014.9, read as the reverse complement.
GTCTCAAATAATGATAGGTTCTAATAAGCATGATACCCCATTAATTAAATACAATATTATTGCTTGGCATTTGAGAGAATAAGCCTCCATTTATAAAGTGAGATGTTTACTGGGAAAGCTTGTTATTATTTGCATTAAATTTAAATTCTAAAGAAAGACCATAATTAAGTATATCTTCTGGAAACAGTTTTCCCAGTAAAGTGATATATAAGTATAATTTGCCTCTTTTGTATATATACAGGTTGCCAGATTTTGGGAGATAATTCTTAAAGGATCTCTCACATTGCGGCATGTTTTGTGAGCAAAGTATTGGTTGCCATTTGTTCTGGACTGTCTCTTCAAGGATGTTTGTATAGCAAACAGCCTTGGCACATAGAATGTCTTCCCCTAGAGCAGGCATGCTTATTGCCCATTGGAAAAGATTCAGATTCCCTAAACTCAAGAATTCCTATCCTAAAATGCAACCGTGTTCAGGCTTCCTTCTGGGTACATGTGTGTCACTCCTGTACAGCTCAGGAGCAAGAGGTGCTGATTCAAATATGCTGACTCTCATGCTGCTTGCTCTGTTTGCCTCTGACCCAGGAATCTCATGTTTTTTGTCAGCATCCATGACATTGTGGCTGACCAGCTTATTAGATTTCAAGTTGGGAAAATTCTCAGACCCATTCATCGTCCTTGACACTATGTAAAAGTACCTTTAGCACAGGTTTAATACTTTTTGTTTTCCTAGCCTCAGTACTTGTGTGGTGAAATCCACAATGACACCTGAAGAAGGAGGTGACTTGACTCGGATTACAGAGCAAGTTCCAAGCTGAGTCTAACTCCTGGACTCATGCTTCCAGCTTTCTGCTCTTTTCTCCAGGCGTTGATACTTTGTTAAACATCCAAGGCAAAGAATATGCAGAGAGAATATGAGTTTATCAAGATAGGTAGACATTCTATCATGGAAAAAGAATGTTTTCTATTGAGTTATTGGGACTTGGGCAAAGCCATCCTTGGCTAATTCTTTTGCTAGCTTTTCCATGAAACAATTGATGGACTGTGCTTCTTCGGTGGTATTTTCATAGAAAATTCAAGTTCATGAACTGCCCAATGATATACAGCACCAAAGTTATATGATGAAAAGCAGAGTTACCAACATTGCCAACAAGCCTTGCGATGAATGGATGTGCTGAGCTAGTACATAAGGAAGGAATTCTGGGTCCCATTGGAATCAGCAGTGATGGAATTCACAGGTACTTAGTGCATGGATGGTGGGAGAGAGGACAGGTTATGTTTGGGGTGGATGGTGCTGAAGGCCACCTAAAATTAGGAGGTAAATACAAGAAATAATTTCACTCAAAATACCATTTCCTTATAAGCTGTTCAGTGCATTTTGGTCCACAAAAGAAAAAGTTAAAATCTTGGAAGTGAAAACAGCTGGAGATCATCAAGCAATCACCAAGAGTTTGCAGAGCACGGCAGCAAGAGTTTGGGACAGATTTTTGAAAACAGAGAACTCTTGATTTAAAGACTGTCAGGGAACTTGGCTGTGTTTTGGACATTGCCTCTACATAGGTCTTAGAGTTCCAGTCAATAAAATAAATGCATATGCTTTACTTAAGCTGAGAATATTCCTGTGCCAGTAACATTCTCTGGAAGGACAAGAAGAGTCCTTCTTTAGTTTAGTATAGTTAGTTCATCAGGCAGCTAGAGGCTCCAGACTGAACAGACATGGAGAGTACAAACGGTGCAAAGTGTCTCTGTCCTTGAATAGCTTACAGTTCAGTAAAGGGAACAGATATGTAAGTACATAATCACAGTAGAGTGAGATATGTGCAATAATAAATATATTTATAAGATGCAGAAGTAGATAATAAGGAGCATTAATTCTACCTTGTAGTAAAGAGTAAAGAAAAGCTTCACAAAACAGGGGACATCTATGTTGGTTTTCTTGCTTTCCCTATTTAATATGAGCCACTAGTAGACCCTTTGTTTCCTTCTTTTAATATGACCTAAAATGATCTAGTCTTCCCTGTTAATAGCATAACCCTCTTAAAAAAGTGCATGGTCTCTTTCTTCGTTTCGCTTCATGGAGGAAATAATTTAAAGTGTACAGTAAGTTTTTTTGCCTATTTGAAATGTTTTTCAACTGTACAGATTTAATAAATTGATACTTTGTGCATATGATTACACAATTTCTGAATGATTGTACAATATGAGTTATTTATCAAGACAATTTGCTTCTTTGGCATAACTATGCTGCAGACCAATTTATTTACTGAGTGCAGGTTCGAATTGAGCTTAACAGGTGAGCCACTGAAACTTAGGGACTGTGGAGATCCTACAATATCTTTTGGAACTAAAGTCTCACACCACGGGTACCTCTGATCTTGATGATGAATGTTCATTTGGGTTCCACAGAAACACAGAAGTTGCTAGCTCTTTTTTTTTTTCCCATTTTAGTCAGTGTAATCTCATGTACACTCTCCACTTCTAACCACAGAGGGTCGAATTGGAAGTGGATTCCATTCTGTTAACAGAAAAGCAATTACTTAACTTATAAATTTAGAAAGAAGACCTTATTTCTTATAAAGGGTTACAGTCTGCAAGGTGGCCATTCTGAAAGGCTGGGAAGCATAGCCTCTGGCCAAAGCCCAGACACAGGTACTGCAAGGGAGGGAAAGAGGAGACAGGAATTTGTGCTGATTTCAATTATTTGTGATAGTGCTTAGTATTTTCATAGATAATCTTCCCCTTTGCTTTTGGGAGCATGCTCTGGGTGAAATGCCCAGACACTTGGAATTCACTTCTTCAAAATTCTTTTACTTTTTCCTAGGGACTTTAAGCATAGCAACAACCTTATTTATTTGTTATTTCTCTTCAACTTCCTTCATCATTTTTTTCCACAGTTTGTCCATGTAAGTGTTTGAAGATTGACTTGCTCTCCTGGGAGTTTAGGTTAAGGGGAGATGGGTGGGAAAGGCATTCCAAGTAGAAGAAACAGGATGCACATACACATAAGGAATTTTTTAAAAAGCAAGGCATTCAATAATACTGGGGAACAGTATGCAAGGGGCTGAGCAAAAGGGGGGAAATAGGGCCAGAAAGGGAGGCAGGGACCAGTTATGAAAAACCGTGTAAACTATTTTGACCATGACATCAACATAGGTTTCTAAGGTGGGGAGAATCAGGATCAGATTTATGTTTTTAAAAGATTGCTGTGATGGCAATGTTGTGACTAAGATTAGGCAAAAAGGGGGAATTGTCTGGGAAACAGCAGGAAGAGACTTCCAGTCCTTTAGTTGAGAGACAGTGAAGCCTTAACTAGGGCAATGGAAATGAGATCAGGGAGGGAAGGACAGGTTTGAAAGCTACTTCAGGAGGGAAAATAAGAAGAGTTTTATAAGAGAATTGGTTTAAGTGGTGAGTGAGGTCAGGTAGGAAAGATCATGAGGTTTCTGATTTTGGTGAGTGGCCAAATGGGGAAACCATAAAAAAGAAGAAATATGGAAAGAGGTACAGGCTTGAGGGACAAATAGGCCTGACATCACCATGGAGTGTCTAGTTGAAGATCAGAGGAAGATGGAAATGCAGGTCTGAAATTGAGACTAGAACTTCGGCTGACAATATATAGGTGTGGAAAACATTAGCAGTGGAAAACAGGAGGACGTCTGCTCAGCCAATGACCTAGGCTTCAGGAATTATGTCTTCCTAACCACAGCCTCCGCTGTAGAGGTGAGCCTTAGACAATGTTGTTCTACCATTATTTCAACATTCACTTGACAAGTACTTTTTGAGTCCTTATTGTGCCAGGCATAAGTGATTATATGGTGACCAAGATGGACAAGGTCCCTGCCTCCTGGAGCTCACATTCTAGTTCATGATACAGGTGGCAGGAACAACATATGCAGTGGGCCTTAAGCAGAAAGAACCTGACATGGTCTAGGAGCTTCATCATGAAATGAAGCTTGAGAGGTGGGCCAGGGCCAGATCATTTGGGGCCTTGTAGGTCATGCTAATGAGAATAGAGTTTTTCTAAGTCTCTGAGGATTTGCAAGCAGGACAGTATTGAAATGGGCTTTATCACATGTTCATCTCCACTTCTAACCACAGAGGGTTGGATTGGAAGTGGATTCCATTCTGTTAACAGAAAAGCAATTACTGAATTTACAAATTTAGAAAGGAGGCTATCTTATAAAGGGCTACAGCCTGCAAGGTGGCCATTCTGAAAGGCTGGGAAGCATAGCCTCTGGCCAAAGGCCAGAAACAGGCACTTCAAGGGAGGGAAAGATGAGACAGGAATTTATACCGAACAGGTTGGCCAAGTATACATATTCAATGGGTTATAGAGGAGCTATGAATATTCATGATGAGGGTCATCATACATATTCAGGTTGAGTAAACATGTATTTTACATACAACCCATGTTCACCCTGAGGTGGAGACTTAACATTTAAATGCATTACAATTAGGCCAGATATGTCCAAATGTGAAGCAGAGACAGGGAGGCACTCAAGTACACAGCCTGTAAAACCTGCCAGAGCCAGTCCATGGCTGGTGGTCTCTAATCAGGAGAAAGTTACAGAAATCAGTCTCTTGTTCAATCGAAGCTGTAGTTGTGGCTTGTGAAACAGGGAGTCAGTCAGCATCTGATGGTGGGTGAGCTGCAGTTATTTCAATATTGCTTATCTTGAGGTCAGTGCTTGTTTAGCTTCAGAGTAAGGAAAAACCTTGTGGCAGTTAGAACCTAGTTTACTCTTTAAGTGTAGGAGTGCATGACTTAACCCTTGCCTGGTGTGGCCTTAGGTCCTATTTAGAATTTGGTATCTTATTGCCATAAAGAGTCCATTCTGTCAGCCTTATTTTAACATTAATGCTGGCAAGTTGTTGGGTCTAAACTGCAAAAGGGAGAGGGTATGATGAGGCTTATCTGACCTCCTGACCCATCATGGCCAGGAACTCAGTTTTTAAGGTTTCTCTGGGGTTCCCTTGGACAACAGGGGGTCCATTCAGTGGGTTGGGGGGCTTAGGATTTTATTTTTAGTTCTCAATCCTTAGGCTAGCTGGTGATTTCTGACAAAGCCTAGTGCAAAAAGATTATCTGGACCAATCAAGACTTTTTTTTTCCCATCAGGAGTTTACACTGATAAACATTGAGTAAATGTGGCAATTAGTAGAGGTTGCTGAAACTGACAAGATGCTGCAAGATAGAGAAAGAACCATTATGGACTGTGTGCAAACTAAAGTTGTGAGAAAGCAGAAAGCATCATGCAGCACAAGTGATGTGGCACAGGAAGACAGAGCACGCCCCTGTTCTTTCATTCCTATGAGACACCTTTGTTCTTTATTGCCCATGTGTGTCATTAAAACAAACTCTTCCTTATTTGAATCATCTCTGTGAACCTCTCTTATAACTGAAAAGACTCAATTAAAACACCTAGGAAGAGTGGGTAAAGAGAGAAGGGGACAGAATTTACTGCTTTACCCTCTGTGACCCCGTGGATGAGTCATATTTTTATTGTAGCACTTAGAGGTTAGATTATACTTGTTTCTTTGTATGCTTCTCCCATGATTTGCATGACTTATTCATTTTGGTATCTACAGTACTGACCTTCATGCCTTGCACATTATTTGACACTCAAAAATGCTTATTGAGTTGAATTAAGCATGGAACCCTAAAATATTTTGAAGGTTGAACTAAGGAGGGAAAATAAGTACAAAGAGCAGTTTTAGAAGAAGGAATTACAGTAGCGGTACACGGGGAACCAAAATGGAGTGGCATCTGGAAAGACAAGGATGTGAGAGAATATCATAAGAAGGAGTGGTCAAAAGGACCAAATGCTGTAGAGAACTTAAAATAGCAAGGACTAAAAATGCCTATTGGATTTACCAATGGTTTTATCACAGAGATAGAAGGAAAGGTCATATTGCCATCTACTGAAAAAGTATAGTCAGCAGGGGTGGATGATATTTAATAATTTATCACAGCATATGCTGATCTTATTGATTTCCCCAAAATCGAATTACAGACTTCCATTTATATATAACTGCAAAACAAAGGATAAAGCTTTGGTCATTGAAAGGAGATGCATAATATTTTCTATAAATAAACAAATGAAATAAACATTAAAGATTCAATATGCTTAGGTTAATATACACGCTCATCAATTTTTTAGGTTTTATTTTTTAGAACAGTTTAACATTCAAAGCAAAATGAAGAGGAAGGTAGAGAGATTTCCTAATACCCCCTGCCTCACACATGCATAACTTTCCTCACTATCAACATCCCCTTCCAGAGTGGTACATTTATTACAATTGATGAACCTATACTGACATGTCATAGTCACTCAAAGTCCACAGTTTATATTAGGGCTCAATTTTGGTGTTGTATATACAGGTTTGGACAGTTAAGTAATGACATGTATCCACTGTTACACTATCATGGTGTAGATTAACTGCCCTAAACATACTCTGTGTGCTTCTCCTATTCATCTGTCCCTCCCCACTAGCCTCTGGCAACCATTGGTCTTTTTACTGCCTCCATAGTTTTATCTTTTACAGGATATCATATAGTTGAAATCATACAGTATGCAGCCTTTCAGATTGGCTTCTTTCGCTTAGTAACATGCATTTATGTTTCCTCTATGTCTTTTCAAGGCTTGATAGCTCATTTATTTTTAGTGTTGAATAATATTCCATTGTCTAATGTTCCACAGCATATTTATCCATTCACTTACAGAAGAACATCTTGGTTGCTTCCAAGTTTTGGCAATTATGAATAAAGTTACTATAAACATATATGTGCAGGTTTTTGTGTGGACATTTTCAATTCCTTTGAGTAAATACCAAGGAGCACGATGGCAGGATCATATGGTTAGAGTATGTTTAGTTTTGTGAGATACCTCAAAATTGTCTTCTAAAGAGGCTGTGCCATTTTGCGTATTAGTGAGAGCTCCTATTGATCCTCATCCCCCTAATCATTTGATGCTTTCAGTGTTCTGGACTTGATCATTCCACTAGGTATGCAGTGGTATCTCATTGTTTTAATTTGCATTTTCCTGATGACACATGATGTGGAACAGCTTTTCATGTGATTATTTGCCATCTGTATATCTTCTTTGGTAAGGTATCTATCTGTTGAAGTCACTGACTCATTTTTAATTGAAGAGTTCTTTGCATATTTTTGATAACAGTTCTTTGTCAGATGCGTCTTTTGCACACATTTTCTCCCAGTCTGTGGCTCTTCTTCGCATTCTCTTAACATTGCTTTTGCAGAGCAAAAATTTATTTTAATGAAGTCCAGCCTATCAATAATTTCTTTCACAGATCATGCCATTTGTGTTGTATCTAAAATGTCACTGCCATACTCAAAGTCATTGCCATTCCCAAAGTTGTCTAGGTTTTCTCCTACGTTATCTTCTAGTAGTTTTATAGTTTTGCATTTTACATTTAGGTCTATAATCTATTTTGAGTTAATTTTTGTGAAGGATGTAAGGTTTGTGTCTAGATTCTTTTTTGCATATCGATGTCCAGTTGTTCCAGCACCATTTGTTGAGAATACTCTTTGCTTCATTGTATTGCTTTTGCTTCTTTGTCAAGGATCAGTGGACAATGTTTATGTTGGTCTATTTCTGGGCTCTTTATTCTGTTCCATTAATCTATTTGTCTATTAATTCACCAATACCACACTTTCTTGATTACCATAGCTTTAGAGAAATACTTGAAGTTGGGTAGTGTTAGTCCTCCAACTTCTCTTCATTTTTTGCTGTGCTATCTGAATCCTCACTCCTCCTTTGGCTCTCTTTTTAAATTTGTTTGTTTTTGAGACAGAGTCTTACTCTGTCACCCAAGCTGAAGTGCAGTGGTGTGATCTCGGCTTACTGCAAACTTTGTTTCCGCAGTTCAAGCAATTCTCATGCCTCAGCCTCCCGAGTAGCTGGGATCACAGGCTTGTGCCACCACATCCAACTAATTTTTGTATTTTTGGTAGAGATGGGGTTTCGCCATGTTGGCCAGGCTGGTCTCGAACTCCTGACCTCAAGTGATCTTCCCACCTCGACCTCCCAAAGTGCTGGGATTACAGGTGTGAGCCACTGCACCTGGCCTCTTTTAAAATTTTTATAATTTTCTGCTGAATGTTATCAGAAAGTTCTGGGAGATAAAGTTCTGGAAATTGAATATATGTGGTAGGAAGATTAACCTTTGACAGTCTTTGTTTTTTGTGTTTTTCCTGCAGACTTACATCTAATGAAGGAGGTTGTGCCTGTGTCTGAATGCAGGAGGGGTCCTATGACTCTGGTCTTGCTATAGAGTCACCATCTATAATCAGCCTCTTTTCTTTCAGATATTATTTGACTTTGAACTTTTTAGCTTTTAGTTGTTTGCTTGCTTTCTTTCCTCCTTCACTATGACAAGGAATGCTACATCCTTTTAGACCTGCAATTTTGGTTGCCTGTTTTTCTATTTTATTGCTTTGCAATCTTCTGGGGCTCTGCATCCAACACATGGCTCTCCTGAATTTGTCTTTTTCTAATATAAAAATATTCATGCACTTGGGTTTCTTTCAATGGCACCTGAATTTCTGGCAGGTGATTTTCTCCATTCAAGGTTGTGCTGTGAGTGAAACAGCCCTCAGCCATTAATGTCATTTGCAGAAGGTTCAAATCTGCTATCAGGTGGCTCTAGCCTTATTTATGTTCTGCTTGGGTTTGTTTTTTTTTTTTTTTTTGCTATATTTTTCTATTTCATCTCACTTGGATAAATGGCAGTCTTCTGTGGCTACCTCTTTGTAACTAGACAGATAAAGCTGACCAACTTCATGCCTTCAGGAAGTTTCTCCTCGACCTTTTTAATGAATAGAAGTTTCTCTTTGTTTTTCCCAGCTTTTTGTCTCTCTTTATAAGCCAGACTTAAAGAGAAAAAATGTATAATTTCAGTAGACTCCCAAAACCTGCTGTGGGAGTGGGAGTTGACAGGGTGTTAGGGATGACCTCAGGTAGGTGGTTCACAGGGATCTTCAACAGGACTCTGTAGCGAAAGTCCTTCTCTTGACCCCAGAGACAACTCTGAACCATTCTTCCACTGCCATCAGCTTTTCACTAACTTTAGCTGTGAAGAGTCAGCAGTTGCCAGAGTGGATACAAGGTTAAGGGAGAATATTACAATGAGGAATACTTGAACTTAGCTGGAATCTGGAAGAATCCAATAGAGAGGGAGAACCTGAGATGGAGAAGAGTCCTATCAAAAGGGTTGAGTGCCTAGCCCAGGAATCAACCTGAGCTAGTAATTAAGATGCCTTCACGGCCGGGCGCGGTGGCTCACGCCTGTAATCCCAGCACTTTGGGAGGCCGAGGCGGGTGGATCATGAGGTCAGGAGATCGAGACCATCCTGGCTAAGAAGGTGAAGCCCCGTCTCTACTAAAAATACAAAAAATTAGCCGGGCGCCTGTAGTCCCAGCTACTCGGGAGGCTGAGGCAGGAGAATGCCGTGAACCCGGGAAGCGGAGCTTGCAGTGAGCCGAGATTGCGCCACTGCAGTCCGCAGTCCGGCCTGGGCGACAGAGCGAGACTCCGTCTCAAAAAAAAAAAAAAAAAAAAAAAAAAAAAAAAAAAAAAAAAGATGCCTTCACACAGCAACTGATCTCTTGCCCATATCAATAATTTTATCACTACTACTATTAGTTGGGTGGCTTTGGGGAGTTAATGAAGATTACGGGATGAGTGCTAAAGATTTTGATGATGTGCGTTGTCTGTTTACTCTGCTGACTGTTCTTTTTTGCTGTGAAAAAGCTCTTTAGTTCAATTAAGTCCCAGCAATTTATCTTTGTATTTATTGCATTTGCTTTTGGGTTCTTGGTCATGAAATCCTTGCCTAAGCCAATGTCTAGAAGGGTTTTTCCAATGTTATCTTCTAGAATTTTCATAGTTTCAAGTCTTAGATTTAAGTTCTTAATCCATCTTGAGTAGATTTTTGTGTAAGGTGAGAGATAAGGATCCAGTTTCATTCTCCTACGTGGCTAGCCAATTATCCCAGCACCATTTGTTGAAAACGGTGTCCTTTCCCCACTTTATGTTTTTGATTGCTTTGCCAAAGATCAGTTGGCTGTAAGTATTTGGGTTTATTTCTGGGTGCTCTGTTCTGTTCCATTGGTCTATGTACCTGTTTTTATACCAGTACCATGTTGTTTTGGTGACTATGGCCTTATACTATAGTTTGAAATTAGGTAATATGATGCCTCCAGATGTGTTCTTTTTACGTGTCTTGCTTTGGCTGTGCAGGCTCTTTTTCAGTTCCATATTAATTTTAGAATAGTTTTTTTCTAATTCCGTGAAGAATGATGGTGATATTTTGATGAGAATTGCATTGAATTTGTAGATGGCTTTTGGCAGTATGGTCATTTTTACAATATTGATTCTATCCATCCATGAGCATGGGATGTGTTTCCATTTGTTTGTGTTGTCTATGATTTCTTTCAGCAGTGTTTTGTAGTTTTCTTTGTAGAGGTCTTTCACCTCCTTGGTTAAGTGTATTCCTAAGGTGTTTTTTTTTTTTTTTTTTTTTGGTTTTCATTTATTTATTTATTTATTTTTGCAGCTATTTTACAAGGGGTTGAGTTCTTGACTTGATTCTCAGTGTGGTCGCTGTTGATGTATAGAAGAGCCACTGATTTGTGTATATTAATTTTGTATCTGGAAACTGGAGTGTTTAGGGTTTTCTAGGTAAACAATCATACCATCAGCAAACAGTGACAGTTTGACTTCCTCTTTACTGATTTGGATGCCCTTTATTTCTTTCACTTGTCTGACTGTTCTGGCTAGGACTTCCAATACCATGTTGAAGAGGAATGGTGAGAGTGGGCCTCCTTGTTTTGTTCCAGTTCTCAGAGGGAATGCTTTCATCTTTTCCCCATGAGTATTATGTTGGCAGCGGGTTTGTCATAGATGGCTTTTATTATATTGAGGTAGGTCCCTTGTATGCCAATTTTGCTGAGAGTTTTAATCATAAAGGGATGCTGGATTTTTTCTAATGCTTTTTCTGCATCTATTGAGAGGACCATGTGATTTTTGTTTTGAATTCTGTTTATGTGGTGTATCACATTTATTGGCTTGCATATGTTAAATCATCCCTGCATCCCTGGTATGAAACCCACTTCATCATGGTGAATTATCTTTTTGATATGTTGTTGGATTCCATTAGCTAGTATTTGTTAAGGAACATCTATGTTCATCAGGGATATTGGTTTGTAGTTTTCTTTTTTGGTTATGTCCTTTCCTGGTTTTGGTATTAGGGTGATACTGGCTTCATAGAATAGTTTAGGGAGGGTTCTCTCTTTCTCTATCTTGAGAATAGTGTCAATAGCATTGGTACCAATTCTTCTTTGAACGTCTTGTAGAGTTCTACTCTGAATCCTTCTGGTCCTGGACTTTTTTTGTTGGTAATTTTTAAATTACCATTTCAATCTTGCGCTTGTTATTGATCTGTTCAGGGTATCTAATTCCTCCTGATTTAAGCTAGGAGGGTTGTATCTTTCCAAGAATTTATCTCTCTCCTCTATGTTTTCTAGTTTACATACAAAACAGTGTTCATAGTAGCCTTGAATGATCTTTTGTATTTCTGTGATGTCAGTTGCAATATCTCCCATTTCATTGCTTACTGAGCTTATTTGGATATTCTCTCTTCTTTTCTTGGTTAATCTTGCTAATGGTCTATCAATTTTATTTATCTTTTCAAAGAACCAGCTTTTTGTTTTATCTTTCGTACTTTTTTGTTTGTTTGTTTCAATTTCATTTAGTTCTGCTCTGATCTTGGTTATTTCCTTTCTTCTGCTGGGTTTGGGTTTGGTTTGTTCTTGTTTCTCTAGTTCCTTGAGGTATGATCTTAGATTGTCTGTTTGAGCTCTTTCAGACTTTTTGATGTAAGCATTTGAGGCTATGAACTTTCCTCTTAGCACTGTCTTTGCTGTGTCCCAGAGGTTTTGATAGGTTGTGTCACTATTGTCGTTCAGTTCAAAGAATTTTTAAATTTCCATCTTGATTTCATTTTTGACCCAGTGATCCTTCAGGAGTAGGTTATTTGATTTCCATGTATTTGCATGGTTTTAGAGGTTCCTTTTGGAGTGGATTTCCAGTTTTATTCCACTGTGGTCTTAGAGAATGCTTGATATAATTTCAATTTTCTTAAATTTATTGAGGCTTGTTTTGTGGCCTATCATATAGTCTATCTTGGAGAAAGTTCCATGTGCTGTTGAATAGAATGTGTATTCTGCGGTTGTTGAATGAAATGTTTTGTATATATGTGTTAAGTCCATTTGTTCCAGGGTATAGTTGAAATCCATTGCTTCTTTGTTGCCTTTCTTTCTTGATGATCTCTCTATTGCTGCCAGTGGAGTATTGAAGTCCCCCACTATTATTGTGTTGCTGTCTATCTCATTTCTTAGGTCTAGTAGTAATTGTTTTATAAATTTGGGTGCTCCAGTGTTAGGTGCATATATGTTTAGGATTGTGATATTTTCCTGTTAGACAAGGACCTTTATCATTATATAATATCCCTCTTTGATCCCTCTTTGTCTTTTTTAACTGTTGTTGCTTTAAAGTTTGTTTTGTCTGATATAAGAATAGCTACTTCTGCTCACTTTTGGTGTCCATTTGCATGAAATGTCTTTTTTCACCCCTTCACCTTAAGTTTTTGCAAGTCCTTATGTGTTAGGTGAGTCGCTTGAAGGCAGCTGATAGTTGGTTGGTGAATTATTATCCATTCTGCAATCCTCTATCTTTTAACTGGAGCATTTAGGCCATTTACATTCAATGTTAGTATTGAGATGTAAGGTATCATTCCATTCATTGTGCTACTTGTTGCCCATATACCTTGGTTTTTTGTTTTTGTTTCTTAAATTGTATTTTTGTTCTATAGGTCCTGTGAGATTTATGCTTTTAAGAGGTTCTGTTTTGATGTGTTTCCAGGACTTGTTTCAAGATTTAGAGCTCCTTTTAGCATTTCTTGTAGTGGTGACTTGGTAGTGGTGAATTCTCTCAGCACTTGCTTGTCTGAAAGACTGTATCTTTCCTTTATATATGAAGCTTAGTTTCACTGGATACAAAATTCTTGGCTGATAATTGTTTTGTCTGAGGAGGCTGAAGATAGGGCCCCAATTCCTTCTAGCTTGTAGGATTTCTACTGAGAAATCTGCTGTTAATCTGACAGGTTTCCTTTATAGGTTACCTGGTCCTTTTATCTCACAGCTTTTAAGATTCTTTGGTCTTAACTTTAGATAACCTGGTGACAATGTGCCTAGGCAATGATCTTTTTGCGATGAATTTCCCAGGTGTTCTTTGTGCTTCTTGTATTTGGATGGCTAGGTCTCTAGCAAGGCCGGGGACATTTTCCTAGATTATTCCCCTAAATATGTTTTCCAAACTTTTAGATTTCTCTTCTTCCTCAGAACACTGATTATTCTTAGGTTTAGTCATTTAACATAATCCCAGACATGTTGGAGGCTTTGTTCATATTTTCTTATTCTTTTTTCTTTGTTTTTGTTGGATTGCGTTAATTCGAAGACCTTCTTTGAGCTTTGAATTTCTTTCTTCTACTTGTTCAATTCTATTGCTGAGATTTGCCAGAGCATTTTGCATTTCTATAAGTGTGTCCTTTGTTTCCTGAAGTTTTTTTGTTTTGTTTTGTTTGTTTGTTCGAGACGGAGTCTCACTCTGTTGCCCAGGCTAGAGTGCAATGGTGCGATTTCAGCTCACTGCAACCTCTGCCTCCCGGGTTCAAGTGATCTCCTGCCTCAGCCTCCTGAGTAGTTGGGACTACAACTGCATGCCACCACACCTGGCTAATTTTTTGTATTTTTAGTAGGATGGGGGTTTCACTGTGTTAGCCAAGCTGGTCTCGATCTCCTGACCTCGTGATCCACCCAATTTGGCCTCCCAAAGTGCTGGGATTACAGGCATGAGCCACTGCGCCTGGCCTGTTTCCTGCAGATTTTCTTGTTTTTTATTTATGCTGTGTATTCCCTTGAATATTTCTCTCTTCATTTCTTGTATCATTTTTTGGATTTTCTTAAATTGGGCTTCACCTTTCTCTGGTGTCTCCCTGATTAGCTTAATAACTAACCTCCTGAATTCCTTTTCAGGTAAACCTGGAATTTCTTCTTGGTTTGGGTCCATTGCTGGTTAGCTAGTGTGAGTTTTTTGGGGGGTGTTAAAGAACCTTGTTTCATCATATTACCAGAGTTGGTTTTCTGGTTCCTTCTCATTTGGGTAGGCTCTGTCTGAGGGAAGGTCTAGGGCTGAAGGTTGTTGTTTAGATTCTTTTGTCCCATGGGCTGTTCCCCTGATGTAGTACTCTCCTCTTTTTTCCTATGGATGTGGCTTCCTGGGAGCCAAGCTGTAGTGATTGTTATCTCTCTTTTGGATCTAGCCACCCAGCAAGTCTACCAGGCTCCAGGCCAGTATTGGGGGTTGTCTGCACAGAGTCTTGTGATGTGAACTGTCTTTGGGTCTCTCAGCCATGGATGCCAGCACCTGCTCCGGTGGAGATGGCAGGGGAGTGAAATGGACACTGTAAGGGTTCTTAGCTTTGGTGGTTTAATGTACTATTTTTGTGCTGGTTGGCCTCCTGCCAGGAGGTGGTGCTTTCCAGAGAACATCAGCTGTGGTATGGAGAGGAACAGGTGTTGGGGGGGGCCCAAGAACTCCCAAGAGTATATGCCCTTTGTCTTCAGTTACCAGGATGAGTAGAAAACGACCATTGTGTGGGGGCAGGGTTAGGCATGTCTGAGCTCAGACTCTGGTCCTTGGGTGGGTCTTGCTGTGGCTGCTGTGGGGGATGGGAGTGAGGTTCCGAGGTCAATGGAGTTATGTTCCTAGGAGGATTATGGTTGCCTCTGCTGTGTCGTGCAGGTTATCAGGGAAGTTGGGGAAAGTCAGCAGTCAAGGCCTCACCCAGCTCTCACACAATCTGAAGCGCTGGTCTCACTCCCACTGTGCCCCCACCAACCCAACAGCACCAAGTCTGTTTCCAGGCAGTGGGTGAGAAGGGCTGAGAACTTGCCCCAGGCCACCCATCTCACAGCTGCAAAAGCAAATATGGCTTTCCTACTTCCCCAGCTTGTGGAGTCTGCACACTGGATTCACAGCCTCCATGGAGTTCTGGCCAGGAGGCTTCCCAATCAGTTTAAATTCTTACAAAGTTCAGCTGGAGATTTCCTTCTCCCTGTGGCCTTTTGCCCAGAACGTCTGGCTGCTCTCCTGGAGGACCCCTGTGAGGCCAGGCAGAAATGGGTTGCTAGGGGACCCAGCGAGCTCCCAAGGTTTTCCCGCTGCTTCCTCTACTCCTGTATTTTGCTCAGCTCTCTAAATTGACCCAGCTCCAGGTAAGGTTAAACTCTTCTCCCATAATCTATGCCCTCAGTTTCCCCAGTGGGAGTGTGTTTTTGAGGGTGGATGATCTCCCTTTCCTACTTCCACAGTTTGGGCACTCACAGTATTTGGGGTGTCTCCTGGGCCCTGTAGGAGCAAACTGCTTCCTTCATGGGGTCCGTGGGTCCTGTCAGGTTTCTTGATTTATTCCTGCCGTTGTTCTGGAGCAAAAATTCATGATGCGAGCCTCCACACGCTGCTCTGTCCATCTGAGTCAGAGCTGCCAACTAGTTCTGCCTCCCATCTGCCATGATCCCTCCAATCCAATACAACTTCATGATGTCTTAGTTCCCTGACACTATCATCTCCAATGACCTTATTCACTGCTCCTCAGCCACCCTCTCCTAAGGTCATGCACTTGCTTACAAGAGTCTGCTTGGATGAATTAGTTTTTGACTACCTCTTTGTCTGTATACGGCAGCTCTCTCCCCTTCATTGTCTTTGCTCCAGTCTTATTGAACACTTTTCACTTCCTATAAGCCATGTTATTCCCCAGCTCAAGGCAAGATTTGAGGGAACGCATATGTTATCTTTGCTTCAAACAATTCCTCCTCCCAACACCAATATTCCAGCTATTTATCCAGCTTCTGCTTACTCATTAAGTTTGAGCTTAAGCAGTGCTCTCTTAGGAAAGCCTTCACTGACTCAAATGACCAGGTGAGGTCTCCCTGTTTTATGTTATCAAAACAATGGACATTCATCTCACAACTTTGATGAATTACTTATAAAATTACCTAATTTTGTCCTGTCCCATCCATGCTACACTGTAAGCTCCACAAGGGCTGGAACCATACTCTCAACAAGTGGAACTTGTTCACTGTTGCATACTTAGCCCATGGCATAGTGGCTGGTATACAATATACTCAGCAAATATTTGTTAAGTGGACAAATGAATCAGTGAATGAATGGTGAGTCTGAAGTTACAGGAGAAAAAAGGAATTTATTATTAATTTTAACATGAATATGATCTATCAGTTTTATTCACATTGTCACTAATTTTTCATGTGCTTATTCTTGTGTGTGTTTGTGTGTTGTAGTTCTATGAAAATTTACCATATATATAGATTGGTGTGACCGTTGCCACAGTCACGATACACAGTTCCATCATAAGGATTCCCCATGCTGGCCTTTCATAGCCATAGTCATCTCTCTCCTTCCCTTCCTCTTCTCTAATCATTGGTAATCACTAATCTGTTCTCCATCTCCATTTTTAAAAATCCAGCTTATTGAGGTATAATTGACATACAAATAACTGCACATATTTAATGTGTGTAATTTGATTGGTTTGGACATATGTGAACACCCATGGCAACATCACGATCAAGATATAACACCTCCCAAAATTTCCTTGTGTCCTTCTGTTTTTTATTATTTTTTGTGGTTAGAACACTTAACACAAAATCACCCTCTTAACAAATTTTGAAGTGTACAATACTATATTAATTAATACTTATTAATACAGCATAACGGAAACTTTATACCCATTAAACAAGTCCCTGTTTTCTCCTCCCCTCAACTTCTGGCAACCGCTATTGTATTCTTTGCTTCTATGAGTTTGACTATTATCAAATAGTAAAACTATCAAATAGTCCATCATACAAGTGGAATCATGCAGTATTTGTCCTTCTGTGACTGTCTTATTTAATGTCTTCAAGGTTCATCCATATTGTCCCACATGACAGGATTTCCTTCTTTTTTTTTAAAGGCTAATATTCTATTATATATGTACCATATATTCTTAATCCATTCCTTTGTCAATGGACACTTGTTTCCATATCTTGCCTATTGTGCATAATGCCACAATGAACATGAGAGTACAGATATGTTTGAAATTCTGATTTCAATTATTTTGGATATATACCCAGAAGTATATTCCTGGATCATATGGTAATTTTGTTTGTAATCTTTTGTGAAACCTCTGTACTGTTTTTCATAGCTGTTACACCATTCCCACCAGTGATGTACAAAGTTTTCTATTTTTCTACATCTTTGCCAACATTTGTTATCTTTTTTGTTACAGTAGCCATCCTAACAGATGTGAGGTGATATTTCATTGTAGTTTTGATTTTGCATTTCTTTGATAATGATGTTGATTATCATTTCATATACTTGTTGGCCATTTGTATGTCTTCTCTGGAGAAATGTTGGTTCAAATCTTTCACACATTTAAAAATCAGGTTACTTATTTTATTTTTTGCTATTGAGTTGTAGAAGTTCCTTATGTATTTGGGAAACTAACTCCTTTATCAGACGATGGTTTGCAAATATTTTCTCCCATTATGTAAGTTTCCTTTTCATTCTGTTATTTCCTTTGCTATGTAAAATCTTTTTAGTTTGATGCCATTCCATTTACCTCTTTTTACTTTTGTTGCTTATGCTTTTGATATCATATCCAAAAATCATTGCTAAGATTAACGTCAAGAAATTTCTCCCTATGTTTTCTTCTACAAATTTTACAGTTTCAGTCTTATATTTAAGTCTTTAATCCATTTTGAGTTGATTCTTACATATGGTTTAGGGAAGGGGTCCAATTCCTGTTTTTGTTTTTGTTTTTTGTATGTAGATATCCAGTTTTCTTAATACCATTTGTGGAAGAGATCATCTTTTTTTCCCATTGTGCATTCTTGTCAAAGATCAGTTGGCTGTATATTCCTGAGTTTATTCTATGCTCTCTAATCTGTTCCATTAGTCTATATGTCTGTCTTTATGCCAGTTCCAATCTGTTTTCATTATTGTCACTTTGCAATGTATCTTGAAATCACGAAGTGTAAGACGTCCAACTATGTCCTTTTTCAAGATTGTTTTGGCTATTCAGCATTCCTTGAGATATCGTATGAATTTTAAGATGGATTTTTCTTTCACAAAAAAATGCCTTTGGGATTTTGACAGAGATTGCATTAAATCTGTTGATCACTTTGGGTCATAGTGACATCTTAACAATATTAAACCTTCCAATCCATGAACACAGCATGTATTTCCCTTTATTTGCATCTTTATTTCAGCAACATTTTATGGTTTTCAATGTGTCACCCAGGCTGGAGTGCAATGGCACAATCTCTGCTCACTGCAACCTCCGCCTCCTGGGTCCAAGTGATTCTCTTACCTCAGCCTCCCAAGTAGCTGGGATTACAGGTGTCCGCCACCACACCTGGCTAATTTTTGTATTTTTAGTAGAGACGGGGTTTCACCATGTTAGTCAGGCTGGTCTCAAACTCCTGACCTCAGGTGATCCACCCGCCTCAGTCTCCCAAAGTGCTGAGGATTACAGGTGTGAGCCACCGTGCCTAGCCAAAAGGTATCATTTAAAAAACATTTTTCTTTGATAAATACTGTAGATCACAGCATCTGATTTCAAATGAAGCTAGCAAAATAGTCAAGCATTTCTTAAATCTTTATAGGGAGTACTTCTGGTTTCTTCTACTTTAGAGATAAGCAATAGTCTATTGTGAGAATGTGACACAAGAAGTATTAGAAGGAGCATGTGGCTAGGTTTTTCTCATCTGGATTTGGGTCTAGGCATTTGTTACTTTGGAAAAAAAGAGGAATAATTAAGAAGAACACTGTTCACTTAGTTACTTTTACTTGACAGAAAGCAGAGAAACTTCTATTACTAGTGCATATAAAATGTTCTATTAGTAATAACTAAAACATGTTAACCACAACATCAAATGGTCTTGAAGTCCTGGGACAGAGTCTTTCCCTCCCTCTTCTGTTCTCTGCTATTTTGTTATAATTTTCTTCATCTTAGTACTTTTATATTTTTACTTCGCTGAGATTTGGAAGGGACAGAAGGCGAAAGCAAGCTTGTGTCTAATTTGCCATCTTAAACCAGAAGTTTATCTTTTTTTGTCTTAAATAATGTATTTATGCCTTTATTTTTAGTCCCATTAGTTTAGTCAGTATTTCATTTCTTCTCTAAGTAAGATGGAACATCAGCTACCTGACCCTCTCTCAACCATTCCCCCTTAGTTTCCACTCTTACCTTCTATTAGTAATACCTTTATGTTTATAACATATAGCAGTGGTCCCCAACCATTTTGGCACCAGGGACTGGTTTTGTGAAAGACAATTTTTCCACAGATGACAGTGGGAGTGTGGTTCAGGATGCAACTGTACCACCTCAGAGCATCAGGCATTAGTTAGATTCTCATAAGGAGTATGCAGCCTAGGTCACTCACATACACAGTTCATAATGGGGCTTGTGCTCCTATGAGAATCTAATGACGCACTGATCTGACGGGAGGCAGATCTCAGGTGGTAAAGCTTGCTCACTGGCCATTTACCTCCTGCTGTGTGCCCTGGTTTCTAACAGGTCACCGACTGGTACTGGCCTGTGGTCAGATGGTTGGGGACCCCTGATATGTAGGTCTTACAAATTTACATTCTAATTTTCCACAGATGTTTATATCATTTGGAAGGGAAAAAAATAAAGAGGCAAATGACTTGTAAAGGTGAAAAGGGATTAGATTGTCAGTGGCCTTGGGCTGTGTCACTTGCTGTTTCTTCTACTTGCTGTTACTTGCTGGTTCTTTCTATCCACCTTTCACATCTGAGCGGAATGTATTTCTTCAGTATGGCCATTTCAAACACCAAATCTTAATTTCAATCCCTGTTATTGTCTCTCCTAGTAACCTCCTTTCCCATAGAGCATCTATCACACATTGCAATTACATGTCTGCCTGTGTTATCTTTGTCCCTTCCACTAAACTGTAAACTCCAGAAGAGCAGGGATCCTGTCTCTTTGGTTCACCATTGCAAACCTATTGCTTCACTTAGTGTCTGGCATCTAAGAAACATGTATTGAATCAATTAGTAATTTTAAAGTGTGATATGAAGAATTAATGGGACCTAACTTGGCAGAGGGTTGATGTTGAGAATATTATGCTGGGAGCATAATATTTTCAACATTTATTACACCCCCTTAGCCATTATGTCACAGCAATACAGTTTGGGGAGTTGGCCTCTGCTTTTGGGATACATGAATATTGGTCTAAGTTACATTAGTAATTCCATGCCTCTTGTCACATATGGCATACTTCTGGTGACAGTTATTTGTTCAGCAACAGAGACCCCATGACTTAAATTGGCCCAAATTGAGGGGAAGAAATGTTGTTTCATGGTTGGGGAAAAGACACCAACTCTCTCTTCAACCAGACATGAACAAGGAAGCATGTTGCCACATCCTGCCAGCAGCCATCTCATGCCTGTGAGAAGAACCTAGTTTAGGATGAAACAGAGGCTGTGGACGGCACAACAGAGAACGTAAAGAGCCGGGTCTTGGATGATGTTTATGAGGCATTGCATCTGCAAGTTCTGATGCCTGACCTGTCTCAGAGAAGCAGGGAGAGGAAGAATGTTCCAGACAGAGAGAACTAGTGAGGAAGGGCCACATGTTTGAGTAACATGAGACTGGTGTGTCTGGATTATTAACTTGGGGAAGAGTTTCCTGAGATAAAGATGAAGAGGTGAGGAGAAACCACATCATACAGGGGCTTGCAGGTCATATTGAGTATCAATTATGAGCTCAATTTCTGGAATCAAGCAAACCTGGGCTCAAGTCCCAGCTCTACTATTTCCAGCTGGGTGACTCTGGAATGCTACTTAATCTTCTGTCTACAGCTCAGTTTCCTCTCATGTAAGAGGATGCTATGTAGTATCTTTTTCATGGTATTGTTGGGAAGATTAAATGAAGTTTTGTAACTTAGCACTACAGGAGCTCAACAAATGAACCAAATAAATGAAACAAAAAGCTATGACTATTACAGTTGCTACCGTCATTACTATTTTGGAGCAGAATTCATGTGAGATGATGATATTAACTATAATGATTCTGGACGTTCTGAAAGGTTAAACAGAGAGGCATCATGATCAGATTTCCATTTTACAAAGTTCCTTCAGGCTGCAAAGTGAATAATGCATTAGAGGGGGCAATGAAAGAGGCAGGGAGATTGGATAGAAGGAGCTATTGAATATTTCAGGCAAAGATGTTGGAGGTTTCGACTAAGGTAGAGATGATAAAGATGCAGGGAAATAGATGGATTAGAGTTACTTAGGAGGTAGAATTGACAGAATTTGGTAATTGAATATGGGTTGGAGGGGTGAGATAGAGGGAAGAGACAAAGATGACTCTTAAATTTCAGTCTTGGTGCATTTATTAAGCCAGGGAACCTGGTAGGAGAAACAGGCTGTGTGTGAGTACCTGGGGAGACTGGTGGGTGGAGTAGATAACTTTCATTTTAAACATGATAATTTTGAGTTACCTGTGAGCCATCTAGGGCAGGGGTCCACAATCCCTGGGCCATGGACCAGTACCGGATTGTGGACTGTTAGGAACGAGGCTTCACAGCAGGAGGTGAGCAGCAGGTGAGCAAGTGAGGCTTTATCTGTATTTAAGCTGCTCCCCATCACTTGCATTATCACCTGAGCTCCACCTCCTGTCAGCTCAGTGGCAGCATTAGATTCTCATAGGAGCGCGAACCCTGTTGTGAACTGTGTATGCCAGGGATCTAGGTTGCATGCTCCTTATGAGAATCTCATGCCTGATGATCTGTCACTGTGTCCCATCACCTCCAGATGGACCTTCCTAGTTGCAGGAAAACAAGCTCAGGGCTCCTGCGGATTCTACCTCATGGCGAGTTGTATAATTATTTCATTATATATTACAATGTAATAATAATAGCAATAAAGTGCACAATAAATGTGCTTGAATCATCCCCAAACCATCCCCCCCGACCCAGTCTGTGGAAAAATTGTCTTCCACAAAACCAGTCCCTGGTGCCAAAAAGGTGGGGACTGCTGATCTAGGGGAAATGCTGAGTCAGCAGTCACATATATATGTCTAGACTTTAGAGGCGAGGTCTGGTTTAGAGATATAATTTTGGCTGTCAATACATAAATGATCAACACTGGAGACGGGGGAGTGGATAAAAAATGGGAGGAGAAAAATGGCCAGGACTGACCCTAGAGGAAGTATAAAGATTAAAGGCCAGTCAGTGAATCAGAAACAGTGAATTTGGATGCAGATAATCAGACTAATTCAGACTGGCTTGAAGAGTAAAAGGTTATGTAATGAAGAAGCCCAGTGGCAACATGGGCTTCAGGGTTGATTCGATTCAGCAGTTTAATGATGCCATAAATTTTCCAATTTCTTCCCATTTCTGGGCTCTGCCTTATGTGGTATTAGCTTCCTCCTAAGGCTGATTCTTTTACCTAGTTGCGAGATGGCGGCTGTCTACAATTTCCAAGGCTAATATTCTCTTTTCCACCCTGAGAAAGGAGAGTCTGATTGTTGATGTCTCAGAGGAAGGAGAAGGTTTTTCTCTTGGGAAGCCCCTAGTAACGCCTTTGTTTTTGTTGACCAGAATTGGGTCACATGCTCCACCCTGAAACAAAATTTGCTAAGCCTCAGAATGGGATTATGCTGACGAATGTGAAGCACATACAACTTTCACAAATATCAAGAATGGAGTCCAGTTCCCCACTGTTCGTTGACCATGACAGTGAAGCCCAAGACCCCAATACCTGGACAATACTGGTGTGTGATTTTCTTCAGGCATCTTTAGCTGCCCATGTTAAGGAATGAGGAAGTTGAATAGTCAGATTTGTTAGGATCTAATGAAAGGAGAGAAGGTCAATAGGATGTGAGGAATAATTAAGAAGAATGACTTACATGAAAGGCCCTGCAATCTAAGCCTGCTTGGCTTCTGAAGAGGTAATCACAATGCCCACTAGAATCAAGCAGTAGAGCAGACTGGGAGATGGCTTGTGACTCAAGAAGAAAATGAGGAGAGCTCAATGCTTTGTGTTTCAGGGTGGAAGGAGTGGTCTGCTGGGACACACACTACTGAGAGACCAAGCAAGATGAAAAGAGAAAGGGAACATCAGCTGGTGAGCTTAGTAGGGTGAAAAGCCTCGTAGGGAGCAAAGCGAGGTAGCATAATGGAGTCAGAGAGTGTAACAACTTTTTGAGAAGCTACGGTAATAAGGAATAATGTGTGGTGGAGGGAGCCTTTTGTTTGCTTGTTTATATGCTTGTTTTGAAGATGGTAGAAACTTTAGCATACTCAAAATCATATTGAAATAATCTATTATGGGGGAGAGGCTTTATATGACTGGGGCAACATGCTTTTGAATATTACAATGTACCACATTGCTGGATCAGTATCCCTTGACATTCTGTCTGACAGATTCCATCATGACAGTAAGTTTTTACTTTTGAACATGGTAAGTTTGAGTTACCTGTCAGCCATCTAGGGGGAAATGCTTAGTTAGCAGTTGCATATATATGTCTAGACTTTAGAGACAAGATCTGGTCTAAAAACATAATTTTGATGGTCAACACATAAAGGGTCAACACTGGAGACATGGGGATGGATAAAAATTAGGAAGAGAAAAATAACCAGGACTGACCCTAGAGGAAGTCTAAAGATTCTGAGGTAGAGGGAAGAGACAAATTGTCTTGACATTCTGTCTGACCAATTCCATTATATCAGTGTCTTCCATCATAGCAAAGATATTTGAGAGATGTGTGAAGAGTTCAAGAATCTGATGTATGCTGTGAGAGGGATGGGCTCCTGGACGTGGAGGGAGGGATTGCCTTTGCGTAGCAGGCCTGCCTCCTCCATTGTGATGAGATAAGAAGAGAATGAGTTTGACCATGCACAGTTGAGGAACTCTCACCGGTGATTCATATTTTATCTAAACAAGGAGGTGTCTGCTGCTGAGTGAAGAGAGAGAAAGGAATTCAGAGGTTTGACGAACATGGAGCAGTTTTGCAATTATCATGGCAGAGGATATGGGAATAAGATGGCAAGAGAAATACAATAGGATTGTTAGGCAGTGCTGCCATCACAGAAGAAGTTGAAGACCTTGAATTATAGAGGTATTGATTTTCCTGGCTGTGCGATTTTCTTCAGGCATATTTAGCTGCCCATTTTAAGGAATGAGGAAGTTGAATAGTCAGATTTGTTAGGATCTAATGAAAGGAGAGAAGGTTAATAGGATTTGAAGAATAACTAAGAAGAATGTCTTAAGCGAAAGGCCCTCCAATCTAAGCTTGATATTGAGAAAGGGTAAGTAGGATAGGGTAAAAGATTTGGAGAAAATAGGGAGTCAATTGGTGGAGGTCTCAACATGGCTGGAAAACAGTTGCAGTGGTGGTGATTTAGTTAGCAAGCAGGAAGGATGGGCAGAAGGATCAGAAAACAAAAGGGATCTAAATTAGTGATTTTGGCTGTAGAGAAGTTTCGATTATTGACAGTATTCTATGCGTGACTCTCAGAGACTGGCTTGAGTGAGGTAGTGGCAAAGTGCGTGGGAGATGAGGAAAGTCAGACTGAGGTAATCTGGTTGCTAAAGGGGCAGCTTTGGATGTTGAAGTTCCCAAAGGTGATGACAGGAGACAGATACAAAGATTTCAAGAGCATGTGACCAAGGCTGGCCCTGAGTAACATAACAATAATGCAAAGATCACTGAATCCAAGGTCCAGAGAGCCGAGTTTTTGTCCCATTTTTGTCACTAACTATCAGCATGACTTTGGGCAAGTTGCTAAATGCCCCCAGCTCTTAGTTTGCTCATAGAATATGAGGGAACTGCTCAGCTAAGCCTGCTTCTCAGTAGAGAGATGCTACTATTCCATGATTTTATTACATCCACTGGTTGGGGTTTGAGTGAAACATACACTCCTTCTCTGAAGTTTTTGGCTGATTGGCAAATAAACATAAGAATATGAAACCAAAATAATAGCTTCATTACTGGTAAAGCTGGAATGCAGAATGCAGCTTGGCCCAGGGTTCAAAATATAATTCTTAGTCCTTGTGCCCTGAATTGCATTTACAAATCTAGTCTTGGCAAAGCAGCTGGACAAGCATTGGTTTTAACCCTGCAGGGGCAGGCCCTTCCCCAACAGGCTTACAGTGGGGAGGAGAGGTGGGCATGGGTAGCTGCAGGAGGACCATCTCTTTAGAGAGAGGAGGCCAAAAATAATAAAAGAGACCATACATGGGTATTGGTTGCTGACACATTGTCCCCTGCTTGATAGAGGAAGGGTCTGCTCATAGATTTAATTGCTTTTCTTCCTTAGGAAGAATGAATGAAAGGAGGAAAGAAGGATAAAAAGTTTCTTTCTATCGGGGCTGGACGCGGTGGCTTACCCCTGTAATCCCAGCACTTTGGGAGGCTGAGGTGGGCGGATCACGAGGTCAGGAGATCGAGACCATCCTGGTTAACACGATGAAATCCCATTTCTACTAAAAATAGAAAAAATTAGCCGGGCCTGGTGGCAGGTGCCTGTAGTCCCAGCTACTCTGGAGGCTGAGGCAGGAGAATGGCGTGAACCCGGGAGGCGGAGCTTGTAGTGAGCCGAGATCGCGCCACTGCACTCCAGCCTGGGTGACAGAGCGAGACTCTGTCTCAAAAAAAAAAAAAAAAAAAAAAAAAAGTTTCTTTCCATCAACACCAACTTAATAGAAGTGTCTCTTTTATCTTCTGAGACAAGAACTTAGAGAAAAGAGAAAAATACTTCCTCCTTTATGATACACAGGCTGGCAACTCAAAATAAATAGTTTTAAATTAGATTTATGCAGTTGTACATATGTGTGAGAGTATGCAGAATTAACATGGTGAAAAAGTTCCTTAAACGATGACAGGGTTCCAAGAACACTTTTCCATAGTTTTCCAAATGTTCCATTTGTAATTTGGATTCAAGTCAGAATTATGAGGTTTCTAAGCAACATAACTAGAGAAAGTAAACAAGGCTTTATTCATTTTAAAATAAATTAAAATAAACAGATTCCATGTTACTCTAACTCTGCCCAGATCAGCTGAGGCGTGGATTGCATTTCTGGTGACCCACTTTGGTGCTCCTAACAACTACAGCAATCACAATGAAAAACAGGCTGCAAGTAAGTGAGAAACAAATGGAAGGTGAGTGTTTGGTTGTAGCTTTCTGGCCACCTCCTCTCTTAATGGTACTCTGTTAAGCTGACATCTTTGCTCCTCTGAGACTTTAATAGGAGGATTAAAGCAACAGCTAAATGGATGATAAATCCTAGAACAACAACAGTTACCCCTGAATACTGGGGAAGGCTGCACAGGCCCTGTTTTGCTCATAGAAATAGGCTAGCACTTTCATGGTGACAACAGAGAGGTCAGGAAAGTTCTCATTTCTCTTTAAGCTTCGTTCTTATTGAGGCACGGTGGCTCATGCCTGTAATTCCAGCAGTTTGGGAGGCCGAGGCAGGCAGATCACCTGAGGTCAGGAGTTGCAGACCAGCCTGGCCAACATGGTGAAACCCCATTTCTACTAAAAATACAAAAATTAGCCAGGTGTGGTGGTGCCCACCTGTAGTTCCGGCTACATGGGAAGCTGAGGCAGGAGAATGGCTTGAACCTTGGAGGCAGAGGTTGCAATGAGCCAAGATCGTGCCGCTGCACTGTAGCCTGGGAAACGGGGAGACTCCGTCTCAAAAATAAATAAATAAATAAATAACAAAGTAAAAAAATAAACTTCCTATTTCTTTTGAGATTTCTAAAAGTTCACCATCAGATGCTTAGATGGAAGAAGTTGAAGGAAGGTTAAAATACAGTTTGGGTTTATATTTGAATTTGTTATTTGGGAGAAGTTATATGTAAGTTGTTAAAAATCTCTAAAACCCTAGCACAAATTTGCTTTAGCAAATCACATCTCATAGATAACTAGTTGAGAGCAGGCTTTTAAGAGAAAGGGGTAGAACCAGGTGCATTTTGAATGGTGGGGGCATGGGAATGGCTGAGGGGATTGGGAGGCAGGGTTTAGGAATGACTGCCCCAAGGGAGGAACCATCCTAAAGAAACCAAGAGATGAGGCCCCTCCAGATGGAGGAAGTGTTGCTTCCTGAGAAGACGGGAAGCCATCATTCATCACCTCCACTTTATCTCCACCTCTATGTAAGGTTGGCTTTGCAGCTTCAAAACACCCAGAAGAACACCATGCGTTCATGCCCGCTCACTCCAGAGGCAGACGGTTGGCCACTCTGTTCTGTCTTCCAGCAGCAGCCTCCTACCCCCTACTCTACTGCTGACCTCAGGACTGTTCAAGATGCTCAGATTAGGCACACACACCCACACACCCACACCCCAATAACTATGAGAACATAACATAGAAATAAAAATGATTCCCATTTATATCTTAACATAGAGTAGAAGCTCCCTAGAATACCAAGTGGCAAATATGGTAACAGGTGGTGATTGATTGATTTCAGAATCAAAGTATTAATAATTCTTCTTTACTAAAATGTATGCATACGCCCCTCTTGGTACTTCCTTCTGGCTATAATTTGGAAAATCTTCCCCTTTTATCTTCTTCTACAAAGTGCTGCCATATGGAGAGAACAGAAAAGCCTGGAAAAACCCCAATTAACTGGAGCTCAAGTAATTAGAGCTCTCACTAAAATAGATAATATTTTCTGTAGGTTCCTCCCAACCACCTCCCTCAAAAAAAAAAGCAAAACAAAACAACGAGAAAAGAACCACTGATATATGGATTTGGGCATTAAATAAACATTTCCAAGGTAAGTAAAAAACTGGCTGGTATGATTAGAAGTTACCTGTGTGACATCATTCCTGTGTGCTGGGTTGTGAGACATGAATCCTCGTCATCAGCACTCTTCTCCAGGGAAGACTCTGGGCTTTGCTGGTGAAGAATGGAAGCAGGAGGACCAGATTACTTATCTGTGCTCTTAAACACAACCCAGAGACAGGGAAAGTTTTATAATTTTGTTATTTTTAAAAGGAATTTAATTCTATTCATCATTCTCAGCTTACTGAGGCAGAAAAGTGGGCTCACTGAGTCTAAACCATGTTATAAAGCATCCTGTAGCTAAACCTCAGGCAACCCAAAGACTATTCTCTGAGAGCTTCAGCTATCTGTGGTTTTATTTTACACCCAAAAACCAAAATTAAGCAGGTTGCAGCACATGCACACTTTCTTCATTTCTAGGACATGGAAACTCCCAAGAGACTAAACAGCAGGATGCAGAGAGAAAATCGGTGGTGTTGAAGTTCGATTTGTCACAATTTTATGAGTTATTTAATTTCATCTCTCAAATCGGCAAATCGTCACGTTCTTGAGATGACTCATGCATGAAATCAAATCTTTTTGCTTCAGTTCAGTTTGTATTTTCCTCAATTTAATTATCTCAGACACATGCAGCCCTACTTCCAGACCGGCCCCTGCGGTAATATTTAATTAACAAGGCAATTGATGAGAAAGGTCCTGGTTGTGTGGCAGCATTTTTGTTAGATTGTAAGTTCCCCAGAGGACACACATCAGGCTTGATCTCAGGGTTTGGGGTTGCTTTCTAACTCTTTTTATTTTCACAAATTCCACATTATTAGTTTTACCTACTGTGCTCTAAGAAAGCAGAAAGAGGTCCTGTAGCCACTGATAGAAATTTTAGAAGCTTAGTTTTTTGAAATATTTATTCAGGTTTTTGTTTTCTCCCTATATTTTCCCCTATACTTTCTCCCTATATTTTTCCTGATATTTTCTCCCTGATTTGCTAAGATTTGCTGGCCCTATTGGAAGCCTACTGCAAGAATCCTTTTTTTTTTTTTTTTTTAATCTTGGCTCACTGCAACTTCTGCCTCTCAGGTTCAAGTGATCCTCCCACCTCAGCCTCCTGAGTAGCTGGGACTACAGGTACACGCCACCACGCCCAGCTAATTTTTTGTATTTCTTGGTAGATACGGGGTTTTGCCATGTTGCCTAGGCTGGTCTCGAACTCCTGGCCTCACGTGATCTGCCCATATCAGCCTACCAAAGTGCTGGAATTACAGGCGTGAGCCACAGCACCCAGCCCAAGAATCTGTGTTGTGGGGAAATAACAACCACCAGTAGCTTTTTCTCTTCTTCCACAAAAGTTCAAGCCCATTAATAAGATGATGCTGTGCTTCCAGAGAGATAGTAAAGAAAAAGTTCTCGAGAGTAAGAGAGGAGACAAACAGGAGAGATTCTTGGGAAGTGCAAAGGGATGGAGGGTGGGGGGTGCTGCACATTCCTCTCTGCCCTATCTTCGGGACAGAGTTGCAAAGGAACTGATATCTGGCTTTCCAAGAAGTGATTCGGGGTAGTGGCTATAAGTAGGGGTGAGCGCAGGTTGTGGAGAGGGTAAAAAGAGGAATCTCTGTGCAGGTCACCTGGCCCTGGCCCAGTGGGGGGCCTTGGCTCCTATTCCCAAGCCCACTCCCATTCAGTGGAGAGCCCCCCACTCATTGAAATGTTACTCTCCCTTCCCTGGCTATCTCTGCTAAATGTCTGTTCCATGCACTCCAGTCTAAGCAATGCATTCTGCTCATTCTTAGAAGTCCTCCCACATTTATATATCGCCCCTATAGAGAAGCATTTTGTGATGGATTGTCCTAAAGTCTTCTCTCATTTGTTCACTCAACAAATTCTTATTGAACTCCTGCTGTAAATGCCAGGCTCCATTCTAGGCACTGGGGAGAATACAGTCCACACACAGACAAGGACCTTGTTCTCACAGTGCTCATATTCTTGGGTGTGGAGGGGCATGGAATTATAGTTCCTGTTTTATAGTGTGTGCCAGGCTCTTGTCCCCAATCTAACCATAGATCACAGGAGGGGAAGAGTCACAGAATACTTAGGCCGACGCAGCTCTCAAAACACCCCTCAAGGAGAAATGCTACTTCACAACTCCCCATAATATACCAGAATATCTGGGCACAGTAAGTAAAAGATGGTCCACAGATGTCAGGCAGGATCCTATATAAAGCCCCAGTCGCAGGCCCAGTGAGATCTCAGATTTTTCCATCTTAAAATTTATATTTTATTATTATCATGGCTAAAGATACATGAATGCAAATATTGACTTTTGGTGTATTTCCTTTGACCTTAGAAGAGTTGAAGTTCAAATCCCTGTATGACTTTGTACAAAGGCTGTTGGTGACTTCTGAGGTGCTCACGTAGCAGCTGACTCTCCATACATAAGGAGTGTCTTCCCTGCTACAGCTTGAGAGTTCCCAGCTGGTTAGAGAAATAAACATACCCAGGAGTCGGGAGTTGGCAGGTCCATTATGGCTAAATATATTCCCAGGCTTAAATGAGATGTTGCTTTGAACATCTGTCTTCCTTGCCAACAAAAGGATAACATGGAAGTAAGGCAACGAAAGAGTGGGTGGTCTTTTTCCAAATTATTGGCATTTTCAAAAAATTTTCCTCACAGTCTCGAAAGCCAAATATGTCCCTGGAGAGAGGAGTCTTGGGTCTACATGGACTAGTAAAGCTAGAACAATGGATTGATGGTTTCTGAGGAGAGCTATGATCTTACATTTGGTATTAGAATCACTTGGTTCAGACCATTACTTATGAATGATTCTTCCTGATGGTCATCATTTTGTGAGGCAAAGATCTCAACCACGGAATTAGAAATTGTCTTATTTATTTTTCTTACAATGATGTGTCAACAGTAAAGAGAAAAGTCTGAAAGAAGCAGGGTAGTGGGGAAGAGATATTTACAGTCATTAACGTAATAAAGAAGTAATTATGGATCTCAGATAGACTCTAGAGGAACACCAGATGTTACTAAGATTGAGAGAAAGCCTGACTGGGCATGTATGCAAAATAGAATTTATCCTTGCCAATGCCACCCGTGGCAAACGAGGCTTTAAAGAGGAGAATTAGGGCTTGCGCAGCTTCACTTGCAAGTTGGCATGCAGTATTTTGTTTAGAAAAAGGGAGGACAGGAACTATAGAATAAAAATACTCTTTTTCTTTGTGCCTGCATTTTATGTTACAGAAAGCTTCCTACTAGTGATATAAAGCTAGCATTAATTTTCCATCCAAAAAGAATCAATTGTCTGAGGCTACGTGCACAAAAATGAGGTTTTTTTGCCTCCTCCTGGAAAGCTCACCCGGGATAAACTGCACCCTCCAGTCAGTTACACAGTAGATGAAAGGACTCTGCTATGCTGGAAGAATGAAAAGGATAATTATTCTATGTCAATTTCATTCTGTCTTTTTAAAATAAGTGATATTTTCTGGCCACATTTGGGGTCTGTGAGCTTCCTTTGGTTATATGTAGAGTATGCCACATTAGAGAATTCACAGACTCCCCATTTTTCTAGAGTGTGATCCCATCAGGTGTTTTAAATTTTCCTCTATGAAGTGATCTTTGCTCGGAAGGGGTTCACTTTCCAGAGTTTTGTTTTCTCAAGTTACCTATACACTTGAGATTTTGGGGGGACAAAAATGGAATTACAGTGTTCTGGGTGGCCCTTATGATAGGACTGAAGCAGTAGATAAATGCAGTAGAAATGCCAGACATCCTGGAATGTGCCGTTTTTTTTTTCTGTCATAAAATAATGCTAGATTTTCTCTGGAGATCTTATTGCTCTTCTGTCTGCGCCCGGTGGCAGGATAATTTCATCATCTTTGTAGATTTCCCACAGATGCTGCTCTTACTTCAGCCAAAAGCAATCATTGACATTTACTATGCTAATAACTGAGAACTAATTTTTGAAAATTGAATTAGGCTAGGCATGGTGACTCATACCTGTAATCCCAGTACTTTGGGAGGCTGAGGCAAGAGGATTGCTTGAGGCCAGGAGTTTGTGACCAGCCTGGGCAACATGGCGAGACTCCCACCCTCCACACCCATCTTTACAAAAAATTTTAAAAATAGCCAGGCATGGTGGCGTAAGGATCCCTTGAGCCCAATAGGTCAAGGCTGCAGTGAGCTATGATTATGCCACTGCACTCCAGCTTGGATGACAGAATGAGACCCCTGTCTCAAAAAAAGAAAAAAATTGAACTAGATAATAATAAAAATAAAACAGAAGAACAGATAACATTAACTAAAAACAATGTGAGTGGCAGAGTACAGAAATAAATTAAATTTTGTGAATAGTATTTGGAGACCTGAGATACAAAACACACTTCGTTTGCTCAGGGAAAAAGAAGAGTAAGGAGTGAAAATGTTACATTGCTATAATTATTTGTTACTATGAAACTTTTTATTTCAATCATCTTGAGGTTGTCAACATCCTACAAATGAGGTGGATTCCAGGAAAATCTGGTTAGGTGCAGACTTTGCTGTCTCCAAAACACGTTAGAAACCATTTATCTCTATATGCTGCCCGGTGCATGTTCAGAGCAGCACAGGATTTCGCTAATACAAGAACCAGCCGGGCAAAGAATCAAATACTTATGTGCTACAGAGTGTTCTAGGGACTTGTTTATTTGAGGTTTGCTTTTCCTGACACTGACTTCTAACAAGTCTCCCTGTATTGTGCTTTTGTGTGCCATGTTCAATTTCTATCTGCTAATTAACACTAAGTCTCACCATAGTCCACACTAAATTAAGAAAAAAAAATTTTTTTAAATTTGTCCTTTAAATCTAAGAAATAATGTGATTTTTTTTCTTAGTTTCCAATCTTGCCTTTAAGTATGTGGTTAAAGGTAAATTATGTACATTTATTTAAAACTCCAAACGATTCTTCTCCCATTTATGCAGTCCTTTTTAATGAAGTCTTGCTTTTATATAGATATCCCAAAACAAGCACAGGGCAGGCTATGTGAACTTGGTTCTACTATTCATTATATACTGCAGAAAGGGCTAAAAAGCATGTCATTCATAAGTGAATGAATGAATGATGAACCACGCCTAAGCCAGTTGGCTAGGCCTTGACTTACAGAAACTACAGGACAAGAAGTTTTACTATCCTTAAAACGATTAGGTGACATCTCCTGTCTTCTGCACTGCCTGGTACCATTTCTTGACTTTAAATCTTAAAAGCCCTTTCACTCTGTCTGCATGACCATGTTGCCAGACTGGACTGCAAGTGGGCCTGCCAGGGGATGTTGTGCCTGGCAAACTGGCCTCCCATTTCCATTGTTTCACAGTAAACATTCAGCAATGTGCTAGGGTTGTTTTTTTATCAGTTCCTTGCACCTGGTGAGCAGGTAGTGTTCAGACCAGCTGGAAGTAGGTCGAAAAGTGTGTTAGGAGTTGGGGGTCAGCAGGGTCTTGCAGAACCTTCTATAAGAAAGGCAAGGGAAACCTCTCATGTCTGGTAGAATCCTCACTCGGTGCTGGTGATTACCCTGTGGGAATCTGGGAATCTGTGCCCTTGTTTGGGAGCAGGCTACCTTGTCTCCTGCAATGTGTAATGACACATTTTTGTATATTTTGCCATTAGAAATACTTTACAGGATTATGTCCTTTGCGGGGACATGGATGGAGCTGGAGGCCATCATCTTTAGCAAACTAATGCAGAAACAAAACCAAATACCACATGCTCTCACTTATAAATGGGAGCTAAATGATGAGAACACATGGACACATAGAGGGGAGCAACACACACTGGGGCATTTTGGAGGATGGAGGGTGGGAAGAAGAGGGAGAGGATCAGGAAAAATAACTACTGAGTGCTAGGTTTAGTACCTGGGTGATGAAATAATCTGTACGACAAACCCCCATGACACACATTTACCTATGTAACAAACCTACACATGTACCCCTGAACTTAAAAGTTAAAAAAAAATACTTTACATGCTCACTGGATCTGTTGAAATTACTCTGTTAATCAATCTTTCATCCTGTTGTGACAACTATATGTCTGCTGTCTAAGACAGCATAGGTTTGAATCGCATAGACTCGAGGGCCTCTATAGTCTTCATTTCTCATACACACATTCAGGATGTGTAAGAATTAGGAGATGATGGCTTCAGAATTCTCTGGCATAATCAGAAAGACCATGCAAATTAAAGAGAGACTTTCTATCCTAACTAACCCAAGGAAAAATCCCAGAGCATTATAGTCTAATCTTAGTTTGTATATTAGACTGTGCTTCCATATTTTGTGGTTTGGCTCTAAGTTCTAAAGTATAATTGAATTGACTTATAATGTATATTCTATGTTAATAACTATACAAACTATACAAATAACTTGACAAACAAAAGAACATAATGTATCACAGTATGATGACTGAAAGTCACTGCATGGTTAGGACAATATTAATGAACAGGAATGAATGATTCCAGGCCTGGGAGAACTTGCTGCATTTTTTTCTAGAAGTATAGAACAAGGTAGGTGACCCCATAAGCCATCGAGCACTTGGTAAATAATGTGTTATCTTTCAGTATAATCTATGTCTGTCTGAATTCCAGCCCACCACAACTTAAATATTTATTTAAAATAAATATGTTTATTTCACCATTCCTGTGTATTCCAAGTAAAGTATGGTACACTGACTGACTCATGCCAATGGAACAGGAGCAGAATTATTATCAGACACCCAGAACAAGGTAAGCTCTGCTAATTGGCACAAAGAAAGTGCTTGATGAAACAAGTCTGTTGCAACATAACCATGCTGTTGGCTTCATCATGAGCTTCAGCTATAAAAATGGAACAAATTGAACTTTTTTTTTTTTTTGAGATGGGGTCTCACTCTGTCACCCAAGCTGGAGTGCAGTGGTGCAATCTCGGTTCGCTGCAGCCTGTGCCTCCTGGGCTCAAGCCATCCTCCCACCTAAGCCTCCTGAGTAGCTGGGACCACAGGCATGCGTCACCACAGCTGGCTAATTTTTGTATTTTTAGTAGAAATGGGGTCGCACCATATTGGCCAGGCCTGAGCTCAAGTGATCTGTCTGCCTTGGCCTCCCGAAGTGCTGGGATTAAAGGCGTGAGCCACTGTGCCTGGTCAAATTGAACTTTTAAGACTTTTATTTTTTTAAAGTTAAGTTGCCTGGGAGTGCTTCACTACACACTTGGATACTTTGATGGTTGCTCTCAGTTCCCTTTTCAGCAAACTGGATTTTGGTTTGGTATAGGCCTATGACTTTTAAGCTTAGGGGTTCTCTGAAAAGACTTGAGGGTCACTTGGCTTGGGAATAGGGATGAGTAAAGTTTTAGGGGAAAAAAATCCCTGCCTGGTTTCAACCAGAGTAGCTTTGATCTTTTTCACATATTGGAATTCCACATAAGGTTCTTCCTGGGGGTAGGGGGCTTTGATCTTTATCATATATTGAAATTCCATGTAAGGTTTTTCCTGGGGGCAAGGGGCAGTTTGCTGCTTAAACGTGTACTCAAAAACAGCTTGTAGAGTGCTAACAACAACAAAAAAACCTATTTGGTTAAAGTAAGTCATCACAAAATGAATTCTCAAAATGGGAGTTACACTTCTTTGTGGAAACTATTTTATTTTAGATTTGGGGGTAGATGTGCAGGTTTGTAACATGGACATATTGTATGAGGTTGTGGTTTGGGCTTCTATTCATCAACTATTTCCCCCTTACTTCCCTCCTCCCCCAGTAGTCCCCAGTGTCTATTGTTGCCATCTTTATGTCCATTTGTCCCAATGTTTAGCGCCCACTCATAAGTGAGAACATATGGTATTTGTTTTTCTGTTTCTGTGTTAATTAACTTAGTATAATGGCCTGCAGCTGCATCTACATTGCTGCAGAGGACATTCATTTTTTAAATGGCTGCACAGTATTCCATATTCCATGCTGTATATGTAGCACATTGTCTTTATCTGATCCACCAATCCAGCACTGATTCCATATCTTTGCTATTGTGGATAGTGCTGTGATAAACGTGTGAGTGCATGCGCCCCTTTGGTAGAATGATTTCTCTTCCTTTGGGTATACACCCAGTAATGAGATTTCTGGGTCGATTGGTAGTTCTATTTTTAGTTCTTTGAGAAATCTCCAAACTGCTTTCCACACTGGCTGAACTTATTTACATTCCCACCAGCAGTGTATAAGCTTTCCCTCTTCTCTGCAGCCTTGCCAGCGTCTGTTGTTTTTTGGCTTTTTAATCATAGCCATTTGGACTGGTATGAGAGAGTATCTTATTGTGGTTTTGATTTGCATCTCTCTGATAGTGGTGATGTTCAGCATTTTTAAAATGTTTGTTGGCTGCTTGTATGTCTTTTGAGAAGTGTTTCCTTATGACCTTTGCCCACTTTTAAATGGGGTTTTGTTTTTTTCTTGTTGTTTTTTTGTTTAAGTCACTTATACATCCTGGATATTAGTTCTTTGTTGGATGCATAGTTTGCAAATATTTTGTTTTCCAAAATGAGAGTTAATACTTCTTAAGACTCCCAAACATGAGCCAAAGTTGTCATGTATAAAACTCAGGGGAACAAAGCTGGGTAGACCTGAGTGAGGAAGGCAGCAGTAATATTTGGCAAAGTAGTTCACAGGTGAGTGTGACATAATCAAAATATATATCTGGTCCCTGCCCCTGGTTCTGCACACAGAACTCTTTTAATTAATTTATTTATTTTGAGACAGGGTCTCACTCTGTTGCCTAGGCTGGAGTACAGTGGTGCAATCATAGTTCACTGCAAGCTCAAATTCCTGGGTTCAAGTGAGCCTCCCTCCTTAGCCCTCCCAGTAGCTGGGACTACAGGTGTGCCACCATGCCCCACTATTTACGTGGTTTTTTTTTTTTTTTTTTTTGTAGCAATGAGGTCTCGCCATGTTGCTCAGGATAGTCTTGAACTCCTGGACTAAAGCGAGCCTTCTGCCTTGGCTTCCCAAAATGCTGGAATTATGGGCATGAGCCATTACGCTGGGTCCACAGAACTTGTAAATCTCTTGCAATTTGCTGAGCAATAAGGGCTCTAGGTGCATCTTTTGTTCTGTATTTGGTCTCTGAGCTCAGTTCCTCACACAGAACTCCTAATCCCTTGGAATTTCCTGGGTGATGAGAGCATCTTTTGTTCTAATGAAGCAACTCTTGGTGGGCTCCTGGATGGGGGCTGGTCATCAGAAAGGCCAGTCCATGATTAGAAGCTTGAAACTTTCAGCCCCACCCCCTAACCTCTGGGAAGGAGAGAGGGGTTGGATATTGAGTTAATAACAGATCATGCCTATGTGATGAAGCCTCCATAAAAATCTCTGAGTCATGGGGTTCAGAGAGCTTCTGGCTTACTGAACATGGGGAAAATGGCTTACAACCTCTGCACCCCTTCCACATACCTTACCTTATGTACCTTTTCATCTGGCTGTGTGTCTGCATTATTTGTAATATCCTTTATAATAAACCAGTAAATGTAAGTGTTTTCCTGAGTTCTGTGAGCCACTCTAGTAAGTGATTGAACACGACGATGGAGTAGTGGGAAGCACTGATTTGCAGTCAAGTCAGACAGAAGTCGTGGGTAACCCAAGGACCCACCTCTTGTGATTGGTGTCTAAAGTGAGAGGCAGTCTTGTGAGACTAAGCCCTTAACCTGTGGGATCTGCACGAACTCCACATAGTTAGTGTCATAATTAAATTGAATTATAGGACACCCACCTAGAGTGTGAGAATTGGTTGGTGTAGGAAAAAACCCACACAGCTGGTGTCAGAAGCGAAGCATTGAGAGTGACATGAGTGTAGAAGGGAAAACAGTTTGGTTTTCCATATTATGCAAGGAGAAACCTTTGCCCATCAGGCATTGGAAGTCTCCATGGAAGTCTTTGTTAAATCCCAGATCACATCTATCCTGAGAACTGGCAATGAAGATCTTGCTTTAATGTCTTCTTTAAAGAGGTCACTGCTTCTGGATGGTGTTTCACTTGAAATCATCTAAAGCACGACGTGGAACCAGATGTAGGTTTATACCAGAAACTAATTTATTTGACCTTTAGATTACAATTCAAGGATTAAGCTTTTGGGGAGAGTTTGGTCTTAATGAAAGAAAATATCAATCTGAATGCTTTGTTCTCACATTAAAAGGAGCAAGTTTAGGATTGAAAAAGACACTTTAAAAATGGATTTCTACAAGGAATTGTTTTTCAATGGGTATAAAGTTTGTTATGCAAGATGAATACATTCTAGAGATCTGCTGTACAACATAGTAACTATTTAACAATAGGATATTGTGCACCTTAAAATATGTTAAGAAGTTAGGCATGGTAGTGCACATCTGTAGTCCTAGCTACTTGGGAGGCTGAGGTGGGAGGATCATTTGGGTCCAGGAGTTTGAGGCTGCAGTGAGCTGTGATCATGCCACTGCACTCCAGCCTGGGTAACAGAGTGAGACTATGTATCTAAAAAAGTTCAACCACAACAACAACTAAAAGATACATCTCATGTTAAATGTTCTTACCAAAACAAACAAAAGAAAACCCATGAAAGGATACAGGAAATTTTGGGGGGTGGTAGCTCTGGTTAGTACTTTTATAGTGGTGATGATATCATAGGTATATGGCATATGTCCAAACTCATCAGGATATATACATTAGATGTGTGTGAATTTTGTATATCAATTATAACTCTGTAAAGCTAAAAAAATAGATTACTATCTATTAATAGAGTATCCCAGAGCAAACTGCTAGGCCATACATTTTTTAAAAGTCAACACTAAAGCAACATCTTTGTTCATTGGATGATAAAAAGGTAAACTCCTCTATGATCTGTTCCCACAAAGGAGAATGTTTTACAGATAGACTTGACCAGTAAATTTCATTATGTGAACACATCCTAGGATATATTTGGAGATGAAAAAAGAAAGATTTATGTCCAATAATGTTTTAACTTTATTTATAATATAGAAAACTAGAAAACTACTTAATATCCAGCAAAAAGAATTCAGTTAAATAAATTATGGTAGTTTCATTTACTGGAAAGTTATGCAGGCATTAAAAATATTTTTGAAGACAATGTGAGAAAATTCTAACATAAATGCTAATGAATATATATTGAATATTCATATAAAGTTAATTTCTTGCAAATGTTAAGTAAATGCACATTGGATTTAATCTCCATATGTTTAAAATGTGTAGATATATGCATAAAAGACAATAAAAGGAAATTCATCTAAATATTAGTAGCATTTATCTCTGTGTATTGAAATTAATAATAATTTAAATGTTGTTTCCCCTCTGGACATTCCTTTATTGCATACATTTTTAATTAAGAGAATGTATTATTTTTAGAATCAGAAAAAAAGCTAAATATGTAACAAAGGACTTGTCCAGGCAGTTGACATGGTTTTTTCTGTGAGAAAATATACAGATGAAAGGGACTTGGAGTCACTCAGGGGGAGAGGGGATAATTTGCCTGAGAATTCCCAGAGCATCTGGAGGAGGAAGAAGCCCAGATCCTAGTCCCTTCTTCCAGATATTCAAAGTAATT
The DNA here is from genome assembly GCF_000001405.40 of Homo sapiens. Taxonomy (NCBI): domain Eukaryota; kingdom Metazoa; phylum Chordata; class Mammalia; order Primates; family Hominidae; genus Homo; species Homo sapiens. Next base: position 59,083,099 of record NC_000014.9, on the reverse strand, counting down.
GAATGGGATGAGTGGTCCACGTAGCTGTCACCAGGACCCAATGACAGGAGAGAGCAATAAACCATTAATGCAAAATCATCCAAAGAAAGAAAGTGGCAGGAGAAAATGTTTGTCAAGGAGGATTGATGTGTTGAGTCTTGGTGGGATTAAGGCAGGAATTGTTCCTGCCCCACTGAGTTTCCAGCTCCGATCTGATGCTTTAGACCATAAAAAGCATCTCAGGGACATATGGAGGTATCACTGAAGCAGTCTCTCTGAGAAAGAGAGACAGTTTTTATGTCAGAAAGATGTACACTCGAACCATTTAATTGAAGCCCTAAACAGAGATGCTGACTTACTTTGTACTCCCAAGCTGGTAGAACGGAACCTAACAGTTGTTGGTCGTTCTTTACCCATATGGGGATAAAATAAGCTAAGAACACACAAATAAGATGAAACATTGAGGTAAAGTGCTATAAAATGAGATGAAATGGTGTATAGGTCAAGAATGATTAAAATTAGAAAAAAACTCAGTAATTATAAAAATAAAACCACCAGGTTAAAAATATTGAGATTACGTAAATAACAATAAAATTATTAGCTTAAAGAAAATCCCAGATAAATGTTGCTATTATGTTGGTGTATCTTGAGATCCTCCATAAATGGAATAATACTATAAAGAGTTGTTTGTAACTTGTTTACCTTTAAAATTTACCAGATGTATATTTGTATGCCAAAAAATATCTACATCATGGCTTTCAATAGCTCTGTAGGTTTCCATTTTATAGTGTAGTGACAATTTTTAATATTTTGTTGGTGCCACTCTAACGTGGGAGTTGGGATTATGATGGTGAACAAGATTCTGTCTTTAAGTGGAAACTTTCCTCCACAGATGTTTTTTTCTCTTCTCGTAAAAATACAACAACATGGGCTGTAGTTATATTCAGTGTTAAGACTATGTATACATATGCAACTAACCTGCATGTTGTGCACACGTACCCTAAAACTTAAAGTATAATAAAAAAAAAGAGAATTCTCATGAATTAAAAGATAACTTTGTGAGGGTCAGCAGGATGCAGGCTGAGGAATATTCTGATTTATTAGACTTGTCTTCCTATGCTAGATAAAACAGTTGAGCCAATGTTAGTTTGGCCTGCTCCTCTCTTCCTAGGTCTTACAGTGAAATATACACCAGAGAGAGATATTGACCCTTTCCCTTCTGATGCAATAGGCTTGAAACAAAATACTGGTAAAGAAAAAGCTATCTATTCTAGTGGATAGAAATCTGGAGAAATATCACAAATGTTCTGAGCCCCAGACCTACTGAGACTTTTGCAGGAAGCATTACCTCTATCCTACCTGGCAGACAAAACACTGCCTGCCCTTTTTTGCTAGATAATTCTAAGTGAGGAAGCCTGTGGACTTACTAAATGACCTATATGATCTGCGAGGAGTAAAACACAACCATTCTGAAGGGAAACATACCCGGAACCATAAGAGTCTTTCACTAGGACCAGGGTAAGATGGTTTGGGGGGAACTGTCAAATATTTATGGCTTTTTGTTCTTACACTGAATAAGTAGAATTTTTAAAAAATGTCTGGTGGTGAAAAGAACTTAAAACAGTTGAAGTATTCGGGGTGTCTAAAGTAAATTAAAACAGGCTGGGTGCATCATAATTTAGTTAGCCAGTTCTTTATAGATAGACATTTAGTTTATTTCTAGCTCTTTTCTATTTTTTGGCATGCAAGCATCATTGTACATGTATCTCATCACATTTATTTGATTATACTCTTATGATCATTGCCTTAAAATATAGTTACTAAGAGTTTGTAAAACTTCCAAACTTTTGATACATATTGTTAAGTTGCCCTCTAAAAATATAATAAAAGTTGCCATTTCCACTAAAAGTATATGAGAATAGTTGTTTTCTTAATACTGTCACCAATATTATGTATTACCATTTATTAAAAATATTTTTTAAAACTTGTCTAATCTGAAATGTGAAAAATGGTACATTGTTTTAAGATTACTTGTGAGAACAATGATCATAATCATTATCATTTTTTGCGGGAGTATCTTACTTTCCTCTCAAAATAGTTCAATGAGTAGGTCCTATTAATTCATATATTCATTGGCTATTTCTGCCTTCTAAAAATTAATTTGTGTGTATGTCTTTTGTGTGTTTTTCTATTAGGATTTTTGTTTTTTTATTTTTATTTTTATTTTTATTTTTTTTTGAGACGGAGTCTCGCTCTGTCGCTCAGGCTGGAGTGCAGTGGCGCGATCTCGGCTCACTGCAAGCTCCGCCTCCCGGGTTCACACCATTCTCCTGCCTCAGCCTCCTGAGTAGCTGGGACTACAGGTGCCCACCACCACGCCTGGCTAATTTTTTGTATTTTTAGTAGAGACGGGGTTTCACGGTGTTAGCCAGGATGGTCTCGATCTCCTGAACTCGTGATCCGCCTGCCTTGGCCTCCCAAAGTGCTGGGATTACAGGCGTCAGCCACCGCGCCCGGACTCTATTAGTATTTTTTTTTTTTTAGTGTAGAAGTGCTCCTTAAAGATTAAGGAAATCAAGTTTCTCCTGATAATCTTTTTTTGGGATGTGTCTTTAGCGGTACTTCTGTTGATCAAAAGTAACTGATAACTCAGAAAGTATGGAGAAAGTCCTAAAATTGAACACAAATAAAAACAAATGAACCTCAATGTGTATAAAAATGTTAACATAACCACACAGAATAAAAAAAATTAATACAAGAGACTTTTGAATATATTACTTTGATGTACACTCTCAGGGAGATACATTCCAAGGACAAGAAGTACTATGAAGAAATACTAAACATTACTTAGTAGGTTTCTTGTTAGTAGAAGTATTGAAGTATTGATAGAGTAATTTTGAAGTTATTTGCTCAATTTTAGAATGTTAGAATTGAGATAGATAGATAGGTTGATTGATATTGCTGGGAAAAAGACTCTTACTGAGGCATAAAGGTGGTACAAACATGAAATGGCACAAGGAAAGGAAGAACCCTTTGGTGTTTGATTGGCACTGGAAAGTATGAACTTATAATTTTATATATATTGGATTTGTTTCTCTTAGCAACGTCTGGATTTGTAAACACGCTCCAACAAGAAGCAGGCTGCACAAGCTTTGTAGATCACAAGGAGCATTAACTCTCCCATGACCTTCAGATGTGGCCATAGGGGCTGATGGACAAAGAATTACCCCCTAGAGCTAGGAGCAATGGATACCAGGGAGTTTTCCATAGAAAGCTGAACCAGAGACTTGCTCCATAACCAGGACAGGGATCTTCACAATCTCTGACCAGAAGGATTTGCTTACCACTGTGGAAACAATGACTGTCATGTTTCTTCTCTTCTTTTTTTGGTGCCAAATCTATCACCATTGGCGGAGAAAAAGAACCTTCTCTTAGACTGTAGGTGATCTGACCCCAGGAGCCACACTTGGAGATAACTACCCATCACCAAGAGATCCTGGAATTTCAACCTGATGATATAACTGGATGGGACTTTGGGAGTATCTCCTGTGGGAAAAAGGAAAGAATTTCGTTTGGCAGGTCAAGTGTAGTTGGATATTTATGGGTGGCTAAAGGGGCAGTCTGTGGAAGAGACTTCTTGTTATTTCTTCCCAACATCCATTCCTTTCTTCTCCTATTATGAGAGATATTTTGAATTTTTGACAAATCCCAGTCTCCCTTGCATCTAGATGTGGCCATGAGACTAAGTTTTGGCCAAAGGGGTATAAATGATATTGTTGTACACAACTTTAGGCTTGTGACCTTAAAGTGAAACAGGTGTGCCCTACACTGCCCATTTTTTCGACCTTGTTTTAACTGTGGATGATGTGGATGAGGTGGTGAGCTACTATGGACCATGAGAATCAGTGGAGCATACTAGAGATGGTGCAACAATAAGAGAAGGAGCCTGGGTCCCTGAATGACCTCATGGGGTAGATGTCCTAAGCTAGTATCACACTATTTACTCCCAGACTGGTGGAGAAGAGAGAAATAATTTCTGGCGAATTCAAAACACTGTTATTTTGGAGCCCTGTTACATGCACCTTGACCTATATTCCAAATTAGATAAGTAAGATAGGTAAGATATCTTAATGCACTTTGGCATGCTATCATTCCCAAATACATGGGAATTAAATTTTTTTGGTATAAATTTACACTGAGAAACAAAAGTATCTAAAACTAAAAGTATTATTTTTTTTTTTTTGAGACGGAGTCTCGCTCTGTCGCCCAGGCTGGAGTGCAGTGGTGGGATCTCGGCTCACTGCAAGCTCCGCCTCCCGGGTTCACGCCATTCTCCTGCCTCAGCCTCCCAAGTAGCTGGGACTACAGGCGCCCGCCACTACGCCCGGCTAATTTTTTGTATTTTTTAGTAGAGACGGGGTTTCACCGTTTTAGCCGGGATGGTCTCGATCTCCTGACCTCGTGATCCGCCCGCCTCAGCCTCCCAAAGTGCTGGGATTACAGGCGTGAGCCACCGCGCCCGGCCCTAAAAGTATTATTTAAAAAGTTTAATTTATATTTGCCTTTGATTTGTTGGTATAAAATTTTTTTTTTAAATTTAAGAGTTTAATTTATAATAATGTCTTAGATGAATCAATTAGGAACTTATTTTTAAACTGAAAAATGTTACATTTTAAAAAGTTTTTCATAAAAAACATTTATACGTATTCTCTCAAACAGAAGTTTGGAAAAAATATTTGTTTTCACTCCTTTTATAAATGGAAGCTTTATATTCTCAAGTATTTTAATTGATTGCTTGGAAGGTATCTTTTCCAAACAGTTTTTAAAGCATGGAGGCCTTCAAATGCCATTTAAAAGCCCAAATGGTTTATATTAAATCTACAAATTTAGAGTTCTAAGTTTAGAGTTCTTTTAGAAAACTCAAAACCTTATTTTTTTCAAACAGCATTAACATACATGTTAAGTACGAACTGTTAAAAATGATATAGGATACATATAACTAATGAACATGGAATTTTTCATGTCTTCATTAGTTATATGTATCCTATATCATTTTTCACTTTTCAATTTTGAAATTCACATTTTCACTTTTTAATTTTGAAATCTAAATATCAACCTTTTCTGTTGCATCTTGAACAAACCGACATTGTTCCAATTGTATGTATAAAGCAGCTGTTTGGCATTTGGCTGGATCAGCTTCACATTTTTGCTTAAGAACTTCGGCAAATCTTTTAGATTCAGGTGACAGCCCTTACAACTTCTCAGCTAGATTTTTTTCTTGAGGGCTTTGTTGTTTTATCATACAGTTAAAATAAGAAATCTATTGAATTTTGATTAACCTTCTCCCTTGTATGTCAAGTTCACTCCTAAAAATGACCAACCAAAATCATGATTGGTTCACCAAATTTTATTTTGGAGGATCCATAATCTTTACAGGCACAGCAAATATGCTGAAGTATGGATAGGTACTTTCTTGAATCCTTGACCTCTCCATTCACAAAGGAATGAAAAGACACAGTCTGACAGATGATTCAAACTAGACTTGAGACTTGCTTGGCCACAGATGGAGTACAACTGGGGAGGGGGTCACCAATTCAAACATAGAAAGAAGATAATCAAAATGAGTCCTGTGTCAAGGATTCCACTGTGTATAGAACAAGCCCCTAACTGAGTAATCATATCTAGCCTCTAAGTCCACTAAAGATGGTAAATCAGAGCTGGCAGACAGATACACGGTTCTGGAGAATTTGGAAATTTTGCATCAGTTATTCTGCAAATGTGATCCTAATTCCTAGCCAACTTCACAAAACAGAAGAAGCTATATCTCATTTCATATGGTAAGATACACTCAACATTTTGCATTTATATTTAATCTTAGCTAGCATATTGATCTTTGCTTATCAAAAACTGTGTCTATCATATCTGGTTGCAAAAACAGGGTGGCATGATTCCAGACCTGAGTTAGACAAATGACAGGTAGCCTACTGGAAGCCTACATTAAGGTTTTAAAGGGCCTCTTACCTTGGAGATTGGCATCGGGAGATACGGCAGTGAGAATCCTGTCTTGTTATCATATTTTAGATGCAATCACTTTGAGTCAATAAGAAAACATACTTGCTGATCCATTTAAACACAAATGTAAACATAAAATCAGCACATTTTTATACCCTTCCTTTTCTGTTTTACATAGCCATATCTCTTTCTAAGTCATATATAGATTTATCACCTTTTACAAAGTTAGCTAGATATTTGTGAGATCTAAAAATCAAAACAATTGAACTCATTGACACAGAGAGTAGAAGGATGGTTTCCAGAGGCTGGGAAGGGTAGTGGGAGGCTGGAGATGACTAATGGGTACAAAAATAAAATAGAATGAATAAGATCTACTATTTGATAGCACAACACAGTGACTATAGTCAACAATAAATTAATTATACATTTTAAAATAACAAAGAGTGTAATTGGATTATTTGTAACACAAAAGATAAATGCTTGAGGTGATGGATACCCCATTCTCTGTGATGTGATTATTTCTCATTGCATGCTTGTATCAAAACATTTCATGTACCCCATAAATATATATACCTACTATGTACCCACAAAAGTAAAAAATAAATTTTTAAAAAAGTTTGCTAGAGATTCCATTTACTAACCAACACCTTATTGATGAACATGTAAGTCGTTCTAATTTCTTGTTATTATTAACAATGCTCCTGGTGAGCTCCCTTCTCAAATGCTCATTTTTATATCAGGATCTGAGGGCTAGCTACAGAGAGGGCCTCCATATATAGATGCAGATGGGGCACAGCACAACTCCAGGGGTTACCCTTCATCCCAGGGTCTCTGTAAATGGTAGGCTCTGGAGTTAGGTTATGGACAACCTCCCCAGGCTGTATGTGATGGCTCTTGCTGCAGAATTCCACATGTTCCTTGGAAGATTACCCCTGCCCCAGCTCCAGGGAAAAATCTCCACTCCCACCTCTCCAGCATTCTTCACTTGACTCTTTCAAGATTCCTAATAGATTCCTAATGTCCAAGAAGGACACCACAATTAAATCGATTATTTGCCTCCCCTAAGACTAAGGTAGAATGCCTTATTAAGACCTGGTTTTGACATCATTTAAGAGCAGTATCTGGGAGGTGGGTGCTGCCTAAGTATTGGGGCAGTGTTATAAATTTGAGTGCCAGCAATGTATTTTGGAGGTGAACCCAGGAAATACTGGTAAGAGAGTGGGGAAAGGAGACTGAGAAGTAAAGGAAGACAATAAAAATGTAATTTCAAGCATGTTGATATGGTGGGCAACTGGGGCTCAATCCCACAGAAGAAACTTGGTGGGACAGTGTAGGACAGGTTTCAGAGTCATTCCCTCTGAGAGGTGAGGAGCCTAGAGAAGTTATTCATCAACTCCCCGTATCGATTTATGGCTGCTTTCAGGGGCATTAACTCTCTGACACTTCTGCCCTGCCCTTCTTTGTGCCTGGGCCTGTCCCCAAAGCCAGATAAAAGCTCTCAGACAGAGAGGTAGTTTTTTGGGCAAGTACCAACAGCATCTGCTTCAATGGTCATCCATGCCTAGAGTTTAAAAATGTGTTGGCTGGTAAATTGTCTGTTTTTAAGAAAATTTAAGATGGGTTTATATCACTTTTAACCAAATAAATTCTGACTAACATATATAGCAGACATATATTACCTACCTATATATAATATAAATAGTGATATATGATCACTATATATCACTATAAAATTATTGTGGGAAATAACAAGATAAATAAGATGCAAGACCTATGTTAAAAATAATGATTAATATGATTAATACTGGTTACTACTTATTAATAGTTCTTGTTTGAATTTAGTGGCCACCTACTATATAACAGACCCTATACTAATAATTTACATGGTCCCAAAAACCAGTTACATTTATTAAGTCCCTAATTTGAGCCAAGATTTCTAACTGTATTGTTTTGTTTAATCTTCACAACCTATGAGTTAGTTATTATTATCCTTTTTGTTCTCTCTGCAAAGGAAACCAAAGCTTATAGAGGTTAAAAACTTGCAAGATCACAAGTGGCAGGGCTGTGATTCAAACCATCACCACTACAGATGACAACTGAAGCAGGGAAAAATTAAGTGGTTTGCTTAAGATCACACAACCCTCCCTTCACCCCTTCCCTCCCCTCCCTTTACCCCTCCTCTCCCCTTCCCTTCCTTTTCTTTTCTTTTTTTCCTTTTTTGAGATGGAGTCTTGCTCTAGCACCCAGGCTGGAGTGCAATGGCGTGATCTCGGCCCACTGCAACCTCCGCCTCCTGGGTTCAAGCGATTCTCCTGCCTCAGCCTCCTGAGTAGCTGGGATTACAGGTGTGCGCCACCATGCCCAGCTAATTTTTTTATTTTTAGTAGAGACAGTATTTGCCATCTTGGCCAGGCTGGTCTTGAACTCCTGACCTCAGGTGATCTGCCTGCCTTGGCCTCCCAAAGTGCTGGGATTACAGGGGTGAGCCACCATGCCCCGCCAAATATGTTTATGTCTAATCCCAGGAACCTGTGGATTTGTCGTGTCACTTGGGAAGGGACAAAGTAAGATCAGCTGACTTGAGATGGGGAGGTTACTCTGTATTAGCAGGGTGGATGCAGTGTATGCACAAAGCTCCTTATAAGTGAAAGGGAGAGGCAGAGGAGTCAGCTTTTTTGAAGATTTGAAGATGATACCCTACCAACTTTGCCAACTCAGTAGATAGAGGAAGAGGCATGGGCCAAGGAATACAGATGGCTTCTATAAACTACAAAAGGCAAGGAAACATTTTTCCCCAGAGGCTCCTGAAAGAACATACTTTCCGACACCTTGACTTTGGATCACTGAGAGCATTTTGAATTTATGACTTCCAGAAATGTAATTATAAATTTGTGTTGTTTCAAGACACTAAGGTTGTGAGAATTTATTATAGCACTAATAAGAAACTAATATATTGAAACTATTAAAAGAGGTCTGTCTGTAGAATTAGCCGCTCTCAAGGTTCCAGAAAGAACAGTGAGGTTGACATGAGATCATTTAAAAGGGTTCTACAACACCGCTCAGATGCTGATGGGCTACTGCCTAAATGTACCATGGAGGGGAAGGAAGATACAGGAACATTTCGTTAGAGGTAGGACTGCTTTAAGATGTCCTTCTATCTGGGTGAAAGCCTACCTCAATAAGCTCTGGTCTATTCTTGGGTGAGGACTTTTCTGGGGCTGTTTTCACTCCTAATAATATAAAGAAATGCTTCTTGACAAATCACTGAATACATTTTATGTTTTCATATGCTTTTGGTGAATCTTAGAATTTTTTTATTACTTTCCTTAGCCATAGAGTACAATAAAAATGAAAATGAATCTCATATGTTCTATTAATACTTAACTTAGGTCCCTTTGCTTTTGGAAACTAATATTATTCTTTAAGCATAGGCTAGTAAATAATATAATTGTTCTACAAATCTGGAAGGAAATTAAAATGCTCACTTTTATTGTTTTAACAAGTTGAACTATCTATGCATAGGGAAATTAATTTTTTCTTTGAAGAAAACACACATAGAAATTTATGTAGGTAATCCATCTATATATTGGTGTATTTTAAAGTATTTGCTTTAATTCAAATATTGACCTATATATATATACCTATTTGAGGAAGAGTTCTGAATTGTGATTATTTTGGCATTTCCAAAGTATAAGAATTATTTTTAGTTATAAGTCACACAATAACAAAATTTTCCCATAGTGCCGACAGCTTGTACTCTTGAGAGCTAATTCAGTTTCTGATGGAAGAGGTTGGTAGGCAGGTAGATTTGATCTGACGGGACAGCTATATAAAAATCAAGGATATCTCCAAAGAATTTGTTTGGAAAAAAAGACAATTTTTATTTTATTTTATTTTAAGGTCCAGGGTATAGGTGCAGGATGTACAGGTTTGTTACATAGGTAAATGTGTGCCATGGTGGTTTGCTGCACCTATCAACCCATCACCTTGGTAAGTAAGCCCAGCATGCATTAGCTATTTTTCCTGATGCTCTCTCCTGACCCCACCCTCCCCTGACAGGCCCCAGTGTGTGTTGTTCCCCTCCTGTGTCCATGTGTTCTCATTGTTCAGCTCCCACTTACAAGTGAGAACATTTGGTGTTTGGTTTTCTGTTCCTGCGTTAGTTTGAGAATAATGGCTTCCAGCTTCATCCATGTCTTTGCAAAGGACATGCTCTCATTCCTTTTTATGGCTGCATAGTATTCCATGGTGTATATATACCACATTTTCTTTATCCAGTCTATCATTGGTGGGCATTTGAGTTGATTCCATGTCTTTGCTATTGTGAATAGAGCTGCAATGAACATACGCGTGCATGTATCTTTATAATAGAATTATTTCTATTCCTTTGGGTATATACCCAGTAATGGGATTGCTGGGTCAAATGGTATTCCCAGTTCTAAATCTTTGAGGAATTTCCACAGTGTCTTCTACAGTGGTTGAACTAATTTACATCTACACCAACAGTGTGAAAGTGTTCCTATTTCTCCACCACCTCACCAAAATCTGTTGTTTCTTTACTTTTTAATAATTACCATTCTGACTGGCAGGAGATGGTATCTGCCATTCTGACTGGCAGGAGATTAGTGATGTTGAACTTTTTTATGTTTTTGGCCACATAAATGTCTTTTTTTGAGAAGTGTCTGTTCATGTCCTTTGCCCACTTTTTAATGGGGTTACTTCTTGTAAATTTGCTTAAGTTCCTTGCAGATTCTGGATACTAGACCATTGTCAGATGGATAGATTGCAAAAATTTTTTTCCATCCCGTAGATTGTTCACTCTGAGGATAGTTTCTTTTGCTGTGCAGAAGCTCTTTAGTTTAATTAGATCCCATTTGTCAATTTTTGCTTTTGTTGCAATTGCTTTTGGTGATTTCATAATAAAATCATTGCCCATGACTATGTCCTGAATGGTATTACCTAGATTTTCTTCTAGGGTTTTTATATTTTTGGGTTTTATATTTAAGTCTTTAATCTATCTTAAGCAAATTTTTGTATAAGGTGTAAGGAAGGGGTTCAGTTTCAATTTTCTACATATGGCTAGCCAGTTCTCCCAGCCCTCAGTTTCAATTTTCCACATATGGCTAGCCAGTTTATCATTATTTAATAAATGGATACCCATTTATTATAGGGTATCCTTTCCCGTGTTTTTGTCAGGTTTGTCAAAGATCACAGGGTTGGAGATGTGCAGTTTTATTTCTGAGTTCTCTATTCTGTTACATTGGTCTATGTGTCTGTTTTTGTACCAGTACCATGTTGTTTTGGCTACTGTAGCCTTGAAAATCAAGACAATTATTTGGCTTCTTTGTCTTAATATTACAGCCAGGTCTCATCAAGATAATGGTTACCTTTTGACAAGTAAAAAGTTTTTATTTGCTCATGCTGAGCAGCACAGAGAGTAATGGGAAGTGAGGATTGGAAAAAGAGACTTCAGGATAGATAATCCATCCAAATTCATTTGATTGGGCAAACTAATTAATAATATACATTTTAAATCTGCAGTAAACATTTCCCCAGGAATAAGCTGTCTTGGACTCACCTGCTTCTAAAAGGCCAGTATAAACAGTGGTACTTGACCACATTCCTCCTCTTACTTATAAGTTAACTGTTAATAACATTCCCCAGAAACAGATTTTCCCCCCTGCATTTTTACATTCCAGGCTATTTCATGTCAGAACACAATTGAAGTTCAAATTTTATTTTGTCATGAATATTTTGGGATATATTGTATATATTTGGTAAATCACAAGACTGTTGTTTTATTGATGGGCAGAAGACTATTTTTGTTGTTTACTGTTTGGTTTTAGGGGTGGAGACATTTTAAATTAAAGCAATTTAGCTTCCTATGCCTCTCATTCCACTGCTATTTGATTTTCTAATAGAATTGTTTGTTTCTTAAACCTCTAAATGCATACTGATGATGGCTTTTGTGAGCTATTACTTGATGGGGGCAAAAATATTTCAAATTTTGGAGACAGACATTCATGAAGTGCTGAACAATTCCATTTGAGAGGCCAAAGCAGCTTATGCTGACACAACTACAGAAGTTGAAATCTTTACAGGTAAGAGATGAAGGGGCTTTGTTTTGGAGTTTTAAATTTGCTGTCTGTGTTGAAAGAGTGCTGTAGATAAAAGATTGTATAGATTGGTGTCCTATGTATTTTCCTAAATGTATATAAATAATAGCACCAGTTTTTCCTTCATTTGATGAGAATAAATAAAAGATAAGTCCCGATACTGGCAGAAGACAGAAAGACAACAGCAAGAGAATGCAAAGGAGTAAGATAGTTATAGGTGAGGGGAAAATTACAGAGCAGGGCATATCTCTAATTAATTTTTTGAGGGCCAAAAGAGAAGTCTTATTTTTAGTTTACTTTTTTAAAAAAATGTTTTAAATGATGCCAATCATTTAAATTTTTTAAAGTAACATGAAACTTTATCTACATGAGCCATAACTCCTTCATCCTGGAAATCCAGACCCTGCTTGTATTTTTAAGATGGCATCTCAATAGTATATGCAGCTTCTCTCTTATTTTGAATTTTTGATCATTTGTCTCTTCCATAACAAATTCTGTGCACCTTTTCCCTTTAGTAGGTAGACTCAGCAGTGGTATTTCTACCTAGTTTCCCAACGTACTGGGATAAGTGGCAAAGCCAGACTAGCCAGACTCCCCAGGACTCCTGATAGAACTGTAATGTCCACAAGTTTCTCTGGAATTTAGCTAGAGCTTACCTAGAGAATTTTGTGATTCAAAAACAAAAAGTTACTATAGGTTTCTACTAAACTTCAGACAATTCTAGCATATTTTGTTATCAACTGAGAACCATTAGGGTTTACAAAAACAGTCAGCATAGTTTAAGGTAGTGGCTGTGGAAGACACTCAGGAGGTTCCTGGAAAACACCAGTTTAGACTGTCAGAGACCTCCGGCACTGCCACGGAATTTTCCTTCTCCTGGCAACATAGGAGTTTAATAAGTAATAACTGCTGTTTCTGAGTATGGCATGCTCAGATCTATTTTCCCTTATTAAAAATAGCCTGCATGTTCTCGCTTATGGAGGTGAATGTGATGCCTACAAACTTCCCAACAAAATGATCCTATTTGTTTAGAAATCATTCTCATTTGCTTGTAATATTTTGGTTAAAGAATCGGGAGAATCTTGGAATCCAGGGGCCCACATAAGGTAAGAGTTTTGGGACTGGATATCTCCATGACCTGTGGTTTCTGCCTTGAAGAAAGGAACATGGAGATCTGACTCCTATCTCCCTCGGTGCAGAGCCTGGTGGTGCTCACAGAGGCCTGGCTGAATGGTGGGCCTGCATTTTGTCATCTCCTCCCCTGTCCCAGTGAGCCACTCCAGCTGTGAGCCAGGGCAGTTGAAGGATCCTAGCTTTAGGCAGTTACGCAGCGGTCAAAGGTCTTGTTTAATAGAGAATTAAGGGAGGTGAAACCGTTTGACCACTCTCTTTGATGTTCTGCGATTTTTATCTCCTAATAGAATTAAAATACCAACTATCCTGAGGAATGGAGATAGCCCTTATTTTGCAGTCCCGAAAACAGTCAATAAGCCTATTTTTCTTTTATTCTTAAAACAAATTGTTTTCTCTTAACCAAATGGGAGTTAAGGCAAACTGTGAATTTATATGATGAGTTTAGAAATGACTTCAAATGGCCATGAGCTTCTCATTTGTTGAAATGGCTTTGACATTGCCAGGCTGTCTAAAATATGACCACAGGCAGCCAAGGGAACTTTTGTGCAAATCTCATGAACAACTGTGAGACTCTGGCATAGCGTTCTTTTTTCTTTTTCTGTTTTGTGATGTTGCATTCTTTTTTCCTTTTTATATCATTGAAAATAAAAATTGAACTTAAGGGCCATAAGCACGAAGGGACAGATTTCTTTACGTCATCATTATGTGTGTGTGTAATATGTTTAGACAAAAGCAACCCCAAATTCACAATTTAGAGAAACAAGACTTTGTTAAATTTTGTGCTGTGCCTAAGGCAGCAAATACCAATATGTGTAAATTAAAATTAGATGCAGTAATAGGGATTGGCTCATCCAACAGTAACAGAAAGGATTATTCAAGCTTGACTATGTGCTAAATAGCATTTTTTTCATTTTTCTTTTTCCCATAAATAGGTGTTATGAATGGTTATAGCTGAACACACAACATAAGCCTTTTTAAAATTCAGCAATGTATGATTATTAATTTTCCATATCATTGAATATACTTTCACACTGCAGTTCTTAAAGATTGAAAAGTATTTTATCATTTCATTTTACTCAGTAAATTCCTTGTAATGTTAGACACTTATGTTAGTTCCAATTTTTCACTCACAAATAATGCTTCAGTGATATACTTCCATCTTTCTCACTTTTCTGGTCATTTCCTTAGGAGAAATTCCTGGGTGTAAAGTGGCTGGATCATACATTTAAGATCATAAGATCTTAAATGCTGTGTGTGCTGCCGGGGCTGTCATAACAAAATATTATGCACCAAATAAAACAATGCACCAAAAGCACATGTTCCAAGGAGTAGTCATATTGAGCATTTGTCTCCTAGCATCCATCAGGTTACAAGTCAATTGCTCCCAGAATTCCTACTGGTCAGATACTCTGTATTTTCTGTGCCTTGTTGAGGATCCCTCAAATTATCATATTCCTGAATTTTGTGAGCAAGGCAGTGTCACCACCATTTTCAGGACTTTGGAAATACCTTCAGAATATGGGAATGGAAGAGGTAATGTTTACTAATAATTTTGTTTTCTTATATATACTTGAGTTCACAACCTTACTTAAAATATACATACAACACCTAATAAATTCTTGCTAAATACATATATATATGTACATATATGTGTAGGTATATATGTGGTCCCCTCAATATATATTTGATGTGCTGTTTGTTACTCCACTATATGTGTACCTCTCTGGTATCCAGGACACGGGCCTATATGTAAAACATATATAACAACTGATTTATTGGAACTTCATTACACAAATAGAAATTCTATATTAAAATGGTATGTGTTAAAATACTATGTTAAAATGCTTGCCCTATATTTTTGGAACTCCTAGCTCAAAAGGGTATTCAGACCAAAATATTATATGTAGTGATTTTTCTTCTTCAGACAATAAGAATATTATTTCAAAGAATACTTATAGAGTATTATAGCATAAATGCAGTTTCAAAACCATTTTATTGATTATTTGAACAATTCTATGAGGTATGGGCAAATCTAACATCTAGATCTTCTAGGAGAAAGTTATCAACTTGAATTCATTTCTTCTGTTCCTAGGCTCTGAGCTCTGTTATCTCACAATGCTCTGTCAACACTGCTAAGGGCAAGCAATTATTTAAGGTGATAGATTGTAGGCTGTTTCACTTTCTTAACATATGATTTCTTATACTGTAGTATATGATTAGTAGAGGCTGTTTGGAAGTCTTACAGGAAAATACGTGTTTATTTGGGGCAAAGTGAAATAAAGAGAAATGACTTGGACAGATAGTCCACTCCTGATATTCCAGGTATCCCACAAGGAGATACACAGAGGAGACAAGGCCAGGCAAAATGTTTGTGCTTGTTACCATGAGGCTTTGTGTCTGTGTATTCCTGTGAACCAGGCTGCACTTTGGCAACAATCCCTTGTGCTTACATTAATCCAGTGTGAGTGGCCAACCGAGGCAGGACACTCCTTTCCCTTCCCCTCTGAGCTCATACTCGCTGGCTTAAGAGTGATATTAAAAGACCAGCTTGATGTCTAGACAGGCCTGGTCTAAGCAAGCTGCCCCAGGCCTTCTCAGGAAAGAGCATTGCTGAGTCGAAGCAGACTCTGGCTGGTGTTACTTCCTCAATCTAAGGAAGTAAAGTCCAGAAAAAGAAACTCTTGGGAGAGTACAGGCATACCTCACTTTACTGCATGTTGCTGCACTTCACAGATAATTGTGTTTTTTACACATTGAAGGTTTGTGGCAACCCGTGGAGCAAGTCTGTTGGCCTCATTTTTCCAACAGCATGTGCTCACTTACTGTTTCTGTGTTATATTTTAATTCTCACAATATTTCAAGCTTTTTCATTATCATTATATCTATTATGGTGATGTGTGATCAGTGATCTTTGATGTTACTGTTGTAATGGTTTTGAGGTGCCACCAACCATGACCAAATAAGACAATGACCTTAATTGATAATGTTGTATGCGTTCTAACTGTTCTACTGACCACCCATTTTCCCATCTCTCACCCTCTCCTCGGGCCTCTCTATTCCTTGAAACACAACAGTATTGAAATTAGGCCAATTAATAACCTCACAAAGACCCCTAAGCATCCAAGTGAAAGAAGAGTTTCACGTCTCTCACTTTAAGTCAAAAGCTAGAAAGGATTTTAGTGAGGACGGCATGTTGAAAGCTGAGATAGGCTGAAATCTAGACCTCTTGCATCAAACAGCCAAGTCATGAATGCAAAGGAAAAGTTCTTAAAGGAAATGAAAAGTGCTACTCCACTGAATCCACAAATGATGAGAAAATGAAACAGACTTATTGCTGATATGGAGAAAATTTTAGTGGTCTGGATAGAAGATCCAACCAGCCACATCATTCCCTTAAGCCTGAGCAAGGCTCTAACTCTTTTCAATTCTGTGAAGGCTGAGAAAGGTAAGGAAGCTGCAAGAGAAAGTTTGATGCTAGCAGAGGATGCTTCATGAGGTTTAAGGAAAGAAGCTGTCTCTATAACGTGAGTGCATGGTGAAGCAGTAAGTGCTGATCAAGAAGCCATAGCAAGTTATCCAGAAGATCAAGCTAAGATCATTGATGAAGGTGGTGACACAATAGATTTTAATTGCAGGTGAAACAATCTTACATTGAAAGATGTTATCTAGGACTTTCATAGCAAGAGAGGAGAAGTCAATGCCTGGCTTCAAAGCTTCAAAAGACAGACTAACTCTCTTATTAGAGGCTAATGAAGCTGGTGACTTTAAGTTGAAGCCAATGTTTATTTGCCATTCTGAAAATCCTACGTTTTCTGACCCTCCCACAGAAAATGAAAGTATCAATATCAATTGTCCCTTATTTCCAAGCTTCTTAAAAGGTCCATAATACATGCTAATAATCAGCTTTCTATTTCTTTCACCTTCTTCTAATTCTGCTGTCTTCTGCTACAGGTACATCAAGCAGTACTTGATTGGAATGTCTCTAAAGTTGATCATGAGTATCCATTTTCAAACTTCTAGACCAACAACAGAGCACATAGAATTTCATAATATCAGCTCCATATCCTACCAAATTTAGAAAGTAGTTCAAATTCCACAATCCAATATAATAATTACAATAAGCGCTAAAATTCAAGGAACTATTTACATGATGTCCCTTTATCATAATACATTTTAGAATTATATAATGCTCTTAGCATAGTGTCTGTCCCATATGAGATATTCTACAAACAAAAGCTTAAAAGACATGTTATTTGTAATATTGGTTTCCCTCTCTGTCTCTCCTCCTTTCCTCCAATAAAACTGTAATCTCTCTGTAGACAAACTAGTTTTTTTCTTTGTATCTTGAGTATCTCTCATGGAACTAATAGGAAAAGCTCAATAAATGCTTTTTGAGTAAATGAATGAATGAATGAAGAGGTAGTATATTGCATTGTTAAGAATTTGAATTTCATCATGAAAAGCATTTAATCAGTTAATAGGATATAGAATTGTAAATGAAATATTCAATTTTTAGATTGGAAAATACATTTATTTTCTCTCAAAATTTCAGATTTTGAAATGTCTCTGAACAAAACACAATTAGTTTATAAATTGATGTCCAGAACTTCCAGATGACGATTGTTCCTCCTACCTTTTTGGACTCAGCCAGTGGGACCCAGAGCTTGAGGTGAGAGTGAGCAGGTCACAAAACAAAAGAATACTATAGTCTGAGACACACAGAGGATGGGAAGGAAGGGCAGGTTTTAAATGTAAAGTGCAACAAAACGCATGAAGAGGGAGAAATGAAATAAAGGGTCAGCAATAGATATTCACAAGGAAGAAGTTAATTCAGCAGGTGGAGCAAGGAAATACTCCCACATTCAAGGGAAGTCTGCCTGTCAGAGTGTGGTAGGAGACACCCAGTAAGCTCTTAAACAGATTTGTAAAGGGGAAATGTTGGTTTAGTTAGATTAATATTAACATCTATCTTCCCTCCTTCCCTCCCTCCCTCCCCCTCCCTTCCTTCTTCCTTTCCCCTCCTCCTTGCTTTCCTCCTTCCCTTCTTCCTTCCTTTCCCCCTTCCCTTCCCTTCCTTTTTTCTAGAAACAAGTAAAAATTTACAGACTCTTCTTCTTCTGGACTTCTCATTTTCATCCTGCTACCACTATTAACTTTCGTGCATACAGTGGGCTGGACTTATAAGAAAGGATTATATTTTGCATTGACCTTAAGCATCATTGGGTTTGGTGACTATGTATTAGGTAGGTCAACTGATATTAATCATAGAATTTTATTATTACTAGCTACAGAATCAACAGATTTTTTTTTTGAGAGGGAGTCTTGCTCTGTCGCCCAGACTGGAGTGTAGTGGTGCCATCTCGACCCACCGCAACCTCTGCCTCTCAGGTTCAAGCGATTCTCCTGCCTCAGCCTCCCGAGTAGCTAGAATTACAGGTGTCCACCAACACACCCAGCTAATTTTTGCATTTTTAGTAGAGACCAGATTTCACCATCTTGGCCAGCCTGGTCTCAAACTCCTGATCTCGAGTAATCCACCCACCTCCACCTCCCAAAGTGCTGGGATTACAGGTGTGAGCCACCATGCCCAGCCAGAATCAACAGAATTTTAGATAGAAGTATAACTAGAAATTTAGAAGTTATCTATTAGAGTAGGATGGAGGCCAAAAACTATTTTTAAAACTCCAATCATGTGATACTAAAAAAATTCAAAATGAGAATTATAACTATAAATTTAGAACTATAATTATGTATTCTTATTGAATATAATATTCATTTTATAAGTGCTACTTCTTAATTTCCAGTTAGTGTAAAATAATCTATAATAGTCAGTGATTAGACTCCACATGTAGGCTTTTTGTGGGTTTATACTAATGTGTTATAGCTTATAAAGGGGAAAAGGGGATGAGAGGCAAAATTCAACTTTCGGTGACTTAAATGTGATTGGATTTTTGCCTTTAGGTATAAATCCTTCTAAGAATTACTCACGAATTTACCCAATAATACGAATACTTTGGTGTACCTTTGGTCTTCCTTGAATTGCCAGTGTCCAGGAGATTTTCCCCTATGTTTTATTCTGGAGGTTTTATAGTTTCTGGTCTTATATCTGGTCTTGAATTGCCAATATCCAGGAGATTTTCCCCTATGTTTTATTCTGGAGGCTTTGTAGTTTCTGGTCTTACAGTTAAGTCTTTTATCCATTATAAGTTGATTTTTGTGGGTGAAGTGTTTCTTTGTTTTTCTGCATGTGGAAATCCCATTTTCTCAGTACCATTTATTGAAGAGACTATCCTTTCCCAGTTGTGTCCTCTTGATGCCCTTTTCAAAAATTAGTTTACCATATATGGTTGGATTTATTTCTGAGATCTCTATTCTGTTCTACTGGTCTATGTGATGGCTTTTAGCTCAGTACCATACTGTTCTGACTACTATAGCTTTGTACTATAGTTTTAAATCAGGAAATGTGATGCCTCGAAATTTATTTTTTCTTTTCAGAATTATTTTAGCTATTTGGAGTCTTTTATGTTTCCACGTTAATTTTAGGATTAGTTTTTTCTATTCCTGTGAAGAATGTGATCAGGATTTTAATAGGAATTGTGTTTAATCTGTATATTGCTTGGAATAGTATGGAAATTTTAACAGTATTAATTTTTCTTTTTCTTTTGAGAAAGAGTCTCACTCTGTTGCCCAGGCTGTGATCTCAGCACACTGCAACCTCTGGCACCCAGGTTCAAGTGATTCTCCTGCCTCAGCCTCCCGAGTAGCTGGGATTACAGGCACCTGCTGCCACACCCAGAAAAGATGTTAGACTTTTGTATTTTTAGTAGAGACGGGTTTTTACCATCTTGGCCAGGCTGGTCTTGAAATCCTGACCTGGTGATCCACCCACCTTGGCCTCCCAAAGTGCTGGGATTACAGGCATGAGCCACAGTGCCTGGCCCAGTATTAATTTTTCTATTCTATGAACGCAGGATATCTTTCCATTTATTTGTATCTTCAATTTCTTTCATCAATGTTTTATAGTTTTCAGATTTTTCATCTCCTAAAGTATTTCTTGATGCAGTTGCAAATGGCATTTGTTTTTTTAAATTTATTTTTCAGTTAGGTAATTATATTTTAAAATGCTACTGATTTTTCTATATTGATTTTGTATCCTGCAACTTTACTGAATTCAATTATTAGTTTAAACAGTATTTTATGGAATCTTTAAGATTGTTTAAGAATCATTAAGGTTGTTTACATATAGAAATACTTCATCTGCAAATAGAGATAATTTGACTTCTTCTCTTTCCGTTTAGATACACTTTATTTCTTTTTCTTTTCTGATTGCCCTTGCTAGTACTTCCAGAACTATGTTGAATAGAAGTGGCAAGAGTGAGCATCCTTGCTTTGTACTGGATCTTATTGGAAATGCTTTCAGTTTTCCCCCATTGATTATAATGTTAGCTGTGTGTTTTTCATAGATGACCTTTATTATGTTGAGAAGCTTTCCTTCTATACCTAAACTGTTGAGAGTTTTTATCAAGAAAAGATGTTGGACTCTGTCAAATGCTTTTTCTGCATCAATTAAGATGATCCCGTGGTTTTTATCTCACATTCTGATAAAATGATGTATTACACTGATTGATATGCATGTGTTAAAATAGGATTGCATGCCAGGGATAAATCCCACTTGCTCATGATGATGTACAATCTTTTTGATGTATTGCTGGATTAGGTTTGCTAATATTTTATTGAGCACTTTTGCATCAATATTCATTACAGAAATTAGCCTGTTTTCTTTTCTTGAAATGTCTTTGGTTTTTGTATCAAGGTGATACTGGTCTTATAAGATGTGTTTGGAAGTATTATCTCTAGTTCTATTTTTTGGAAGAGTTTTAGGAGTACCGGTATTAATTATTTGGATGTTTGGTAGAATTTAGCCGTGAAGCTATCTGGTCCTGGGCTTTTATTTCTTGAAAGGTTTTTGAATACCTCTTCAATCTTTTGCTTGTTATATGTCTGTTCAGGATTTCTATTTCTTCCTGGCAGAATCGTGGTCATTATTTACAATCTACCAAATTTACAATCTTGGTGGTTTGTATTTTTCCAGGAATTTATCTGTTTCCTTTAGGTTATCTTGTTTGTTGGCATAAAATTTTTCATGAGGGTTTCTTATAATCTTTTGTATTTCTGAGGCACCTGTTGTAATTTTCTCACTTTCATTTTCGCGTTCGTACCTCTTCCAAATTCTCATTTTGTTGAGCTCCCATGTGTTGAGGTGTTTACTCAGGACAAAAAGACAAACTGAAAGTAATGATAAACTTTTTATTCACTTTCTGTGATAGAGTAAGCAAGAGACAGTATAGGTGCTGGCTCCTCAGTGTTTCATTTCCCCCCATAGAACAGCACTGGGTGAGGTAAAGCAGTGTAGGCAAGGGGATTGTCTCACTGCCAAGGAGCTGTGAACAAAAGGTTCCTGTCATTTTATGGATCCAGGAGGCTGTGGGGAGACAGAGTGGGTAAGGGCTAGGACTGGAAAAGTATTAAGTCAGAGTGGAGAAACATGTCTTAGTCAAGGCCTCCCAGTGAGGCGGTCTTGGCAGAGTTGCTCAAAATGTGCCTCAGCTGAGGACCCCCATAAAGATGTCTTCAAATGGAGGCGCCTAGGCTAGACATGCAGAGAGGTCAATGAGCATGGTTGGCCCAGGGGCGCCTGAGTCCTTTCCTGCAACCCCCTCCAGAGACTGCAATGCACTGGCTGTGCACCAAGACTGGTGTGGAAGGCCAGCTTCCCCTTATGAGGCCTGCCAGGCAAAGCCTTGTAATTGCCTGTGGTCAGGCTTGAATGACCACACACAGAACTTTGGCCTGGAGCTAGACTCCTAAGATTAGTCCCACCAGCTCAGCTGAAGTTAAGGGCTCAGTTGTTTTCTCTTCATCCCTGTAGCCTCTTCATCTCTGGCAGGCCCTGTCCTCTGCCAGACACATCTGCGTTTGTCCCAGGAATGAGTTGCCACAGAGCTCTGCTGACCTATGAAGGGCTCATTCTTCTTGTGAATTCATCCATCATGGCTTCCTTGTGTCCACTGCTCAATAGCTCTACAGACAACTAGGGTTTTTATTTTATCCCCTTTATCTGTGTTATTGGTGCAAGAGCCAAGAATTTTTGCATCCTGAAGAAGTAGTATTAAGTGCCTTACATGCACTGTGTTCTAGGGAGTGGCTGTCGGCCTTCCAGTTCCACTCTCCACCATTCTGCACTCTGCTCTGAGCCCCATACACCGAACTTAGTGGCTGCATCAACAGGCAGCCTTGCCCTTTGCTTCTGTTTTAATTTGATGAATGGGAATTACTGGCAGTAGATTAGATGAAGAGGAGAGAGGGATTTTAGAGCATTTAATCCCTCAGCTAAAGCTGAGGTCATCAAAGCTGACCTCTACTGGGTCATCAAAGGACAGTTGCTTTCTTCTGTTGAAGCATTTGTCAGTGTCCTCTCCTACAACTACAACTTAAACTTTCTCTGGGTTCAGTTATCTATTCTCTTCTTTGCCTTTTTAGGCCTAAGGTGGTAATGACTTTTATTTTTCCAACATTGGGGTACTTCACCATCTCTTATGACTACTCTCTTTCCAGTTTGTAAATAGTCCCTTTATTAAATGACCCTCAATTACCCATTTGAATGTGTGATTTCCTATTGTGATTCTGATATATTTTCATTCATTGCAATCATACTTCATGTGCTAAGTATGATTATCGTCCTCATTTTACTGATGTGGAAATTGAGGGTTAGTAAGTTGTCCAAGGTTGCCCAGTTAGTAACAGGACTATAGTTCAAGCTTAGGTCTATTTAACATAAGAGAGGTCACCTTTAGCCAGTTCACTCTAACTGTAGTGTGCAAGGAACATTTGAGGGTTGTGTTTTGGAGACAGGAAGACAATTACAATTATCTAGGTGAAAAATAAGCACCTTGATATGCCAGTGACAGTGTGAATGGAGATCTTATAATGATTCGAGTGCTTTTATGAAGAATAAAGTGGCCAACTTTTATGTATCTACCTAAGTTGGCCGCCCAGTCATTCATTTTTATTCTTCATAAAAGCACTCAAGCTCTGCCTCTGCCCCTGCCCCTGCCCCCTGCCCCTGCCCCTGCCCCCTGCCCCTGCCCCTGCCCCTGCCTCTGCCTCTGCCTCTGCCTCTCCCCACGGTCTCCCTCTCTTTCCACGGTCTTCCTCTGATGCCGAGCCGAAGCTGGACTGTACTGCTGCCATCTCGGCTCACTGCAACCTCTCTGCCTGATTCTCCTGCCTCAGCCTGCCGAGTGTCTGCGATTGCAGGCACGCTCCACCACGCCTGACTGGTTTTTGTATTTTTTTGGTGGAGACGGGGTTTCGCTGTGTTGGCCGGGCTGGTCTCCAGCTCCTAACCGCGAGTGATCCGCCAGCCTTGGCCTCCCGAGGTGCCGGGATTGCAGACAGAGTCTCGTTCACTCAGTGCTCAATGGTGCCCAGGCTGGAGTGCAGTGGCGTGATCTCGGCTCGCTACAACCTCCACCTCCCAGCCGCCTGCCTTGGCCTCCCAAAGTGCCGAGATTGCAGCCTCTGCCCGGCCGCCACCCCGTCTGGGAAGTGAGGAGCGTCTCTGCCTGGCCGCCCATCATCTGGGATGTGAGGAGCCCCTCTGCCTGGCTGCCCAGTCTGGAAAGTGAGGAGCGTCTCTGCCCGGCCGCCATCCCATCTAGGAAGTGAGGAGCGCCTCTTCCCGGCCGCCATCCCATCTAGGAAGTGAGGAGCATCTCTGACCGGCCGCCCATCGTCTGAGATGTGGGGAGCACCTCTGCCCCGCCGCCCCGTCTGGGATGTGAGGAGTGCCTCTGCCCGGCAACCGCCCCGTCTGAGAAGTGAGGAGCCCCTCTGCCCGGCAGCCACCCCGTCTGGGAAGTGAGGAGCGTCTCCGCCCGGCAGCCACCCCGTCTGGGAGGGAGGCGGGGGGGTCAGCCCCCCGCCCGGCCAGCCGCCCCGTCCGGGAGGTGAGGGGTGCCTCTGCCCGGCCACCACCCCGTCTGGGAGGTGTACCCAACAGCTCACTGAGAACGGGCCATGATGACAATGGCGATTTTGTGGAATAGAAACGGGGGAAAGGTGGGGAAAAGATTGAGAAATCGGATGGTTGCCGTGTCTGTGTAGAAAGAAGTAGACATGGGAGACTTTTCATTTTGTTCTGTACTAAGAAAAATTCTTCTGCCTTGGGATCCTGTTGATCTATGACCTTACCCCCAACCCTGTGCTCTCTGAAACATGTGCTGTGTCCACTCAGGGTTAAATGGATTAAGGGCGGTGCAAGAGGTGCTTTGCTAAACAGATGCTTGAAGGCAGCATGCTCGTTAAGAGTCATCACCACTCCCTAATCTCAAGTACCCAGGGACACAAACACTGCGGAAGGCCGCAGGGTCCTCTGCCTAGGAAAACCAGAGACCTTTGTTCACTTGCTTATCTGCTGACCTTCCCTCCACTATTGTCCTATGACCCTGCCAAATCCCCCTCTGCGAGAAACACCCAAGAATGATCAATAAAAAAAAAAAAGCACTCAAATAATTTTATATGTATATATAATATATATTAAATATATATATGTAAAAAACTTGGTGGGAGAGGTTGGGTGGCTTTTGCGAAGGAATGCAAGAAGTCAAGGGTGACATAAGGTTGTCAGCTTACTACCACCTTATTACACTTGGTTCTCATGTAAATAGTACACTCAAATAATTTTATATGTATATATAATATATATTAAATATATATATGTAAAAAACTTGGAGAGGTTGGGTGGCTTTTGCGAAGGAATGCAAGAAGTCAAGGGTGACATAAGGTTGTCAGCTTACTACCACCTTATTACACTTGGTTCTCATGTAAATAGTAATAATAACAACGGCTGATGATATTGTCCCCAAAAAGGAGACAAAAAGTGCTTCAGAGTGAACACCTTTAATTGGTTTACAGAACTGCCTGTAGTACAATAATGGAAGCAGGCAATCTTAGTCCTAACAGATCTTTCTTTCTCTCCCAAGCTGGTAGACAGATACTGGCTCTTGCCAGACTGCTATCATCAACAGATTGAGTTGACAAGTTTGTAATGAAGGAAAACTTGGAGGGACGAAGTGTAAGAAGTACCCTCATCATTTATGATCTCTGGGCATATGGCTAGGAACAGGAGGAGAGAAAACATTGTGCCTACTGACATTTGCCAGTCTTACAATGAATTTTGATTGAAAAATACATTAACGTTCCCTTTTTTGAGATGTCTATTGTCACCACCCTAATATAAAAAATTATTTTTCCCTTTCTACAATAAGCATGCCCTCATTATTAGGAGTATTAAATCATCGAGAAACACTGAAGTCAGCTAAGTCCCTTTAGCCAAGTATAGGAACTACACTAGCCAAAATGCTCTGGGTGAAGTTCATTACTTAATCATCCACCTTCCAAAAGCAAAGTATCTTTTTCTAGTTTCTTACATATTATCTGTAACATGTAGCTTTTGAGTGGTTGGACTTAACAAAGGCCTGACGATACTTTAGTGAAACTACTTCCTAGAAGAGAAGGCTGAGTTTGAGAAGAGAGTCCTTAAAGCACAGATTAACACTTTCTTGGCTAAATGTTCCAAGCGCATTTGTGGAAGGTACAGAGCTGTCCACTTGGGCATTTAAAAGGGCTACAGAAACCTAGGCCCCTTCCATCTTTGGAGGCTATTAGTTTACTAAAAATTTTTTGAATGCCAAAATAGACGTATAACAGTTGAAATATAGCATGAATACACTTAACAAATTAATACTTAGAAAAAATATAGTGCAATATAACTATGCTATTTAAAAGATAATAACATTCATAAAAGTCATTGCTCCACATAATGGAGGTAGACAGTTAATGGAACATAAGCTTAAAACTATACGACATCTTTCAATGTCATCAGTATACCCCATTTGAAGATCTACTTGAGCCCCTTCACGAATATGGGCCTTGGATAAATAGCCCTTCAGGTCTCTACTAGTATAGAGGTAGTCCCAACTCCTTTAGCCCAAGAAAGCACTTCAAAAATAGATGTTGGAGGCAGTGGATATCCTAAATATCCGTCTTACATGTTCTAGAAGTGTAACAAAATTTCACACATACCCCATTAATATGTACAAATATTAGGTATCAAAAAAGTAGACCTTAGACTTCGTTTTGGGAAATGATGGTTTCTGAGACACTCCTGCCCCTTTCCACTAAGCCTCCTTTCTAGGTAACATTTTTGATGGTCTATTTTGAGTGTTTATGACTTAGGAAGTTATATACCTTGGCTCCTTGTAGGAATGACCCAGAATGCTTATTCTTCATAGGAATGTCCTTTGACAAAAATATAGTGCAACATAATTGCTATTTTATTTTCATTTTATTTATTTTGAGACAGGGCCTCACTCTGTCATCCAGGTTGGAGTGCCTGGTGGATCTTGGCTCACTGCAACCTCCGCCTCCTGGACTCAAGTGATCCCCCTACCTCAGCCTCCCAAGTAACTGGGACCACAGGCACGCACCACCATGCCTGGCTAATTTTTGTGTTTTTTGGTAGAGATAGGGTTTCACCATGTTGCCTAGGCTGGTCTCGATCTCCTGGGCTCAAGCAATTTGCCCACCTTGGCCTCCCAAAGTGCTGCGATTACAGACATGAGCCACCGTGCCTGGCCAATAACTGCAACTTTAAAGATAACTATGCTTTTTAACACAATCCTTGTTGAAGAATCTTTGTAACAGTGTAAACTGGTCCATCTCCAAGAGTGCTGGACCTGGGGATTTGGTCACATGAATTTGGGTTCAAGTTCTGCAGCACCAAGACTAGTTAAGTGACACTAAGAAATTACTAATCCCTCTGAGCCTTGATTTCAACTGTAAAATGGAGATAACAATAGTTCTTATCTCATAGGGTGGTCTGAAGATTGAATGGGTTGCCACAATGAGAGCACTCCTGTGCTGCCTGGCATCTACTGGGCACTCAGATGTTCCTCATCATCACTGTTATTCTTATCCCAAATTCATACTCAAATTTTCAGAAACAGAGCTATATGTAGAAGATAGAAAGTTCAAACCTCTTTTTTTAACTACTTTTTGATATTTTTAGATGTTTCAGATTTTTATTTAAAGAAGTTTAGAGGCACTAATTACTCTGATGGGCTCTGAAATGGGTAATAGCCTTTATGTAGTGCCAAGGCTTGGCCTCCAGATGTCAGTATGAACTCAATTGATGGAGGTAGTTACTATGTGAACCAGTTGGATGGTTAAAGCTCTTCTCTACTTGTCTATTAAATAACATTGCAGATGCACAATCATTCTTTGATTTTAAAAATGTAATAAATAGATACCTTTTAATCTATTACTTTGGGAGACACTGAACCATAAAGCTGGTATGGAAAACATGCAACAAGTATATGAATCTGGAAATACCACTTCAAGAAAGTTGGACACCATTACCACAAATAAAAATGTGGAAAGAGTGTTAAATTTAACAATTGCTCTTGGAGTAAAATTATTATTTACATAATTATGACATCTATCCTATGAGTCCTCAAAAATTATTCAAGAGAATCAGAGGCCATATCTGACATTCCTTACATTCTACAGCTGTGCAGTACATATTTAGAGCCATTTCCATTAGAAAGTGGGATTAAAAATAGGTCCATGTCTATGAAGACCATGTGAAAGTAAATTGCTCCAGAAAGTGTCCCAGATTTATTATGGGTGTTGCTATAGAAACCTCAAGAAGAAGTTTGCTCTTAGAGGGCATCCTTTTTTATTCTATTTGTTCAATAAACATTTATTGAGCATCTACTACATTCCAGGTCGATTTTAAGTGTTGAGAATACAGCAGTAAACAAAGCAGACAAAATCCCTGCCCACATGGTTTATGGTTTAGGGAAAAGAGACAGAGAATAAACACAATAGATAAATGAATAAACAAAATTGTATAGAAGATAAGTGCGACAGATCAAAAGTGGAAAAGAAGGCAAACATTTGAAATACAGTAGTTAATCTAGGACAAAATGAACAAGTGACATTTAAGGAAACACTTGAAGCAAGTGAGGGAGCACACCAGAGGTATATTTGGGAGAAGAGCACTCCAGGTAGAGGAACCAGCAAAGTCAAAGTCAAGGGACAGCAAAAATGCTAGTGTGGCTGAGGCAGACTAGATGGGACTCCTTCCAGGATTTCTGGTAGAGTCATGGCATGATTTGACTTTACTGAAACCCATCTGGTTGTTCTGGTAAGAATAGGTGGCAAGTGTGGAGCAGGGCCAAACAGGAAAACCAGTCAGGAGGCAACTGCAATACTCTAAGATAAAGACTAGTGGTTTGGAATAAGAATTCAGGTGGAGCATCTAAAGATGGTTGTTCAAGTGAAGACATCTGGATGCCTCTGCAGCCTGGAAAGGTCTATTAGTTTAAGGATGAAGCTGTTTTAAAGTCCATTCTAAAACAAACAAAAAATTCCACCCATAATCCTTTTATACTAATGAATTACATCTTGAAACATATTATGGAAGTTAAAAGAAAAGTCTTAGTTTATAATAGTGCAAAAAGAAGAGTCAGAAAAAAGTCAGCATGACAAATACATAAAACTCAAATATATAGAGTACATGACAAATACATAAAACTAATATTTATGGGAGACAAGAAGCAAAGTTTCTTCTGATCTTGGCAAAAATAATGAAACCAGATTTCTATCTTAAAATAAAGAAAATTTCTATCTTAAAGAAAATTCCATTTTCTCTGGAATCCTAATCATTTTTTTCTTAGACCAAACTTAGAAATACCAATTCAGTTTTTAAAAAGTCAATAGACTCTGTTTTAGAGCAGTTTTAGGTTTACAGAAAAAGGAGTTTAAAAGACAGCATTCCCATATACTCCTCCTCCCCCTGCCCCACCCTCAACTAATGCAGCCCTCACCCACGCTAATGCAAGATTTTAATAACTAATTGATACATTATGATCAATTAGATTCCATAGTTTACATGAAGGCTCACTCTTCATGTTGTACATCTCTATGGGTTTTGACAAGGGCCTAACATTATGTATCTAACACTGCAATATCATACAGAATAGTTTCACTGCTCTAAAATTCTCCTGTGCTCCACCCAGTCATCTTCTTCCTTGTCCAGAACCTCTGGCAACCACTGATTTTTTTCTATCTCTATAGTTTTGCCTTTTCCAGAATGTCATATAGTTGGAATCATATAGTATGTAGCCTTTTTAAATTGGCTTCTTTTATTTAGCAGTGTACATTTAAGGCTCTTCTCTTTTTGTGGCTTGATGGCTTATTTTTTTAATTGATTGTTTTGGTTGGAAGCGTCTGTGTGTCCCTCCCTTTGTACTTGTATAAAGAAATATTTCATCTATCCTGTATTACCATCTTTGTACGCAGAACTCTAAATTTCATTACGTACCCTTCCCACATGCCAGCAGGCATTGTTGATTATGGTGACAAATGATATATTCATTAAAATGAGATCCATTTGTTCTGGTAAGGTGTTCCAATAAGGAGACTACAAAATATCATGTAAAGACCCATTGTCACTGGCACCTGATCCAAGTCATCTCTGACTTGGGTCCCGTTTTATGACCCACTCTTGACATTTCCTATTTGCTGTACTACGGGAAAAAGAATCCAGTTTTTCTTTCTACCCCACCTCCACTGTGTGTCAAAGAAAGTGCACAGATACCACATTAGAATAGTAAAATCAGTTACATTGTGTATCACTAGGATTATGTAATAGTTTTCATCTAAACTTTTTTTTTTTGGAGGAATTTAGGTTCAAAAAGCTTTCAGATATTGAAGTATTTATGGGTGAAATGAGATGATGTCTGGAATTTTTTCACTACTCTAGAAAATAACTATGTGTGAGTGGAGGGAAAGAGAGATGAACCAAGATTAAGGTATTGATAATCTTAATCTGGAAGCTGGGTGATAGGTCCAAGGGGGATTCATTACATTATTCTCCTTACTTTTATGTGTATTTTGAATATTTCAATACTAAAAAGTTTTTTAATTTAAAAAAGACAGACTCTGAAAAAAACTAGCAGAAGCTTCCAGAGTATTAATAGTTAATTGTTGTTAGTATGCAAAACTTTCTTCACTTTTTTTGCCAAGAAAGATGTGCCATTGGGAAGCATCTAAGAAAGTTAAGGCATACGTTATTTTAATCATAGTTTCAAGATGGAAACTAGGCTGGGTGCAGTGGCTCACATCTGTAATCCCAGCACTTTGGGAGGCCAAAGTGGGCAGATCACCTGGAGTCAGGAGTTCAAGACCAGCCTGGCCAACATGGTGAAACCCTGTCTCTACTAAAAACACAAAAATTAGCTGGCGTGGTGGCACACAACTGTAATCCCAGCTACTCGGGAGGCTGAGGCAGGAGAATCGCTTGAACTCAGGAGGCAGAGGTTGCAGTGAGCTGAGATTTTGCCACTGCACTCTACCCTGGGTGGAAACTAAAGAGGAAACTGAGATCAAACACACAGTAGTTAACTTTGTCAGTGACTGAAAGAGTTGCAAGGCAAAATCTCATCAGGATCCAGGATAATAACAAAAACAGTATATTAGTCCATTCTCACACTGCTGCAAAGACATGCCTGAGACTGAGTAATTCATTAAAAAAAAGTGTAATCAGCTCATGTTTCTGCAGGTTGTACAGGCTTCTGCTTCCGGGGAGGCTTCAGAAAACTTACAATCATGGTGGCAGGTGAAGGGAAACAGGTATATCTTCACATGGCCAGCAGGAGAGAAAGAGAAAGAGGAAGGAGATGCTACACACTTTTAAACAAGCAGATCTCAGGAGAACTCTATCATAAGACAGCACTAGGAAGATTATGCTAAACCATTATAAGCCATTCCCCTGATCCAATCACCTCCAACCAGGCCCCTCCTCCAACACTGGGGATTATAATTCGACATGAGATTTGGGTGGGGACACAGAGCCAAACCATATTAAACAGTAATTATAATAGAGATAATACTTTATGATTAATATATGTCAGGAACTGTAATAAACACTTTGTATGTTACTTCACACCAATTCTCTGAGGTATTGTTATTTTACTTATTTTATAGGTGAGCAAACAGTGACCTGGAGAGGTTAAATACCTTGCCCAAGGTCACCCTCTCTAAGTAGTAGAGCCATACCTGGAATCAAGACAATCAGCTTCCAGAGCCTGAATTAGCTACTATACTGTGCTTTGTCTCAATCCAAAGTCAAAGAAAAGTGAACTTAGTTAAGTGAGCTGGAAATGCCTGGGAGAATCTTATCTGTCTATAAATCTGGGTCAAGTTAAAGTACAGCACATGATTGTGTGCATTAGTGTCTTGTACACACTGGTGAGAGAGGAGATCCAGGACTAGGATGAGAGGATGAGGCACTCACCTTGGGCGTAAAATTTAAGGAGGCATGTACCAAATAGCTCAGTAATTAAGATACATACTATTTCAATGCAATATCTAATAAATTAATACAAACAAATTTATTATGAATAAAGTATCCAAATTTTAAATACAGGATTAGTAACAGTGCTATTCCAAGCCATACTGAAGTCTGAAACAATAGGAAAAATCTGTCATGCTGATCCAGTTTTTATATAAAATTTTGATATTTTGTTCATCCTGGATATTTTTGCATAGGTTTTTAAATTTTAAAAACATTTCACTAAAACATGATGTATCTTGATTACTGAGGCTTTTGATGTCCCCCCTAAATTTTGTGCTCATGATGAGTAAGACACTAGTCCTAGCCTGTAAAAGAATTTATGATTACTAAGAAGTCCTTGGGGTTTTCCCCTTTTCTGCCCCCAAATTATTCCATCGAATCCTAGGATTTGCTCAATCCAAAGGAACTAGTTCTGCTTTCAAATACCTTTCAAGGAGAGAAGTCACTGGAAGATCTGATCAGTACAACAGCAAGCCACTTTTTGGGTGGCTGCTATTTCAATTGCTCCATTAATACTGTTGAAATTCACAATCTGAAGACTTCTGCTGCCGCAATGGATTGGAAAATCAGTGATCCTCAACTGTTAATGTGTATACAAGTCACCTGGGAATCCTAAGATTGAGTAAGTTTGGGGTCTGCCTGAGATTATGCATTTCTCACAAGCCCCAGGTGATGTCAATGCTGCTAATGTGAAGACCACACTTGAGTCACAACATTCACCTGTGAAGTTTGTTAAACATCCAGATTCCTGGAAATGAGACTGCTACAGATTTTGATACAGTGTATCTACTATAGGCTCCAGAAATCTGCATTTTTAAGAAGCACTCCAGGTAAATTTGGTGCAGGTGCTCTGTAGATCACACTTGATATACTTCATTCTAGCTCTTTGGTCCTCTCTGCAGTGCTGTCTATTCTGCTGATCTGGAGTCCTTGGCTCTCTTGGAATCTTTCTAATTTTCTGTCTCTAGTGCTCACAGTTACTATCAGAGTCTGTGGACAAGAACCACTAAGAACTGCTACTCATCTAAGTGAAGGCAAGGACGGAAAAAAGGATAAGGGAGAGGGGAAGAAGGGATGTAGGGAGGGAGGAACTTCTGACCTACATGATGAGACTGTAGATTAACAATTGTCCCTTTGAAGCTTGCCCCAGAGCATCTTCTTGCCTGATGTGTCTGTTGATTCTGGGCTTTAAAAATACTTTCTATCATTTAAGAATTCACTAAAATTGGAAATTTTTGATGACATTCATTCTTGGTTTTTAAACTATTACTGAATTTATTCATGGTGATCGATTATGGGATGGCATATCCTTCTAACAAAAATGTCACAGAGCTGGTAAGATTTACAAGAGCTGGAAATTTTAATAAGCAAAGGGAACAACTTATATAAATAAATATTTGCAAAGTGTAAGAAGAAACTTTACCTGTGCAAGCCAGTTAAGAAATTAACTTTGTGATATGATATGGTCCTGTGGATCTGTGTCCCCATCCAAGTCTCCTGGTGGGAGGTGATTGGACCATGGAGGTGGTTTCTCATGAATAATTTAGTACCATCCCCTTGGTACTGTCCTCATAGTAGTGAGTGAGTTCTTGTGAGATCTGGTCATTTAAAAGCATATAGTCCCTCCCCACACCTCTTGCTCCTGCTTTTGACATGTGACATCCTGCTCCCGCTTTGCCTTCTGCCATGAATTAAAGCTCCCTGAAGCCTCCTCAGAAGCGGATGCTGCCATACTTCCTGTACAGCCTGCAGAACTGTGAGCCAATTAAACCTCTTTTCTTATAAATTACCCAGTCTCAGGTATTTCCTTATAGCAATGCAAGAATGGCCTAACACACAATAATACAAAAGATTATCTGTCCTACATGATAGCATCAACTGTACAGACCAGGATGACATGACACAGCTCCCAGGCTTCTAGCTTGTTGCTCTGACACTTCCTAAAATGTTTCCCTCAATCTTCCATGTAACGGAAACAACATGGACTTTGAAGTCAAAGAGAAGTGACAAGAAACAAATTATATAATAAATAAATGGCAATTTATCATATAATGCGATTTGACTGTGCTGTGCTAATTATGGCATAAAATAAAAAATTTAAATTATCAGACATTAAAGTTTTCAATATTATCTGTAAATTTACCTGGAACAAAAGACTATAGGCAGAGAAATACAGTAGGAAATATAAGTCCTTGAGAAAATGCAGGGGTGAAACTCATAGGGAAATTAAGACATTTAAAAACAGCTGTGTATATAGGAAGGGATTAAGAAAAAAGCACATGCACAGGCTCAGGGAAGATACATGCCCAGAAAAGACCAGAGAAGACAAGAGAATAAAAAATAATTATAAATATCTGTTAATAGGTATACGATATATAAAATTGTAATTTGTAACATCAATAACAAAAGTGGAGTAGAGCTGTAAAAGAGTACAGCTTTTGTTTACAACCATTAAGTTGGTATCAGTTTAAAATAGATTGTTATGACATCAGGATATTGTATATAATAATCCATGATTAAACATCAAAGAAAATATCTATAGAATATTCTCAAAAGGAAATGAGTACTCAAAAGAAAATGAGAAGGGAGTCAAAATGTCTTAAATTTTCTGCTAATTAGACCATAAAATAAAGGAAATATTTTAAATTATACATTAGATTATTTAATATTATCTATAGACTCACTTGGGGCAAGAGACTACAGGCAGAGATTTCTCAATAAAGCATAATGTGTTTATGGTATAATTTGTCTCTGGTCACTACAAAAAATCAACTAAACACAAAGGAAATCAATAAGGATGGAAATAAGGTGTAAAAATGTAAAATATACAGAAAACAACAAAATGACAACAGAAAGCTCTCTCCTATCAGTATTTTAAATGTAAATGGATTAACTTCTCAAAGATATTAGATTGGCAGAATGGATTGAAAAAACAGTCCAATTATTTGTTTTCTAAAAGAGACTCACTTTAGATTTGAGGACATGCATAGATTGAAAGTGAAAGGATAACAAGATATTTCATGTAAATAGTAACTAACATAGAAGTGGCTATACTACTATCAGACAAAATAGAATAAAAACTGCGAAGAGGGACAAGAAAGGACAGTATATAATAATAAAAGGGTCAGTTTACTAGAAGATTTAATGGTTATGAACATATATGCACCAAACATAAGAGCTCCTAACTGCATGAAGCAAACACTGACAGAATTAAAGAAACAAGTGTTCCTATAATTATAGTAGGAGATGTCAATGACCAATTTTCAATAATGAATAGAAGAACCAGAGAGAAAATCAATAAAGGAAATTGAGGAATTGAAAAACACTAGACTAATTGGGCCTAAGAAATATATACAGAACACTCCACCTAACAGCCAAATACACATTTTTTCTCAAATACACATCTAACATTCTCCAGGACTGACTATATTTTGGGTCACAAGTCAAGTCTTAATGAATTTTAAAATATTGAAATAATACAAAATATATTTTCCAATCACAATGGGATAAAACTAAAAATTATAGCAAGAAGGAAAAATGGAAAACCTAAAAATATGTGGAAATTAATTAACACACTCTTAAGCCACCAACATGTCAAGAAATCACAACAGAAATTAGAAAATATATTGAGACAAAAATGAAAACATAACATACTAAAACTTATGAGATGCAGCGAAAGTAGTGCTAAGAGGGAAATTTATAGCTATAAATGCTTGCATTAAAAATATCTCAGATTGACAACCTAAATGTATACCTTAAGCAGCTAGAGAAAGAACAAACTAAACTCAAAACTGGCAAAAGGAAAAAAACGATAAAGTTTAAGGCAGAGAAACAAAACAGATAACAGAAAGATAGGTAAATCGACAAAACTAAAAGCTGGTTCTTCAAAAGACTGACAAAATTGACAAGTCTTTAGCTACATTGACTAACAAAAAAAGAAAGAGTCAAATAACGAAATTAGAAAAGAACAAGGGGACACCACAACCAACTTAACAGAAATAAAATAGATTATAAGAAAGTACTAAGAACATGGTATGCCAACAAACTTGATAACTTAGATAAAATGGATAAATTCTGAGAAAAACACTACCTACCAAGACTGAATCATTAAAGAAAATATGAACAGACCTATAACTAGTATGGAGATTAAATCAGTAATCAAACACCTCTCAACAAAGAAAACCCTAAACCCAGGTGGCTTCACTGGTTAATCTATCAAACACAGTGTAAAGAAGACTTAACACCAATGATCCTCAAATTCTTCCAAAAAATTGAAGAGGACAGAACACTTGCAAATGTATTCTGTGAGGCCAGCATTACCCTGATATAAAGACATTACAAGAAAAGGAAACTACAGACCAGTATCCCTGGTGGATACTTGTGGGGAAAGGCAGTCATGCACAGATTATTGCCCTCTGCATAGCCACATAAGACTGGCTGTGAGCCTGGAACATTTCCTTACAGGGAAATAAGGAGCCCTCACAGCTTGTGCTGGGCGTATCTGTTTGGGTGTTTGGGAATATCTTTCCCTGTTGCAGGATTGGTGTATACTCCTTTGTTCTGCTTAAACGTGTGTGTCAGTGGAGCTCAGCCTCACCCCTCTTTTTTTATATTTCAGACCCCATGGGGAAGGGGGTCAAGGTTCTACACTTGCAGTAGACAGTTTCCTTGCATCAGCTGTGAGGCAAAATCTGTTGGCCATGAAGGACCCTTGCTCACAATTTAAGCTGATGTTTTTCTGCCCCTTCTTTATGTAAGTAAAGCATTGTTCCATCCAATGCCTGTGTAAGTTGCGCCTTTCTTGGCAACTTTCTTGCAAGTTGGAAGACAAATGCAAACCATCCAGGAGTTTGATGTCCTAGAACTGCTACTTAGGGTGATAGGCAACAGATGTTACTTGCTTCACAATACTGGTGCAAAAGACCTCAATAAAATACTAGCAAAGAGAATTCAACAGCATACCAAAAGAATTGTATGACTTGACCAATTGAGGTTATTCCTGAAATGCAAGGATAATCAAATATCTGAAAATCAATCACTACAATATACCACATTAGCAAAATGAAGAAAAACCCATATGATCATCTTTATTGATGCAGAAAAAGCATTTCACAAAATTCAACACTCTTTCATGATAAAAAAAAAAAAACTAAACATTTAGAAAAAGAAGGAAACTATCATATACAAAGGAAACTAATGAATAGAAAGAAACCAGCTAAACATAAGAAGGCCATATATTAAAAAACAGCTAATATCATGCTCAATGGTAAAATACTGAAAACATTTTCCTTAAGATTAACAAGACAAGGATGTCTGCTTTTCACACAGTGTGAAAATCCTAGATAGAGCAAATAGGCATAAATAAATAAGTGGCACCCAAATTGGAAAGGTTGAAGTAAAATTATCTCCATTTATAGATGACATGATCATGTATGTAGAAAACCCAAAAGATTCCATTAAAAACCCTATCAGAACTAATAAATGAATTCAGCAAAGTTGCAGGATAGAGTATCAACACACAAAATTCAGTTGATTTCTATACACAAACAATCCAAAAAGGCAATTAAGAAAACAATTCCATTTGTAATACCATCAAAAAGAATACTTAGAATAAACTTAACCTAGGAAATCTACAAAATGTAGCTGAAAGAAACTAAAGAAAATACAAGTGGGAAGATAGCCTTTGCTCATGAATTGGAGGGCGTAATATTTTTATGAGATCAGTACTACCCTAAGTGATCTAGATTTTTTAAATTCTAATCAAAAATCCCAATAGTTATTTGTAAGAAATAGAAAAATTCTTTCCAATTTGGTATGGGATATCAAGAGATGCCAAATAGCCAAAACAATCTTGAAAAACAAAGCTGGAGGTCTCACATTTTTTTAATTTCAAAGTTGCAAAGCTATAGGAGTCGAAACAATGCGGTATTGGTATAATGACAGACATGTAAACCAATGGAACAGAATAAGCAGCCCAGAAATAAACCCTTGCATATATGTTCAAATAATTTTTGACAAAAGTGCTAAGACTATTTAATGGGGAAAGAATAGTCTTTTCAGCAATCAGTGTTGGGAAACTGGATATCCACATGCAAAAGAATGAGATTGGGCACTACAGTCTTATGTAATCTAATCATATACGTTGAATCATGTACATGACGATTACTAATCATTAGAGATATGCAAATCAAAAACATCATGAGGAACCATCTCACACTTATTAGGATGGCTCTATAAAAGAAAACAAAGCAGAAAAACAAAGGTTGGTGAGGAAACAAATAAATATAAATGGCCAATAAGCCCATAAAACGATGCTCAACATCACTAATCATTAGAGACATGCAAATCAAAAACACCATGAGAAACCATGGTAGAGATCACGCAGTCTCTACCTTGCTGGCTTTGAAGAAGTAAGCTGCCATATTGTGAACTGCCTACTGGTGATGCAACAGGGACCGGGAGATAACCTCTGGCTGACAGCCAGTGAGCAACTATTGTCACTGGTCTGGCCACTTGCAAGGAAACTGAATGCTGCTCAAGGCCATGTGAGTTGGCAAGGAGATTTTTCCTCAGATGAAACCACGCTCCTGTCTGACACCTTGATTGCTGTCTTGCAGAGGACCTCGCTAAGTTGTACTCAAACTTCTGACCCACAGAAACCGAGATAATAAATGTGTTTTGAGCTACTAAATTTGTGGAAATATGGTTATGCTGTAACAGACAACGAATATATTGGGAAAGAATAATAACTGGGGCCTATATACTGAACTGTTCCTAAAGCTCACACAGGGTTGGAAATTGAGCTTTTTCAGCTAAAGAGACTATATTCTATGCTGAGGAAATTCAGTAGAGAATCAAGAAAGGCCATGACTGAGAAGCACAGCAAAATTAGCCCCAGAAAAATATTGGCTACTTTAAGCCTGAAATGAGCTTAAAGACAAATCTTGAAAAAAATGAAAGTAATATTTAAGTAACAAATTGCCTGCCAGAGAAAGTCCAAGGAATCTAAAGAAACATCATAAACCCAAGCACTCTAAAATATAAAATTTACAATACTCATTATCCAATTAAAAAATATGAGATATACAAAGAAGCAGGAAAATATAACCAATGATCAGGAGAAAAATCATTCAATAGAAACAGACCCATAAATAACAAAGTAATGGAACTAGCAGACAAGAATTGTAAAAGAGCTGTTATAACTACCTAAATGATATAAGAAGCATTAACATAACAAGGGGGGAAATAGAATACTTAAAAAGTATAACCAAATGGAAATTCAAAGATGAAAAATACAATAGAAAAGAATATTTCTCTAGATGGGATTGGAAGCAGAAGAAAAAATTCATAAATATAAACACATAGCATATTTTAGCCAAATGTATGCATACAGAGAAACAAAACACCCCTCAAAATCAGAGTCGCAGTCAAATACAGAACGTATTAAGTATGTGTATTGGGAAAAAGTAGGGTATAGAATAATGACTGAAAAATTTTAGATTTGATGAAATAAGGGCAGAGTAATGACTGAAATTTTTCCAATTTTATATAAACTATAAACCTAGTTTCAAGAAACTCAATGAACCACAAGCAGGATGAACAGACACACACACACATATGCACACACACATACACCAACATCCTTCTACACAAAAAACACGTACACAGCATAATCAGATTGCTAAAAACCAGCTGTCTAAAATGTAGCCAGAGGAAAAAAAGACACAGTATGTAAAGGGCAAGAAATATATATATATATAAAAACAGGCTTCCTGTCATAAGTAATGCAAACCAGAAGACAATGGAACAACATCTTTAAGGTGCCAGACCGGAATTAAATATGCAATGAAAATATCATTTTAAAAAAAGGCAAAACAAAAGCTTTTTCAGACACACAAAACCTGGGAGAACTCATCATCAGTTGAGATGTTTGTGGTCCTTCATATGCTGAATAGTTTGGGATTATATCCTGTACATTTTGAACACTACGCAACCATAAAAAGATATAGTCTTTTAAAAACATGATTCTGAAACAACAAACCACAGGATATTCATATTAAAAACAACAAGAACAATAAATTTTGATTACTCATACAATTCACCAAAACTAACTTGAAATATATAAATAAACATAAATAATAAACTATATAAAAAGGACATGTAACAGCATTAAGAAGTCAAATAAAAAAACGGGAGATATTTGAACAAACAATTCACAAGAGATGATATAAGATGGCCAATAAACTCATAAAAATGCTTAACATAATTAGTCATCTAAGAAATGCAAATTAAAATCACAATGAGATAACATCATTAGATCAGTTAAAATGCAACACCTAACAACATAAAATTTCAGTGGAGATGCAGAGCAACTGGAACTCTGACATATTGTTGATGGGAGTGTGAAATTATACAACCACTCTGAAAAACCATTCTGGCTGTTTCTTATAGAGTTATACACACACTTAGTATTTCACATATCAATTTCACTCCTAGGCATTACCAAAAACAGTGTGTTTCCTGGCCGGGCACGGTGGCTCAGCCTGTAATCCCAGCACTTTGGGAGACAGAGGCGGGCGGATCACCAGGTCAGGAGAGCGAGACCATCCTGGCCAACATGGTGAAACCCCGTCTCTACTAAAAACACAAAAAATTAGCCGGGTATGGTGGTGCACGCCTGTAGTCCCAGCTACTCCATAGGCTGAGGCAGGGGAATCGCTTGAACCCGGGAGGCGGAGGTTGCAGTGAGCCGAGATCGCATCACTGCACTCCAGCCTGGGCGACAGAACGAGGCTCCGTCTCAAAATAAAAACGAAAGTGTGTTTCCTCACCAAAAGACATTAAAAATATTTCTGATAGCCCGAATCTGGAAGCAACTCAAAGTTCATCAATTTGTATAAATGGAATTTTGGTATAGATATACAATAGAATACTACTCAGCAATAAAATATGACATATTGGTAAGTGAAATAATATAGGTAAATATAAAAAATATCATGCTAAAGGAAAGACGTGAGCTGTAAAAGACTATAAATATATGATTCCTGCATAATAGATGACTCCATGTATAAGAAATTCTAGGAAACACAAAATTATAGCAAGTAAAAATGGATCGATCAGTGGTTGCCTGAGACTGGGGGCGGGCGAATTTAGAAAAACCTAAGGGCCGGGCGCAGTGGCTCGCGCCTGTAATCCCCCAGCACTTTGGGAGGCCGGGGCGGGCGGAGAACGAGGTCAGGAGACCGAGACCATCCTCGCTAACACGGTGAAACCCCGTCTCTACTAAAAAAAAAAAAAAACAAAAAACAGCCGGGCGTGGTGGCGGGCACCTGTAGTCCCAGCTACTCGGGAGGCTGAGGCAGAAGAACGGCATGAACCCGGGAGGCAGAGCTTGCAGTGAGCCAAGATTGCACCCCTGCACTCCAGCCTGGGTGACAGAGCGAGACTCTGTCTCAAAAAAAAAAAAAAAAAAGAAAAACCTAAGAAAGATTTTTGAGATAATGTGTATGTTCTATAGCTTGATTTTGATGGTTTTTACATTGGTGTATACATTTGGAAAACTCATTAAACTGTATACTTTATGTGAGTGGATTTCATTTTATAAAAATTATACCTCAAGGTTGATTTTTAAAAATTCAAAAATTAGAGATAGAATAAAGAGTAAAATAATAAATATCATTACCCCCATCAAACCTCCAATAAAATTAGAAAAGAAAAACAATTATTCACAGAAAACATAATTGTTACTTAGAAAATATGCGAGACTACACAAACTTCAAATTGGTGGTAATGTGACAATTAGTAAATCAATCAGAATATGTAATAATATTACGCTAGTAATTATTATAATGATGGTGGTGATGTCATCCATAATAGCAACAAAACTATATGTCACCTACAAACAAAGATGACAAAATATGTACAAACATGTTAACGGAAAAAATTATAAATCCTTATTGAAAAACTTAGAAAAACATAGATGAGGCCCTAAATAGGGAAGTACCTCATTTGTGTTTAAAAATACAATATCATCATATAATAATTATCTTCAAATTCAAAGACATTTCTATTAAAACTTCAGCAGAGTATATCATGGAATTTGATTCATTTGTATGAATTTGATCATGAAATTCATACAAAAGCGTAAAAACATTTATTTCACGACTTATTCCAAGGCTATTGTAATTCAAACAGAACAGAATCAAAAGTCCAAAAACAGATTTATGTACATATAAGAACCTGAAATATGACAAAGATAACATTAAAAATGAATAAGGAAATAATTATTCAATAAATTGTTCTGGAACAATTGGCTCTCCATATGGAACAATATGTAAAATTAGATCCTGCTTTACATGCATGCACACATGCATGCACACACGCACAATTTAGATGGATTAAAATGATTTAAATGTAAAAAACGCAAAATTGTAAAACTTTTATAAGAACATTTAAGGAAATGTCTCATGACATCAAAGTTGGCGAATGGATGGCATAAGTTGTATAAACCCTAAAGGAAAAGAGTAATAACAATAATTTCATTAGAATTACATTCGCTGTATCACAAAAAATACCATAAGAAAAGGCTTAAGGCAATGTGTCCACAATTCAGAACATCACAATCTTTGAAAAAAGAGGAAGAAAAATAAGCCATATTTTCTGCCAAATTATCTTCTTTTCAGAACACCTTTTTGAATTTTGTAAGGAACAATGGTAAAAGAAACTTCTCAGGATCACATCAATCAGAATATTTTTAGTTTTTATACTCATCTAGTGATTGGATTGCAATTTGTTCCTTCTCTGATTTTTGCCTCCTTCTACTTTCTTCTCACATGCTACCTTCATCTTTCTTCCCAGTCTGCATGATTTCCTTGCTCTTACTCTAGTCTTTCCTATCTGGTTCACAGCTGAAACAAAATGTCCTGTTTTGATAAACTGTATTGAACCTCAATGAAGGAATTTATTTCATGGAATTTTTACACCAAACAACTTTTCTACATGGATAGCAGTCTTATGACTCTGACAATAACCATATCTTAATCTCTTACTTGCAGAAAAAGTCTGACATCTTCTCAGATCATATTAGAAAGTTTTTTCAGAAAATCAATTTTTGTATTAATGGCCAACTGTCACTGCTGTACCTCAGAGTCTTTCTCCAAGGCTCAAAATATCATTGCCCCAAGCAGATATACTATGTAGGCAATTATTAGTATGCCTTTGTGGATTTATCTCTTTCTTATACCCTGGAATGAGGGTCAGAAGAATTCGCATCACTTTATGTCCTCCCAAAAGAAACCCAATACGACAAAGCAAAACAAAATTTTCAGATAGGCAATGTGAATTCCCTCATATTTATTAACATACCTTTAGACAACTATACAAAAGAGATCAATTCCTAGTCATGGAAGCAGAAAAATGACTCCACTTTCCCTCTAACTATAAACCTCCTATTCTTAAAAAGATGATAAACTGTGCTATTTTTGTAGATAGAAATATATTGGAGGGTCAAAGCTGGCCAAGTGGCTCAGTTGTTTATTCAGCCTCCGTGGAAGAAATTTTATCACGGAGTTACATGTTGGAGTATGTCAACAAATATTTTTAAAAGAGTACATGTTAATGCTTTCATTTTCTGATAAAGTAGATTAAGTTAGACCAAACTCTACCAGTTACTAGTGGTGTAAACTCAGGCCAGTTATGTATCCTTGCTGCGTGGATTAGTCTGTTTTCACACTGCTATAAAGACACTATCCGAGACTGGGTAATTTATAAAGAAAGGAGGTTTAATAGACTCACAGTTCTGCATGGCTGGGGAGGTCTCAGGAAACTTCCAATCATGCCAGAAAGGAAGGCATCTTCTTCACAAGGTGGCGGGAGAGAGAAAAAGGCCCAGGGGAAACTGCCATGTATAAAACTATCAGATCTCATGAGAACTCCCTCACTATCACGAGAACAGTATGGGGAAAACTGCCCCCATGATCCAATCATCTCCCACCTGGTCCCTCCCACAACACCTGGGGATTACAATTGAAGATGAGATTTGGGTGAGAAAACAAAGCCTACCCATATCACTGTGTTTCAGATCATCACCTGTAAAATGGAGATTAAAAATAGCTACTTGGAAGAGTTACTATAAAGATTGAATTGATATATTTGAATGCTTAGAGTAAGGTATAGCAAATAGAAAATGCCCAATAAA
The DNA here is from genome assembly GCF_000001405.40 of Homo sapiens. Lineage (NCBI taxonomy): Eukaryota > Metazoa > Chordata > Mammalia > Primates > Hominidae > Homo > Homo sapiens. The sequence goes on along the minus strand of NC_000014.9, from coordinate 59,039,178 downwards.
TCTTAGCTAGCAGCCAAAGAACTGGTAGTGTTTGCAGCAGTAGCAATAGTAGTAGTAGCAGGAGAAGGAAGAGGAGTATCCACTCTGCCTTCCAATTCCTGCACCCCTTTGCCTTGCAAAGCGTGAGGCAGAAAGAACAAAATAGTTGTTGGTATGATTAACAAGATTCTTCTCTTGAGGAGGCCAGGTTCTAACATTAAGAAAGGTGAACAGCTTGTGTGTGTCATATGGCTCTGGGGCAACGCTTTGAGGCAGGGATTCCCGACTTGAAAGTAGTAGTGCTCTCAACTCGACTCTGCCTCCTCACAGCCTCTTCCACTTTAGAGAATGGAGCAAATCTCAGTAGCACTCAGGTGAACTTTCTTTCCCAGTGGGGATTTTAAGAGTGAAAACACATGGTTTTATGTTGTATGTGATATTCAGAACCTTAAGACATCATTACAAGAACAAGCACATTTTGCTGGGCGCAGTGGCTTATGCCTGTAATCCCAGCACTTTGGGAGGCCGAGGCCGGTGGATCACTTGAGGTCAGGAGTTCAAGACCAGCCTGGCCAATATGGTGAAACTCTGTCTCTACTAAAAATACAAAAATTAGCTGGGCATGGTGGCAGGCACCTGTAATCCCAGCTACTTGGGAGGCTGAGGCGAAAGACTCTCTTGAACCCAGGAGGTGGAGGTTGCAGTGAGCCGAGATCACACCGCACATTTTAACACCTGTGATCCCAATCCCAACACTTTAAGAGGCTGAGGCGGGCGATCACTTGAGACCAGGCTGGCCAACATGGTGAAACCCCATCTCTACTAAAAATACAAAAATTAGCCAGGCATTGTGGCCCATGCCTGTAATCCAGCTACTTGGGTTGCAGAGGCAGGAAAATTACTTAAACCCAGGAGGCAGAGGTTACAGTGAGCCAAGACTGTGCCACTCACTGCACTCCAGCCTGAGCAATAGAGCGAGACTTTGTTTCAAAAAAAAAAAAAAGCACATTTTAAAAGCAATATCCTTTCAATAACTAAAATCCACCCATAGTAAATTATACAATTAAACACGTTATAGCCATAGTTATTGGTGTACATTTTCAGTGTAAAATAATACATTTAATCAAACTACCAGTCAATTCAGAATAACAGAAAAACAGTACAGCCTCACCTGAGCAGCCATTTTAGTTTCTACCAGAATAATAGTATGCTTTTATCTATTATCTTCTATGTCAAGGTTTAAACTAACAGTAAGTCTTGTAACTGAAAAAACAATAGATACCTGCGTTAAACCCCCACAGAGTATTTCTTAGGTTCCTCTGGCATCAATAAAACACTTTGAATTAGGGAACAATCAAATACTAGGTTGGTGCAAAAGTAATTGCGGTTTTTGCCATTACTTTTAATGGCCAAAAAAACACAAAAAACAACAATAAAAAACCTCACAACCCGCAGTTACTTTTGCACGAACCTAATACTTTCAGGAACCATTAGAAGAGCATTCAAAACAAAAGCATCTTTTTTGGCAATATTCTACAAGAAGGTCTTTGTTGATCTGTTGGGGCTAAGACACTACACTGGGAAAACACCAGCATTTGAGGGTTTACTTTTCAGTAGTCATACCATTAACCTAAGGCTGCTCCACACCATTCCTGTCAACAAAGACCAGGCCCCCACTCTAGTGAAGCCATTTCAAAGTAATCCTACTGCAAGACTGAAGGTTTTGATGATTCAAACCCATGGTACAGCTGGTCAGAAATGGACATTTTGAGCCTGTTGAAATGATCCTATCACCATTCCACAGTTCCATCTGGAACCTTGAGAATGGCTACTTCTACACACAGTCGTCTCCCCATTATTACCACATCTCTCCAGTTCGTGTGGCCCAGCAACTCCAAGCCTGTGATTCACAATCCTTCTGCATCCAGATTTTCCTGAATTGCTGCATTTTTGCTGTGATATCATCCAGCTCAACCTTCCTGGTCTACAGTGTCCCATGACCCTTTTCCTGGCAAAGATGTGGCTTGCCTCCTATAGCCAGTGAATCTCTTTATAGCTCTTTTAGGTTGGCGCAAAAGTAATTGCCCCTTCAGACTACTCACTCATGCTCAATATCACACCAAGTATCTGTGCTTAGCTGTGTTCTTTCCACCCTTCTCCACTTGCTGAAATACTCTTATAACCTTCCAGAAGTGGCTAACTTACATTATCTGTGATACATTCTCTGATCTTCTTTAATGAGAAATAAGGTTCTCTGCTAACTCAGTTATAGCACTTATTTGTACTATATTAGAGTACAATCCCCTAAAGAAGATCTGGGTAGACTATCTTATTCAAGACTTTATACCTCCTTCAAATGCATAATAGTGCTTTATATCCTCAATAAATGCTTCTTGGATGCAATTGAATAACTTACATATAATTTATATTATTGATAAGCTTTTATATTTTTCCCCTCTAGATTAAAATATTCAGAAGCAATATAAAATGTTGCAAAAATTGCGGGCTTTCGAGTTTTTCAGCATTGGGTTTGACTCTTGGCTCAGTCACAATCTATCTTGTGACCTTGCATAGGTAACTTCTTTGAACCTCAGTTTTCTTATCTGTAATGTAGATTTCATCATATCTGCTACACCCCAATCATTTTAAATTCCTGCTTAGAATGCCTGAAACAATAATTTCTCAATAAACAGCTTTTATGACTTTTATAACTAGTAACAATTATCTTTAGGCAGAAAGAGTCTTCATGGCATATTTTATGGTAACTTCCCCATAGAGTTTATTTAAAAAACTTTGTTGAGTGAATGAAAAATATGGTAATGCCTAAACTTGGAGCCTGAGTCTTGGCTAGTAGTTTCTGGGAATTAGTCTGTGAGAAACACGAATGGGTCATTTCCTCTTTTCTTGAATTTCAAGAAACTAAGTGAGTTTCTTCTTTTGCTAATTTGTCCTTTGCTGCTGTGAACTAGGAATGGGATAGTTATATATTTTGAGTATATATAACTAAAAGAGTGTATCACTAAACAGTCGAGGAAACTGATATGGTTTGGCTCTGTGTCTCTACCCAAATCTCATCTTGAATTGTACTACCATAATTACCACGTGTTGTGGGAGGGACCCAGTGGGAGATAATTAAATTATTCTCCCATACTGTTCTATTGGTGGTGAATAAGTCTCATGAGATCTGATCGTTTTAAAAATGGTAGTTTTCCTGCACAGGCTCTCTCTCTTTGCCTGCTGCCATCCATGTAAGACATGACTTGCTCTTCCTTGCCTTCTGCCATGATTGTGAGGCCTCCCCAGCCATGTGTAACTGTAATTCCATTAAACCTCTTTTTTCCCAGTCTCAGGTATGTCTTTACATACTAGTATAGAAATGCTGGCGCTGTCCCAGGTTCCAGGTTTTCATTAACATGAGCAACTCTAAACTTGGACCAATCTTTATGGCTATTCCCTACCATGTAGAAGGAGGCTACAGTGTCCCCATATTCAAATGACTGCCCTAGTAGCAAATTACTCTGGTGGAGCAAAGCAGAAGGACACTTTTGATTTGGCAGTGTTACCTGCATTGCAATGCTAGGATACACTGGAGGGTGACATGAGTCAAGCTTGTTGCACATGAAAGGTTCCACATGCTTTGTGTGCTATGCAAAAATTTGGAACTCTAAGGAAAAAAAATAACATGATTATGCTATTTATCTTGTAATAATAATAACAAAATGGAGAAAGAGGAGGAAGAAGAAGGAGGAGGAGAAGAGGGGGAGGAGGGGGAGGAGGGGGGAGGAGGGAGGAGGAGAAGAGGAAGAAGAAGAGGAGGAGCAGGAGGAGGAGGAGCAGGAGGAGATGAAGAAGGAGGAGGAGGAGGAGGAGGGGAAGGGGAAGAAATGCTTTGTTGAGTGCTTGCTATGTGCCAGGTACTGCCCTAAACATTTTTCTTGATGGAACCTCTGTTGATAATCATAACACCCTATGAAACAATTAAATTGAATACCCTCTGTTACAGATGAAGAAATGGAAGCTTAGATAAATTAAGAAATGTGTCCAAGATCACAGAGCTATCATTATAGCCTTAGTGAAGCTGAGACTCAAACTAATGTCTAAATAGCCCTCAACTTATGTGTGCCCTTCACTGCTATTTATTCATCTATTAAATATTCATTAAGCACCTATTTATTATATTGTAATAACTGTTCTAGCATGAACAATATAACAGTGGACAAAAGAGACAAAAATTCCTACCCTCATGAAGCTTACATTCTAATGGGTGAATTCAAATAATAAACAAATGTGCAGATAAGGAAAACAGAATGTCAGATGACGAATAATGCTCTAGAGAAAAGTGGAACCAAGAAGGGAGATGGGAGGCGTGGGGCTGGGGCTGCCATTTTAAATGGGGTAAATGGGGTTGTAATGGAATACTGCACTGACAAGATAAAAACTGAGCAAAAACCTAAAATGTTCAGAGAGGGAGCTAAGGGGATCTGAGGATAAGCTTTCAAGGCCATGGAAGCAGCAAGTGAACAGGCCCACAAGCTGGAATAGTTTTAATTTGTTTTAACCTGTGCGAAGAATAAGGGAGCTGGAGTAGTTGGAGCAGATTTAGTGCAGGAAGAATAGGTATTCTTGAAAATCAGGGTGCAGTTTCGAAGGAGAGAAGGCATGGATGCTATATGATCAAACACACTAGGTAGCACATATGGGATCTGTGGAAGAAATTCATATGAAAAATAAATGTACAGAGAATATCTGTGGTTTACTTCCAAGGAGTTGAACTGGGAGTAGGAAGAAAGGATAGGATGTAGCTTATACTTTTCATTTAATACACTTCTGTACTTACAATTTTTATACCAAGCATGTATTTCAATTTTAAAGTGTTTAAATAAAGGAATGAACATTCACATAAATGTGTGTAAGTACATGCACAAGGATATTTGTTGCTGTTTATGATAACAATTAATTGGGAGCTGCTTTTTAAAAATGGACTATCCATGCAAGGAAATACAAAGATAATGGTAAAGTAGATCTACATATTCACTTGGAAAGGAGTATATGAGCTAGGACTCAAAACACTGGAGTACGGGCCAGGCGCGGTGGCTCATGCTTGTAATCCGAGCACTTTGGGAGGCTGAGGTGGGAGGACCACTTGATTCCAGGAGTTACAGACCAACCTGGGGAACACAGTGAGACCTTGTCTCTACAAAAAATAAACAAAATTAGCCAGGCATGGTGGCATGCGCCTGTGGTTCCAATTACTCAGGAGGCTGAGGTGGGAGGATCATTTGAGCCCTGGAGTTCGAGGCTGCAGTAAGCTGCGATATTGCCACTGCACTCCAGCCTGGGTGACAGAGCAGGACCCTGTCTCAAAAACAAAACAAAACAGAACACTGGAGTGTGAAGTTTATATAAGTAAATAAACATAAAATATAAACATAAAATATAAATATAATAACAGAACACATTGGAAACTTTATTATTAAGGAATTAGATTCATAATGGAGCAAATGCTGAACTATTAAGCAGTCATTTGAAAATACTGCATAGATCTATACTTAGCATAATAATGCATGCAATATACTTTAAATGGAATAAAAGCAGGCTTTAGAATTGTAGGTATGGAATGATTCCATTTTTGTGAAGAGAATCTAGAAAGTAAGCTCCCTGCGAAAAGAGGCTTTTTTTCAGCGCTATATTCCTTACACCTAGTTTCTAGTGCTTGGAACACACAAAATGAATATCTGTTGAATGTTGAAACAGTAAATGAAAGTGTGCCTCCACACACAACATTACAAAGCCAAAAAAGTCCTATCTCAATATGTTAACAAAATGGTTTTGATTTTTTCTTCATAATTATCTGTATTTCCTAATTTTTAAAATTAACATATTATGTAACAGAAGTATTACTTTCACTTAATATTTATTTAAAGGTTATAAGTTTCAAGGCTAAGAGTTTAGAAAATATCCATTATCAGGAATAACTATAACTCATTACCTATCTAGGACTCAAACAGAGGATTGAACCTGCACTCAACAGCAGCATCTGCTATTATTGTGTGGCCACAGAAGCTTTTGCAAGGGGTTAATATGGGGAGACTGAACAAAGAAAAGTTAAAAATAAAGCAGAGTTGCTAAGCCTCAAAAATTTACAGAGTGCTGTTGTCCTAGAAGAAACACAGGGAGAAGATGACCATATCATTTGGGAATTTGACATGTGCCATTACTCTTGATTTAGCCTTATTTAGATGCTGTGCTTGCAAATTGGGTAGCTGTCCTTTGTGGACTAAACAGAATTCCCCAGGTGTGGATGTGATTTGCATATGATTTGCTCAATTATGAATTTTCTGTTGAAAAATGATGGCTTTATTAAAATAGCAAGAACTGAATGTGGACTGGTTGGTCTGCCTGAGCAGGAATAAGGCAGTGACCACATTTCCACTGGGGCCAGCAAGGAAGAACAGTTGGAGCTGGGCCAAAGTTGGCAGTTTTTTCCAGAACGGTAAAAATATAAAAGCCCAGAGACAACCAACTTCAGCAAGAGGCTATGGGGACATCCTTTCTTAGGTTTCAGACTTATGTAAGAAATTTTTTAAAAAAATGTTTGCTGGCCTTCTCTAATTACCACAACACGAAGGGTAATGAACTAAAGTTATATGAGTCCCAAGATTTTGGGGAATGTTTCTTCTATTTTTTTTTTTTTTTTAATGTGTCAAATGTATACATTTAATTGACTTTGTGTATCACTATATTTGATCCTTTTTATTCTTCTAACATTTTCTTTTAGCCAAATTATTTTTTATTCTTCATGTATGCATTTGCTGGTATTGTTTCAGCTTGTTTTTTAAAAAATCTTTTAGCTTTCTTTGCCTTATTTACCAATCAAATTATTATTTTTTTATTTCATATAAAATGTTTATCTTACCATATTATCTTGCTAACATGTCCTCTTAGATAATTTCATTCTTCTATCAAAATGTAATCTCAACATCCCATTTACCAGCATGATGTATGGTCACATTTTTCTTTTCCTTTTCTTTTTCTTTTCTTTTCTCTTTTCTTTTTTTCTTTTCTTTTCTTTTCTTTTTTCTTTTCAAGGTTTCCTTCTATTGCCCGCTGGAGTGCAGTGGAGTGATCTTGGCTCACTGCAACCTCTGCCTCCCAGGTTCAAGCGATCCTCCCACCTCTGCCTCTCGAGTAGCTGAGACAACAGTTATGCACCACTCCACCTGGCTAATTTTTGTATTTTTTCTAGAGATGGGGTTTCACCATATTGTCCAGGCTGGTCTCGAACTCCTGAGCTCAAGCAATCCACCCACCTTGGCCTCTCAAAGTGCTGGGATTACAGGCATGAGCCACCACGCCCATCCCACATTTCCTTTAAATGTGCCCATTAAATCACTTGAATCCCACCAGCGCCTTCTCTCCTGTAATACCCGGAAGTCTCAGGATGATTGACCTTTATCTCATTCAGGAGGTTGGTCCCTGATTCCCATTCCCAGTCATTGCTACATGCATCCAAGGTGCTCCATGTCAAATCTGTCTGGGGCTCCCAATTTACAATGCTTGAATACACAGCTCCTTCACCTGAAGGACCAGGTGAAGTTCTACTATTCCCTGCATCACCCAGAACAACTTGTGCAGATAATGGATGTTGCCTACCCAAAAGCCATTCCCCTTTCCTACTCTCTTGCTAGTATATAATCCTACCTGATAGAGAACAATGGGAAATATATCAGGGGCTTCAGGAAAAGGTTTTTCTTAGTAAGAAGAAATGCATGGGAGGAAAAACAACTTTCCATACACATTGAATGTGGTCAAATCTCCAAGTGATGCCTGGAACTACTGCCACCATTATGAGACAATGAGGGGAGAGGTTGTCAACATGCTGAGAATGGTGAGAGAAAAGACTGGAAGGATCTGGCTTCATTGCGCATATTAGTTTGCTGAACCAAATCTGGAACCACTGTGCCTCTGAGCTTCTCATGGAAAGTAATATACTTATTACCTATGCCAATTTTAGCTGGGTATTGTGTCATTCATAGGCAAAGGCATCCTAACTGGGACATACTGTCTCTATGGGAAGGTTCACAATTGCAGGGGTCAACCGCTAACCCCAGCTCTTTTCCACCCTCATGGTGATTTTATTTACGGGCCTCAATCACATTTTACTGCTACTTAGTTAAGCCACCATAATTCTCCCCAACAAGTTTCAGTAGCTATGAATTACTGATAGGAGTCAGATTCTTGTTCCTCACCTCCCACCAAATGTTTGGACTCATGCAAATTTGCCTACAAATTCCTAAGCAACTGTCAAGTTCATTGTCTTGGTCCATTTTGTATTGCTGTGCAGGAATATCCGAGGATGGGTAATTTGTAAATAAAAAGGGACTATTTGGCTCACAGTCCTGATGGCTGAAAAAGTTTGAGATTGGGCATCTGCATCTGGTGAAGGCCTCAGGCTGTTTCTACTCATGGTGGAAGGTGAAGGGAAACTGACTTGTGCAGAGATCACAGGTTTGCAGAGAAAGGAAGCAAGAGAGAGAGAGGTGAGGTGCCAGGCTCTTTTCAACAACCAGCTGTCATGGAAACTAATAGAGTGAGAACTCACTCGCCCCAGAGGGAGGGCATTAATCTGTTCATGAGGGATTCACCCCCTGACCCAAACACCTTCCATTGTGCCCCACCTCCAACATTGAGGATCAAATTCAAACAAGAGATTTGGTGGGGACAAACAAACCATATCCAAACTACAGCATTCATTATGTCAAATTTTCTTACAGAATAAAAATGCAAAAGTTCTCTTCACTGTGCATCTGCTACACAATAACTTCATAATTATAGAAGCAAAGTATGCTCATATAAAGAACTAGAAAATACGAAAAGATGAAAAGACAAGAATTTCAATATACCATCCAGAAACATGTTCACTTTGAACATGTTCACATGTATTTTTCTTTTGAATCTTACGCAATTGAAATCATACTGCACCTACTATTTTGTATCCTGATTTATTCACTTAACATTATATTGTTTTTCATTTTGCATTACTATTTTTCAAAAATCACGATGTTTAATTTTGGAAAATATCCTATTATGAGGATGTACCCAAATATATTTAATCATTCTGTTATATAAAAAGAAGATATATAATATAGATGTTAAATCTATGGGTTCTGGAACCAAAATCCCCACTCCAATTTGTATTAGATGTGTGACCTTCAGCAAGTTGCTTAACCTTTTGGAGGCATGGCTTTCTCATCTCCAAAATGGGTATAGTAATAACACCTACCTGCTAGGCTTGTTGTGAGAAACAAGTAAGAGGGCTTAGTAGGATCTGGTACAAAGTTAATATTCAATAAAGATTTGTTATTGTTATTATTATTATAAAAATGTGAGGTTATTTTCCATTTTCTCAAACGTAAATAGGACATCCATTCCTCAAAACATCCTTGAACATACATCACTTTTTGCATCTGATTAATTTTTGGAATCATTTCCTAGAAAGGGAATTCTTGGTTAATGCCTATTTTATTTTGATAATTTATCAGATTTTTATAAAGATGAAAAAGCAAATTCAAGCCTCAAGGGGAAAGGGTGAAAAGAATACATTCCCTGAACAAAATAAGTATTTTCCTACTCACTGTCCCAACATTATAGGGCAGATTCACCCATATCCTTAAAAGTTGAGCTTTCTATCCTTAAATTGAAGTAAAGAAGTTCATCCATAGGTCAAAATTAGCTCTTAACATAATGACAGGTCTGTTTTGGGCACTACTTAGATGGCATGCTGGAATGGTATTTTCTTTTTCAGTAATAGATTCTCACTTTCCTTTTTGAAAAGAAATGTGATTAAGCAAAAATCTATGCTCTTTTATTCATACAATTATTAAAAACTCATGGGAGCACAAGAAGTGGCTAAGAGGGTCCTTTCTGGAGGGACCCTCATTGTAGCTCCCCAGGTATAATTTTAATGAGCAATTAAGGAGTCTCGTCAATCAATTGTCAATTTCCTCAGATACACTTTTCATTCATTCTACATTCTGATTGAGGTTGTTAGCATATCTTTAGCTGCCTGCTTGCCACTACTTCTAAGAAAGGCCACAGCCTCTGTCCTGAATTCTTAGTTACTGGTCCATGAATACTCTACCCATGATGGCAGACAATGAGAAAATAATGAAAGGAAGAATGCACCTTCTGTCTTCCCTGCTCAGAAAATCCCTTCACCAGACTCACTTCTCCTACCTAATCCTTTGAATCTTTAGATTGCATATAAACATTGTTTTGGGTTCAGTTTAATGGCATAAGAGCCATTAAGAAATACTCCACTAACTTCCAGCGGTTTGAAGTCTAGATTCTGTGACAGATTGATATGTTTTAAAATGCACCCTTCCTGAAAGGACGCTCTGTAACTTACGTCTGTGCCACTTGCTTCTGCTGCCCTCCTGTGGCTTCCCGGGGTCCTAACAACGTGTGCAGCCTTTTGTCCAGCTGCCCAGTCTCACCCTTTGTCATCTGTTTTCTCTGCTGTTTATTCTCCTCTTTACCCTCATCTGTGATAGCTGTAGGAATTCAGGCCCTCAGTGACTCATCCAGATTTATGGCTCCAATTTGCCCCCAGGATTGCAATGTTATGCTCTGCTAGACTCTATTCCCTTCCAGCATTGGTGCTCCTCATGTGTGACTAAATGCTCTTTCTTCTTTGATAGGAAGTGTATATTCTAAGTAATGGTGCATTCAGTTAAGTGATTATTTGTTTAAAAATTATATTCTCAATCCTCGCTTATAATATGCCACTTCATCAGGCGCCAATGATCAGGCTGGGCACATGTGTTAGCAAAGCTTGGCTTGTTCACTGTGTGTATTACAGGCATTTGCAGGGAGATTTTTCGCAGGAGCCTTTGTCTTTTATTTTTTACTTTTCTCACCATGCAGTCAAATATGCCTTTTCTTAGTTCAGCGAGCCTTGTTAAGTTTGATCTACAATCTAGGGAAGACTTCTAATTCAGAGTAATTTGCCAAGATGAAAGACCTGATCTGCTTTAAGAGAAATTAATCATTTCCCTTTGCCTGGAACTTTCTCAAGTTTTGAGGAATGATTTTGTCTCCTTTCTGCATGGAAACATTCTTTTAAAATTTTTAAATATTTTAATTTCATTGCAAGACAATAGTAAGTGGGGTAAGACTGAGGTCTAGCATTAAGAACAGTTATCTACTCATTGTCTTTTAACACATCAGTACTTTTTAAAGAATGCAGGTAAATGATACTAGGTCCTGGATATATGACATATACTAGTGATTTATTTATTTTAATTAATTAATTTATTATTATTATTTTGAGACAGAGTTCACTCTGTCACCCAGGCTATAATGCAGTGGCGCGATTTCGGCTCTCTGTAGCCTCTGCCTCCCTGCTTCAAGTGGCTCTCATGCTTCAGCTTCCCGAGTGACTGTGATTATGGGTGCCCGCCACCACGTCTGGCTAATTTTTGTATTTTTTGGTAGAGATGGGTTTTTGCCATGTTGGCCAGGCTGGTCTTGAACTCCTGACCTCAGGTGATCTGCCTGTCTCAGCTTCCCAAAGTGCTGGGATTACAGGCATGAGCCACCGCCCCCGGCCTATACTAATGATTTAGATATTAGGACGAGTATGACCTCTAGTGCTCTCTACCTTTGTGACCAGGTCACTCAACCTCACAGCATCTCACTTTATTCATCTTTAAAATAGACATTATAATACATATTTTGCAGGGTTGTTATGACAAACCGATGTGACATTTTACACACTGTAAATCAAGATATAAATATAAAATATTATTATGTATGCCCTTTTTTGGGGGGAAATAAAGGAATACAGCATCAAAACAACCAACCAACAAAGATGCTTCTCTAATGGGCCCTTTATAAAACTTAGCTAGTAGCAGATAATTCAGAAAAATAAATTGTATTCTAAAGATAGTTTCTTCTATTGACCTATCTTAAATATGAGAACTTTTTTTTCTTTATTTCTTCTAAAACAAAAAAACCATGATACATGTGCAGAACGTGCAGGTTTGTTACATAGGTATACGTGTGCCACGGTGGTTTGCTGCACCTATTGACCTGTCCTCTACGTTCCCTCCCCTCACCCCCTACTCCTCAAAAGGCCCTGGTGTGTGTTGTTTCCCACTCTGTCCATGTGTTCTCAATGTTCAGCTCCCACTTATGGTGAGAACATGCGGTGTTTGGCTTTCTGTTCCTGTGTTAGTTTGCTGAAGATGATGGCTTCCAGCTTCATCCATGTCCCTGCAAAGAACATGATCTCATTCCTTTTTATGGCTGCATAGTATTCCATGATGTATATGTACCACACTTCCTTTATCCAGTCTATCATTAATGGGCATTTGGGTTGGTTCCATGTGTTTGCTATTGTAAATAATGCTGCAATAAACATATGTCTTTATAGTAGAATGATTCATACTCCTTTGGGTATATGCCCAGTAATGAGATTGCTGGATCAAATGGTATTTCTGGTTCTAGATCCTTGAGTAATTGGCATAATGTCTTCCATAATGAGAAGACAGAAAATATGAGAACATTTGTAGTGTATATAATTTACAGTTTCTACTATTAAAGCAAAACCTCCTAGCACAGATAGACCTTAGGTTGTAATTCACAAAACAATGAACTTGCATTTGGGGGAGAAAATAGGACAATTCCAAACTTAGATATTTTCGTAAGTGATTCTGGCCAGTTCCTGAGTCCAGTTGATTTTAAGGCACAAGATTGACCTGAAACAGTCAAAATGGTCACCTTACAAGAGAAATAGAGAAAACATAGCAGAAAATGCACGAGCATCATTAACAAATTCCTCTACGTGACTTCAAAGACACATTCAGGGAAGGCTACCCCCACTGAGGAATTGCTTTCCCAAGTCCTGTTGCTGCTGGCTTCAATGTGGGGCCACCTCATTTCATTAGCCTTCATTCTGCACAGCTGCCAACCATTACTTCCTCCCTTGGATCTTAGGAAGTCTTAACTGTCATTTCAAGAGTCAGATTATATAATAGTTTAACTGAAACATTGTAGTTGTTTTTGGCACAATGACCTATGTCAGATAAATTTTTAAAATAAGTAGAACACCTTTTTATTTAAAATTTGTTGATTTAGGAAGTATTTGTATAGGTTCGTTACATGGGTCTACTGAATGATGCTGAGGTTTGGGCTTCTAATGTTCTTGACACACAAGTAGTGAACATAGTACCCAATGGGCAGGTTTTCAACACGTGTTCCCCTTCCTCCCTCCCTGCTTTTTGGAATCCTCAGTGTTTATTGTTCGCATCTTTGTGTCTATGTCTACCCAATGTTTAGCTCTCTCTTAGAAGTGGGAACGTGTGGTATTTGGTTTTCTGTTTCTGTGTTAATTCACTTAGAATAATGGCCTCCAGCTGCATTTATGTTGCTGCAAAGGATATGATATCATTCTTTGTTATGGCTGAGTTGTATTCCATGGTGTATATGTGCCACATTTTCTTTATCCAATCCACTATTCATAGGCACCTGGTAGAGCCCCCTTTTAAAACCAAACCCCACATGGAATTCCAGTTTATAAAAGAGTTCAGAGAGGGAACTACTCCACTTGAAGGAGGGGTTGGGAAAGTGTCTAAAATATCTGAGATCCTCTTTCACCCCTTCTTCCAATCCTCTGGTAGTGGCTCCCCAGCCACCTCCAAAGATCTTTAAGACTCTAGGCAGCACAAACTGAAAAAAAGTAATCTATGCCAATATAACAATTGATTTTCTAAATAAGAAACTAGAACAAAATTCTACAATAATTAAAGGATTAGCTAGCAATGAAAGAAACCAGATCAGTCTTGAGAGAGAAGATTCCTGAGAAAAGAAGCAAAGGAACTGTCTGGAATCACGGTCATGTTCTGTATCTTGACAGGCGTATGGGTCATACAGGTGTAAGCTGTTGTCAAAACTAAAGTGTACAGTTAGGATCTATGATCTCACCATACATAACATAAAATAAAATAACTGAAGGCCAGATCCAGCTGAAATCCTGTTGGTCTCCAGATAAATACTGACTCATATTCACTTAACTAAAAAGATGCCCTGTGGCTTGAGTTTGTTTCATCTATAAAGATCAAGCACATGTTTATGGAGCATCACCTATTTTCGGCTATAATTCCAAATTAAGTAACACAATTCAACAACATTAGCTCAATGGTTGCAAGGTATATCATTGTTCAACTTATAGTCCCAATTTATCTTTGATAGCGATGCAGAAAGAACAAACTGCCCATATTAAATCAATCAATACTTCGTACCATGATCAGGAGACTAAGTACCATAATACCATGGACACCATTCCCAGAAAAATGACTCCGTAAAACAGCTGAGTTTCAGGTCAAAGTAAAGTGTTAATTCTCAACTGGAACTAAGAGTTAAGAATTTCATCCCCAAACAGTGGCTCATATAGTTTTTGATTCTTTACACACCATCATGATTTTGATCAAATCTAAAGATTTTCCCTTTAGATGTGTGTGCATGCATACACAAATACACATGCACACACTGCAAATATTGCAGGCATATTCAGAGGCTAATACTGCCCGAAGCCTATCCATGGATTCCAGGTAAAGAATCTGCACTCAAAATCTTTTCTCAGCTGCAGAAAATCTCATTTGAGACTAATCACTATAGTGTGGTAGAATAATAAAGAAAATTTCGCAGGGGCCATGAGTTAATGTTGTATTTCTGAGGTAGTTGGGTTTTTTTATTGTTGAGAAATTAGTTTTCTTCAAATTGGCTCACATTAAAATAATATCTAAGATATGTGCAGCATTGTTTGGTTTTCAGAGCACTGGCATATAATGCCATAAGACTTACTTCAGGAATTTTATATAATAGACATCCACTGAATTAAAATTTAAAGTCCTGTGTCTCACCCAGCAATTCTAGAAGGTTTCAACTTCATTTGTGGATAGGAAAACTCAAGTACAGAGTACCCAATATGAGCTGGCTAGTCAGCATCAGACTAAAAAGACTGAATCCTTGTTCCAGCAACAGCCCCTTTCTTTTGGCTATGTTGCCAACCAAATGTTTTAAATAAGTAAATAGCAACAAAACAATAATGATAGTTATTCACTCTGGACTGAGAATTTGGAGCCAGGATTTTAAATATGGGTTTACACTAAATGATAATCTTTAAAGATAATATGAGCATATTCTTTATCATCTGGCAATTGTCTTAAACTGAGATTGCTACTTCCTTCTCATTGTCCAAGTTTATATTTGTGCCTGCCACTGTGTTTGTACTGTGTGAAAGCCAAATAATTTCATGGCAGCCCACAAAAAAGAAAGGTTTCCAGAAGCTGAAATAGGGAAATGTAATGAGATCTATATTCACAGAGCACATAGTAGTTTGAGAAAGACGCTCAATGAATGCTGATGTTGATTGAACACTTAGTTCCAAAAATATCTTTCTTCTATAGTATCAATTTGGCAGGAAATATTATAATAAATATAAAGAAATTCTGCTTCCATATCGAGAAATAAATGGAGTAAATTCTCACTTGATGCAGATTTCACTTTTCTAAAAATACTAGCCTTAACATTAATCTTCACTAATTAACTAAAATTTTTATGTAAAAATTTCTTGTTTATAGGATTTTGATAAACTATAAGGTCCAACTAACTAACCTAAACTATCAAACAAATTTTTGAAGTTTGAAGTTTCATTTTGTGTAGCATATCTATGTGAGCAAGTCTTTTCTGTATTAGAAAGAGAAGCCAAAATGCTGCAGGGCGTAGAATCTGACATAAACCCTCATCATTTTAATGTTAAATTCAGCACCAGTTGATTTACTGTCAGCAAACAATATTATCTGCCATGTTAAATTAATACTATTCACTTAAACTATGTTTTTATTTGATTCATGTATTTGTTTTGATTTAAAAAAACTTGCAAGTATAAAGAACTTATTTCTAGGGTTGGGTCTAAATATTTCAATACTATTACAATAAAAACAAATCAATATTGGTGAAATTCATGAGAATATTTTTCCTTTGAAAGGGACCCACAGATTACTCAAGTTTGAGAAACCTTGGTCCAGATTAGCGTTGATTAATTTATCAGTATTCTTGAGATACATTTTTTTGTATCTCAAGATTTTGCCACGTAATTATCCAGTTTCTCAAGCTTATCCACAAGGAGATCATGACAAATTTTGTCAATTATCTTAATGAAATCAATACTTTTGGTGCCTATGATATTTCATTTAGTGATGCTATAAAAGATAATAAACTTTCGAATGGATTTAGTGGGTCACTTCATTTATCTGGAGACTCAATGAAAGCCACATGTGTTTCATCTGATCCACTCTGAAACACATTCATCACTATAGAGGAGATGGACTTCAAAGTGAGACTTAAGAAGCTTTGGTATCCTATGGCAAGCTTTGGGACTATGGGGGTCCTTCACTTCACTTTGGACAAGAAAGTGACATAGGGGACATAGAAGGTCTCAACACTGGGCTACAGTTTCCATCTCCCTCTGTCTCCCACTCTTTTGTACATGGAGTGGTGTCATCTCTTCTGTAGCTCAAGATCTGCCTGCATCTCAATGACCAACTGCAAGTAATCACAGTGTCCTTCTTCATTCTGGAAAGGACCATTCCAAGTCCTGAGACACGGCTTCTATTCCAGGTCCAAAGTCCAATTCCTGCCAGTCTCTAGATGCTGACCACACAAAATCTCATTTGTTTTCTGGTGTCATTTGAGGGGGCACATCCCCATCTAAGCAGTCACTGATGGCTGCGTATTCTAACCGACCTGCTGATCCTAATTCTGCCCAGCTCCAATGCCAACTTGTGCCACCCTGTGGCTGCTCTAAACCCTACAACTAACAGAATCTTCATACAAATTATCTCTAATGTCTGTAAGGTCTGTGAGAGGGGGAAACTTGTTTCTTTTGTTCTCGTTCCTATTTTGAATATTTAGCATGGTATGCAACATTTAGTAGGTTTTCAGTAAATGCTCATTCAATGAATGAATGAAAGCCTTAGAACATCCCCTAACCTACCAATTAAACAAGTACTTGAAGCATATATCTCTGGCTTCAGAACATAAATATATTTTTTTTAAATCTCAGGTTACTTCATTTGTGTGGTCTCCAGGTCCAGTAGCTCTTTCCTTGTGGACATTCTAGCTTTTAAAGGACTCAAACAAAAGGCTCTCCTTGCACCTTTCTCAATCATGCAGTGGAAGGATGGGCATAACCCCAGAGCCTGGAAGACGGCACCCCTTCTCATTCAAGAGATTAAAGAGAGAGAGTTCCAGTTGTCCAGATAGTAGAGGCAGAGACTTCTCCTTTACCTCAAGAACTGGAGGAAATTTTTCTTTATTCTTTCAGAAGTCTAGAAGTCCAATGGAGAAACAAAATAGGATAAAACAATTGGTTTCTAGGAAGATGTTTGTGGTTACAGTAACCACACTGCTTGCTTCACTTTGCTTCAACAGAAAGACCCCTGGGCAACACCTGAGCAAAATGTATCCATCTATTCAGGTAATCCTATTTTTACCTTTGCTTAAGAATATATCTGTAATATTTCTCATTTTAATGCTATTTCAAATAAATTTTCCAAAATAAAAGGCTGTGATTATGACCTAACTCTCAAATTTCTACTATAAATTCAGATTATACTCCAGGAACCCAGAACCTTCTCACACCAGAAAAAGCTGACTTATGACCACAAAGCCATGTTATCATTAAACTATGACATATTTGAAGCTAGGTGGCCAAGCTATAAATAGAATGATTAATAATACCTAGCCAATATCTCATCTTAAAATCAAACTTATGTCAATTTTTTGTATCTCATTATGTGCCAATATGAGATTATATTTTCAAAGAAGGCTACAGAAATATTCCTGGTCCCACATGGCACCACTCAACAAGCAGGGAGTCTGTTTCTCCTCCCCTTGAAATTGGGTTGATGTTTTGACTGTCTGCCTAAATGAATAGGATCTGGTGAAAGCAACACTGCCTTCTTCCAAGGTAAGGTCATGAGAGTTTCTTTTACCTGGTTCTCTCTCCTGGGATGTTCACCCTTGAAATTCAGGGATGATGTGGTGAGGAAACCCAGATCACATGGAGAGGCCATGTGTGGGTGTTCTGCAGACTGGGCCTTCAGAAGTCTCAACTGACAGCATTACTACCAGACATATGAGCATTCAGGTGACTCCAGCCCCTGGTCTTCAAGCCACCCCCACTGGAAGTGGGGTGGAGCAGAAATGAACGATTCCCACCATGTCCTGCCTAAACTGAAGCTTTGTGAGCAAAATAAATATTGCAGTTGCTTTAGGCCACTAGGTTTGGCTATTTATTATGCAACAATAGAAAACTGAAATAATCAAATGAGGTGCTCTCACTCAATCCTCATAATCACTGAATATTTTAGATTCCACATATAAGTGAGAGGTTAGTATTAATAATTTCATATTGCCAGTGTATAAGCAGGCACTGTGCTAAGACATGGAAATGCATTAGTGAACATGGCAGACATAGTTCCTGACTTTATCAAGCTTATGTGGCAGACTGGCTGTGTTCATTTCTTTATAACCATTAACTATAAGCCAGCAGGGGCACTGCTGAGCCTCACTACACATAGAAGGACAGAGGATCATGCTTTTCTCTAGGCATGTCTTAATCTTAACATTCTCCATCAGAAAAAAATCAAATCATGTGTTTCTCTTAGCTTCAAATGTAGTGTGTATCCGTCTGTGACAATTGGTCATATTCTTGCATTAGAATTTCACAGACTGAGTCAAGTTTTTCTAAGGTTTGTTTTTGTTTCAGGTTTAATGGGATGTAATTGACAAATAGAAATTGTATATATCTAAGTTGCAAAAGTTAATGTTTATATATATAAACATACATACATACACACACACACACACACACATATATATATATAAACAACTATCAAGCTAGTTAACATATCCATCACCTTATATAGTTACTTTTTCATGTGTGGTGAAAACACTTAAGATCTAGCCCTGTAGCAAATTTCATATATACAATACAGTATTGTTTTCTATAGCCATGATTTCTATAGTCATGATAGTCTGTACATTAGATCTCCAGAACTTATTCCTCCTAATTTAAACTTTGTACCCTTTGACCAACATCTCCCCATTTCTACCATCCTCTAACCTCTGTCAACTACCATTCTACTCTCAGCTTCTATGAGTTTGAATATTTTAGATTTCACATAGAAGTGAGATTATGCAGGATTTGTATTTGTGTGTCTGGCTTATTACATTTAGCACAATGTCCCCCAGGTTTATCCGTGTTGTCACAAATGGCATATTTTCTTCCTTTTTAAGGCTGAATAGTATTCCATTGTATGTATATACCACATTTTCTTTATTCGTCTATCCACCGATGGACATGTAGGTTGTTTCCATATATTGGCTATTGTGAATAATGCCCCCAGTGAACATGGAAGTGCAGATATCTCTTCAAGATACTGATTTCCTTTGGATATATATATATACCTGGAAGTGGGGTTCCTGGATTATATGGTAGTTCTATTTTTAATTCTTTGAGGAACTTCCATACTGTTTTCTATACGGCTGTACCAATTTACATTCCTACCAACAGTGTACAAGTTTCCCTTTTCTTCACATCCTCACCAACACTTGTTATCTTTCACCTTCCTAATAACTCTTCTAACAGGTGTGAGGTGGTATGTCACTGTGGTTTTGATTTGCATTTCCCTGATGATTAGTGATGTTGAATACCTTTTCATATGCATGTTAGCTGTTTCAAGATCTTTCATTAAGTCTACAATGTGGTCCAAGGTTGATGGGCCTGTCACTAGGAAAATAAAGGGGTTTGGGTCCTGGGCAGGCAGGACTGCCCTGGATGGCAGCAGAGGGAGCGGAAGCCAGATCACAGGGCTGTTTTAGGGTTTGCAGTCTGGTTGAGTTCAGTGGTCCTTTTACCAGGGGCAAGAAAAAGCATAGCTGCACCCGGCCACCAGGGTGCAGGTCTGCATCCTCAAAGTGGTCCTCCTCAGTCCTGGACTCCACTGGGGTTTTACAACCCCTTATCTGTATCCCAAAGCTCCCACAAATTTTCTGAGAATGGATGATCCTGTCCTCGGAGGCCACCAAGCCCTCTCCAAGACATTCAAACTAGCAGGTCTGGATTTGCAGTGCCCTGTGTCTTGGAGTTTTTGGTTTGTTAGTAAAGAGAGCCAAATCAGAAGTTTTCCTATAATCAAAATTAAGCCAGGAAAGCCCAAAAGGCTGTTCTACCATCACCTGAATTAATAGTGTAACTGGGGACAGAGAACATAGACAAACTCTATAAGTTTCAAACTCTATGACTCTCAGTGAGAGTCAAGGCCCAGAGAAGCAAACTTAAGACTTATAAGTGACCACCTGAAACCTGCCCCACAAACCTATCAAACATTTTTTCCACTCCTGCTGCCCTACCCCTAAATGTAGGTGACTGCATTGTTTCCATTCCAGTGTGCTTTCTTTAAGTAGTCACACTCACAGCATGCTGGGCTTCACATCAAAGCAAGTCCCATTGCATACCTGATTAACACATTAGCTCCCAAACCAGCTAAATCAACTAACATCCTGCATCCTGTCCTCTTCTGCGGCGGAGGTGGCATGGGTAATTTTGGATAATCATGCTGTTGATTTCTCCATCTCACCACTCAAGTTTAATGTATATCTTCTGTCTAGTTATGGTCTTGGCTCCTACCTACTGCCTCTATTCTTGCAATGCACAGTTGACCTGATTCTAAGACCCGTTTCATCCAGATATTGCTCCTACTTGACACATTCCCACCCTGCAGAGACAACGGAGATGTCAAACTTATTCAACGAACTCTGAACTCTAAGGAAAGGGACAAAGTAAAATAACATGTATTAATCAACTGCAGAATATTGCTGAGGGCACACTGGACTAAACTTTTTTTTTCCAGTTTTTCTTTTTTTTCCAGTTTTTTGGACTAAACTTTTATAATTTCTTGCATTTCAACATCATTTACTGGAAATGAAATGGTGGATGCTTAAAATCAACATGAGTAACATCAACCTAGTTTTGAAAAGCATGATGAATCTAGCAAGAACTCTCTGCAAGTATTTTTTATATTCTTTCACTTTAGAAGGTAAGATCATTCAACTAACTATAGTTTATCTTTAATGTTTTAGAACTCTTCAAGTTTTTGGCTCACATATTTTCCAATGTATTTATGATTATCTCAGGTATCAAGGGTCATTAACATATTCGCTGTGACTCTGAGGTCTAGGCAATGGAAGTTATACTTCTCCCGTTAACAACATCACACGATCTCAAATGGCAACTTCTGAATCTTGGTTTTAGATGATTGTGGCAATCTGGGTTTCATTATTAAAGGGAGATAAGATGACAGATTGGGCTGGTTCTCACTATCTCGGAATAACAGCCTTAAGTATTTGGAAAATGTGAGCACAAAAATATTTAAGGATTTGAAGAGTGTAGGTTATTTTCCATCTGGAAGATAAAGTGCAGAAGATTATCACCCGAACAATTTTGATATTGGGTTTTATCTTTCTGCAACAAGCAGACCATGGTCAACAGAATCTGCTTGCTGCCATTTATGATGAGACTGTGGAATTACTCAAATCTCTAGCATCTCTCATTTATTTTTAGCTTCATGTTTAGTTAGTAACAGTGGAATCTAGGTGCCAACATGTTTTTAGCAGATACTATCCAGATCTGCCAATGATTTAAACTGCTCATGAGCATGTAGAGATACAATACAGGAAAAGTAATGAAAAGGAGTTTTCAGTGAGGGAATGTTCAAGAAAGCTTCACAGGTTAGAGGTCAACTTCAACTATAAATGTCAATTTATTGTAACTTTTCTCTTCTTGCTTACAGTATTCATGCCTGAAAAACTGAAACAGGAAAGGAAATCATTTTGGATTATCTTTTCCAAGGACGAATATTTTATTTTAGCTTTTTAAATTGATAAATAAAAATTGCATGTTATGTACAACATGATGTTTTGAGATATGCTACATTTTGGTTCAACTGAGTTAATTAACATGCATTACCTGACATACTTATCATTTTTGTGATAAGAACACAAAACCTACTCTTATTAATTTTCAAAATACAATATATTATTATTAACTATAGCCACCATATGGTACAATAGCTCTCTTGAAATTATTCCTCCTATCTAACTAAAATTTTGTATCCTTTGACCAACATCTCCCAACCCATCACCCAGCACCTGATAACTAACACTCTACTGTCTACTTTTAAGTTCAAATTTGTTAGATTCCACATAAATGTGAGACCATGTGGTATTTGTCTTTCTGTGCCTGGCTTATTTCATTTAGCATAATGTCCTTTGGGTTATTACAAATGACAGTATTTTCTTCTTTTAAGGCTGAATAGTATTCTATTATGTATATATACCATATTTTTTAATCCATTCATTTATTGATGAACATTTAGGATTTCACATCTTGGTTATTGTGAATAATGTTGTAGTGAGCATGGAAGTGCACATATCTCTTCAACATATATGTCCTTAAGTGTGAAGTAAGTCTCTTGTAGGCAGTATATATTTGTTCTGATTTTTTTTTTAATCTATTCAGCCACTCTTTGTCCTTTGATTGGAGAATTTAGTCCATTTTATATTCAAGGTAATTGTTGATAGGTAAGAACTTATTATTGCCATTTTGTTAATCATTTTCTGATTGTTTTGTAGATTCTTTGTTTCTCTTTTTCTGTTTTCCATTGTGATTACCTAATTTTCTCAACTGGTATGATTTTATTCCTTTTTGTGTATCTATTGCAGGTTTTTGCTTTGTGGTTACCATGAGACTTAATATAAAACATCTTATAACAGGCTATTTTAAGCTGTTAACAACTTAACTTTGGTTACATACAAAAACTACATTAGGAGGGGCTTCAAGACGGCTAACAAGAGGCATCTGGCATTCACCTCCTCCACAAAGAAGAACCAGCATAGTGAGTAGATAGTCACACTTCAAATAAATTGTCTAAGAGAGAACACTGGAATTCAACAGAGAAGTGAGAGGACACACCTAAGGCAAGGAAGTGAGGCAGCCTGCTTGGCCAGGATCAGCTGGGAGCCTAGAGAGGTTATCCAATGCAGGGAAAAGTGAGAGTTCCCCAGGGGTCTATATGCCCACTACAGACTCCTGCAATCTTAGCCATGCGTGAGCACCTCCACCCTCTGGCATGAGACTAAACTAGGGAGATGCCCGGAGATTGCACAATGGCATTGCTCCAAAAAGGAAGGTTACACTGGGTCCCACACACCTCCTGAATCCTAAACAGCTACAGCACAGTGCCATTTTGAAGGCCAGCCCCCACCAGACTTTATTCTGCCCTGGGGCCCAACAGCTCCTGCATCTCCACAATAACGAGCATCTTTGCATTGAGCCCCATGACATCCTCTGCCTGCAGCTTCTGCCACTGCTGGCTGCTGCCACCAGGGCCAAAGTGAAAGCCACTGGCAGCAACAGCACTGCCCCCAGCAGTGGGGCTGCTATGCATTTTCACGCATCCTGACAAAAGGGTCCACCACCACTGCCGGCTGCTGTTGCCATGTGACAAAGTGCATCCCAATGAAGTGATCACACCACCTCCAACAGTGGGGCTGCTGTGCATTTATAAGCCCTCTAAGGACAAACTGCCCCACCCACAGCAACTGCCCCTGCTAGCTGCCATCACCATGGCCAAAGCATAAGCCACTGGCAGCAACACCACTTCTCCCAGCAGCAGGTGGCCATGCATTTACAAGTGCCATGAGGACAGGTTCCCTGGCTGACAGCTGTCACCTGGAGCAGAAGCCACCAACCTATGGCTTCTGCCACTGAAAGCAATTCTATACTCCCTGGCAACAGAGCTGCAACACAGTTGCTGCTGCCCCCACCCAAGCTCTCTGCTTGGAGCCTGGGGATTATCCTTCCCCTAGCCATAATAGCCAGCTTCTATATGCACCACTAGGGCACCTGAAGATAGGCCCACTCAGCCTGGCTTCACTACCACCAGTGCTCAATCACACCATCCAGGGGCCTGGAGATCAGCCTACCCCACCTATGACTATTTGCACCTGAGCACTCCTCTGGGAGCCTGAGGAGAAGCCCACCCAGCTTGCAGCTATCACCAGCTGACACCTACCCACATGCACCACTTGTGGGCCTGTGTACTGTCCCAGCCAGCCGGTCACAGACACCAATACCAGTCCAAACCTCTTGGGAGCCAAAAGGTTATCCCACCATTGCTATTGCCATTGCCCACACCACACCTGCCATCCAGGGGCCTTGGAACCTGCCCACCTGCGTGTCCTACCCCTGACACTGCTGGTACTCAAGCAAGTTGCTTGGAGGCCCAAGAATCAGCCCACTTGGACCACTAACACTGGTGCTGACATACACAACCCTGGAGCCCAAAGACAGATATAGTCAGCCCTATTGCTGCCACCACTGGAGCCCCAGGGACTGGCCCACCTGACATCCCTGTCCCTAACATAACTTCACCACAGCCTCCACTAACAATTACACCCTAAGCTACTGAGGAAACCACAGATCCCACTGATGCTGCTGACAGCCAAAGAAATTGCATGAAACACACTACTGTAAGCACCCAGAATTAAAGCCTAAGTTCCCTACTCAGCCAAATCCATAGATACATTATAAGGAAAAAGTTATCCCCTACAAAAACAAATTTAAACTATTGGAAGAAATGACTGTTACACTACCCGTACAAATATCAATATAAAAACACAAGAAACATGAAAAAGCAAGGAAATAGGACAACTCTAAAAGCAACACAATAATTCTCTAGCAAGAGATCCCAATGAAAAGGAAATTTGTGAAATTCTAGAAAAAGAATTCAAAATAATAATATCAAAGCAGCTTACTGAGATATAAGATGTCAGGTCCAGGGTCAGGTTCCAGCCTATGCTGAGGTCCAAAGGAAGTGGGTGGATGAATGGCAGACAGCTGAAAGAACACTCGGGGGGCTGCAGGTAGGTGAAATACGGCTTTATTCAGCAGCACTCTTACACTGTCTGTCTCTGTCTCAGCTGCCTGCTCCAGCCTCTCCCATGTACTACTGCATGGCCGGCTCTCCCTTCAGGGTCAGCAGCTTAACTCTTTCTCTGGGCACAAGCAAGACAAGCTGTGTCCTGGCTTTCCACTGTCCGTCTGCAAGATGAACAGCCCTGGATTTCTCTCTTTCTCTGGGCGCAAGCATGCCTGTACAGTGTCAGCAGGGCAATTATACCTTTTACAGACAATAATGGCTCTGAGCAAGCGATGAGCCTTCCCATGTTATGGGTACGTGGTTGTGATTATATAACAAGTGGAGTTATGTGATTGTGCAACAAACTCACTGACTCATGCAGGATGTTTACCTTGGCCTATCCTTGACCAAAGCACATCCATTACTTATACAAGAGAACACAGCTAAATAATACAAAGAAATCAGAAAAACAAATCAGGTTATGAATGAGAAATCTGCCAAAAAGATAGATATGATTTAAAAAAACAAAACTGAAATCCTGAAACTGAGTAATTCATTGAATGAAATAAAAATACATTAAGAGAGCTTCAGCAATATACTAAATGAAGCAGAAGAAAGAATTTCAGAACTTGAAGATAGGTCTTTTGAAATACCCAGTCAGACAAAAATTTAAAAAAAGAATAAACAAAGCCTATGTGACTTATAGGTCACCATTAAACAACCAAATAGTCAAATTTCTAGTGTCCCAGAAGGTAACAGAAAAACAAAGGGTTAGAAAACATATTTAATAGTCCAGGCTTGTAATCCCAACACTTTGGGAGGCCAAGGCGGGCAGATCACGAGGTCAGGAGATCGAGACCATCCTGGCTAACACGGTGAAACGCCATCTCTATTAAAAATACAAAAAAAATTAGCCAGGCGTGGTGGCGGGTGCCTGTAGTCCCAGCTACTTGGGAGGCTGAAGCAGGAGAATGGCGTGAACCTGGGAGGTGGAGCTTGCAGTGAGCGGAGATCACGCCACTGCACTCCAGCCTGGGTGACAGAACGAGACTCATTCCAAAAAAAAAAAAAAACCATATTTAATAAAACTAGCAGAAAAGTCCCCAAGTCTAGTTAGAAATTTGTACATTCAGATACAGGAAACTCAGAGATCCCCAAATAGATACAATTAAAAACGAATGTCTTCTCCACAGCACATTATAGACAAACTGTTAAAAGTAAAAGACAAAAACAGAATTGTAAAAACAGCATGAGAAATGCATCTAGCCACTTATAAAGGGGAACCTCCATCAGACTAATAGTGGATTTCTCAGCAGAAACTTCACAGGCCAGGAGAGAGTGGGATGATATATTCAAAGTGCTGAAAGAAATAAACTGCCAACCAAGGATGCTATACCCAGAAATATTACCCTTCATAAATGAAGGAGAAATAGTCTTTTCCAGACAAGCAAAAGCTGAGGGAATCAATCACCACTAGAATGGCCCTATAAGAAATGCCTAAGGAAGTCCTACACTTGGAAGCAAAAGGATAAATCTATCATGAAAACACACAAAAGTATAGACCCACTGGTAAAGCAAACACACAAATATGAAAGAGAAAGGACTCAATTATTACCACTACAGAAAAACTACCAAACCACAATGATAAGTAATAGCAAAGTAAGGTGACTACAGTTAACAACAATGTATGCATATTTTAAAATAACTAGAAGAGAGTGAAATGTTCCAGCACAAAGATATGATACATACTTGTGGGAAATAGATCCCCTAAATACCCTTATCAATTAAGAAAAAGAATGAGAAGAGCTGAAATTTATAGTTAGCAACTCTAGAGGAAGTTTTCTTCCTTTTTCTGTTCATAAATAGACTAAGCTCTTGAATGCCCCACTTGCATCTATTCATCATTGTGGAATGATTTCAAAAGAAAAATCATGTTATATTTTTTTCCTAACCTCAAAAAAGGTTATACTTTTACTCTATACTTTTACTCCAACCCATCTCCATCTTGTATTTTTGATTTCACAATTTATATCTTTTTATATTGTGTATCATTTACCAAAGTATTTTAGCTTTTTAAAAAAACTATTGAATTACTTTAAAATTATTTTTAATAGTTTTGGTTTTCAACCTTTATACTAAAGAAGCAAATGAATCTTACAGTATTAAAATATTCTGAATTTGATAATATACTTTTTTTTCTTTTGAGACAGAGTCTCCCTCTCTTGCCCAGGCTGGAGTGCAGTTGCACCATCTCAGCTCACTGCAACCTTCACCTCCCAGGTTCAAGTGAGTCTCCTCCCTCAGCCTCCCGAGTAACTGGGACTACAGGCGCGTGCCACCACACCTGGCTAATTTTTTGTATTTTTCTTTAGTAGAGATGGGGTTTCACCATGTTAGCCAGGATGGTCTCGATCTCCTGACCTCATGAACTGCACGCCTTGGCCTCCCAAAGTGCTGGAATTAAAGGCATGAGCCACTGCACCTGGCCCAATAACATACTTATTTTTATCAGTGAGTTTTACACTTTCACATGCTTTTGTGTTACTAATTGGTGTCCTTTTCTTTCAGCTTAAAGAACTTCTTTTAACATTTCTTATAAAGAAAGGCCTGGTTTAATGAACTCCCTTTGTTAGTCTGGGAACATCTTGATTTCTTCTTCATTTTTAAGGGACAGCTTTGTCAGGTATAGTTCTCTTGGTTGAAGGTGTCATTCTTTAGCACTTTGAACATATAATTCCTCTCTTCTGACCTGTCAATTTTTGCTGAGAAATCCACTGCTAGTCTTTTTGGAATTCCTTCATATGTTATTTGATTATTTTCCTTTGCTGCTTTCAGGCTCCTCTCTTTGTCTTTGACATTTGACTATTCGATTATAATGGGCTTATATCTTGCAATATTAATTTCTAAAAAGACAAAATTCTGTTTCCAATAGACTGTCTTTTAAGAGACAGATTTCCCTCAGTTGTGAATGGAGACCACACATACTAGACCTCAGGAATTTCTGTTGCATTGGTCAGTTCTCAGTTTTTGTGTGGTTTTGGTTTGAATTGAATCTGATGGCAGACCTTTGACCTTCCTGTATCTGGATATTTATATTTTTCTCCAGATTTGGAAAGTTTTCTGCTATTATTTCTTTAATAAGCTTCTACCTCTTTATTCTGTCTTCTCCTTTATGAGCTCCTGTAACCCAAACATTTTCTCTTTTGATGCTGTCCCATAATTTCTGTATGTTTTCTTCAATCCTTTTGATTCTTTTTCCTTGTCTTTATTTTTCAAATAACCTGTTTCAAGTTCATACTTTCTTTTGCTTTATCAGTTCTGCTGCTGATGCCCTCTATTGCGTTTTTCATTTCATTCTTTATATTTTTCGGCTCCCAAATCTGACTTTTAAAATGATTTAAATCTCCTTATTAAATTTATCATTTTGGTCATTTATTGCTTTCCTGATTTTGTTGTACTACCTATCTGTATTTTTATGAAATTCCCTGAGCTTTCTTGAAACAATTATTTTGAATTATTTGTCAGGCAGTTTTAATATTTTCATTTTGAGGTTATTGTGTTTCTTTGGTGGTGTTATATCCTTGTTTTCTTCGTGTTTCTTATTGCTTTGTGCTGTTGTCTGTGCATTTGAAGAAGAAGGCACTTTTTGCAGTCTTTTCAGACTGGCTATGTCTGAGAATGCACTTCACCAGTCAGCTCGTCCAGATATCCTCTGCAGGATGCCTGGCATGGTCTGTGGGTGAGCTTGCTACTAAAGTCCTTAAGCAGGCTGGCCCAGTGCCTGGGTCAGCAGGTGGGTGGGCTTGGTACCTGATCTGGGTCCACTGGTACAGTCTAGCAGCCTGAGGAGTTGACCTGGTGCCTCAGTCTTTGGGGGTGAGTCTGGCACTGACATCTACTGTGATGGGCCTGGAACCTGAGTCTGCTGGAGTATAAGGCTGCAGGGGCTAGGGACTAGCCTGATATTGGGCAGGCCTGGAGCTTATGTCTATAGGTTCTGGCCTCATGCCCAAGGCCAGGGGTGTTTACCTGGTACTAGGGAAAGTTCAAAGTGTGGAGTTATGTGGGACAACCTGAATCTGGGCTGGTCTGAAACCTTTGGTGGACCTGCAGCCTGGGGCTGAAGGGGCTGGCCTGTATGGAGAAATATTTTTAATAGCCAAAGGGCTTATATCTTACATTATTAATTTCTAAAAAGACAAAATTCTGTTTTCAATTGCTAAGCAATCCTCTGCTCCTAAGAGACAGTCTTCCCTCAGTATGAATGGAGGCCACACATACCAGACCTCAGAAAATTCTTAGCAATGATCAGTTCTCAGGAAATCTGGATAAGCTGAGTTTCCCAGGCTAGAGCATCCTGAGCAATTAAATCTGCATTACTGAATGTAAAAGCTTTCACTTGAGGTACCCATTCCCACCATCCCTTATGTGATCTCCTACATTTAAATCAGACCACCTAAATTGAGTAAAAATGTAACCAGCAGTCATCAACATAGTTGAAATATAAAGCCAAAACTGAATAGCCCAAGAGATATTCCCTGTTTGTATTATCTGATTCCTCATGGTGTTACATGTGCATAAATACAAGTCCTGAAGAAAGGAACAGAAGGCCAGAATGAACATCTGGAAAAATGCATGAAAAATCTGCAGTCCATTAACCTTCTAATTTCATTTCTGTTCTTTGCACCCACCCATTCTGGTTCTATGGCACTACATAGGTTTCTAGAAGACAATCATTATCTTGCTCTGCAACATTAACTCATGAAGTGAGATTGCAGGAAATTATAAAACTTGAATAAAAGGAAGCCAATCCAATATATATATTTTTTACCTGAATGAATATTTTAATGTAACTGAGAGCAAAAAAGCTCTCTTCCTCTCTCTTTTTCTTACCTCTGACCATCAAGGTAGACTTAGAAAATGCTATTGTAAGTATAGCTTACATTCCATAATTTCTTGATATCCTGGAGTATACAGAAAATGAAAAGATAATGTTTTACCTTGACAGACTGAAATGGAAAAACCTTCTGTTGATGGGATCTCGCTGGAATGTAATGATTTGTGTGATTGCAATCACAGAGCCAGCTAAAATAGCATGTGAATTCTCCAACGTCTTCCTTCTGTCAAGGAAGGAACATTTCCATGAAACCACCTTTATAGCCTAGAATGGCTGCCTGCTATCCAAAAAGAGCTCTAAGTGACAATTAAGTAACCAGTAACTTTGTCTAAATGTAGAGCAATTAGAACTATTTTCAAAGTTTTGAAAGATTGTTCTAACCTTCCCTTTCCTTTGCCAAGATTAGATGGAATCAAGAAAATAAGCAGCTTGGAGATGAATAAGACTGAAGATTTAGTGAAGTCTCCTTAGAGACACAGATGAGTCAGGACTATTTTCAAAATTAAAATACATCTGTACCTTTGGAGCAATTTTTAAATTTTTAATTATTATAATTAACTGGGGAAAATGGGATGCCATAATCACAGAATATCTCCGCTGTAAAAAAAAAAAAAAAAACAATAAAAACAACAAAAACCCAACTAACCCAAACCACCAGGTGTGGAGTTGAACTAACCCCATTTATTTGTGTGGAGTTCACCATCCTGACATATATATGCAAGGTTCATCATTTTTATTATTTTCTCTACTTTATTTCTTATTCCCACTTCCATTCTCTCTACCACATGGTTACCTTCTTCAATGTGCTTGATATGTGCCCTTTTGTATGACTAGATACTTATAAGTACATTTTGTATGTGTGTATTAACTTACATAATGGCACTGTGGTATAGACAGTGTTTTGTTTCTTACTTGTGGGACAACATTATGCCTTTCAGATTTACCCACATTGTTCTATGTGCATCAAATGTGTTGCTTCTGTGGTGCGCATCTGCCATTTTCTCTTCATGATTTCCCAGTGTAACCTCCAACTCCTCACTGTAACTAGACACATTATGATGAATATCCTTATATAGTCTTTTTATGAGTCTATAAAAAGACTATGAAAGAGTTTCCTTAGGATATGAATCCAGGAGTGAAATTCCATTGTCATATATACATTCTTAATTTTCCTGAGTACTTTAGTACCTATTCTTGCTTTTTAGGACAACCAAGCCAGTTTACTCTTTCACCAACAGTACATGAGAGTTTTTGTCTCCCCACCTTCTCATTAATATTTGATAGTACCTTTCTACTTTTTGATAATTTAATGGTCATAAAGTGGCATATTGCTTTAAAATGTTGAGATTTTGGTATATCCTTTTGCAGGAAAATTGAATAAGTTTGTGTGAGGTTAGTTGCATTATATTAGGTAAGAACATGCTGTTTCTTCAAAATTTGAGAATGGGGAAGAGAGTGTGCGTGGATGCTGTTAAGGGTGTCAAGACAGACATCGTGGATGCTCAGTGTAGTCTGTTTTGTCAGCCCTTCCAATGATTCCATGAGCTATTCATACCCTTTAATAAACCTCCTTCTGCTCAAAATAGAGGGGATTCTGTTGTTGTCAACTAAGAAGACTGGCCCGTGTGGTAATTGGTACCATAAATGGTTGAAAATCTTCAAGGAGTAAAATGGGAATCTAAGATTGCCTATTCAGATAGGTTAAGTTTGAATACAGTAAAGATCTGGTCCTTAATATAAGACAAGTCCCTGCAAGATTTTATCAGTGGGATTTTCTTTTTACATATACATTTTTAATGGATTTGATAAAAGCCTCAAAAGTACTCTTGGATTTATTATTAAAATGACATTGGATTTATAGAACGATCTTGGGATAATTTACATCGTTACAATATTAAGTTGTCCATCAATGAATACAGTATGGCTCTCTATTTAGGCTTTCTTTTATGTCCTACGATAATGTTTTTAAATTTTCTCTATAAAAGTTTTGTGGATTTGTTAAAGATTATTTCCATTTCTGGGTGCTGTTCATTCTTCTTCTAGTACAGTAACAACTTTGCTTTGATATCAAGGAAATTATGAAACATTTTAATGTTAACCATTATAACCACATTATGTAACCAGTATAAAAGAGAAAAAGAATGGCAGAAGAAAAATAATAAAGTGTTTATTTTCTATAAATATGTACCTCAGATTTCTTAAAATGCTCTTGTGGATAATGCATTTCTGCTGCATTTTCTAGTTAGTTATTGCTGGTGTAAAGAAATATCATGGGCTAAGAAAACCCGCTACACTCTCTTATTAGTTCTAACAGTTTTTTAGTTGATGAAGCTTTTTCAAATGTAAATGATCTTACGGTTTTCATTTCATTTTACTTTCTCCACTTCCAACCCTTAACCTCTTATTTATTGCCATATTTCACGGGCTGATTCCAACACTATGTTGATCAGGATTGAAAGTAGAGAAAGTCTATTTTTGTTCCCAGCCTTAAAGAGAATGCATAAAGGGAATGCACAATAATCTTAAGAAATATTCAAGACTACACAATCTGGCCTCCAATTTGCTACCCCAGCCTCCTCTCTGAGGCCTGTCCATCCCAGTACTCCAACACTTTTCTTTTTTACAACTGTCTTCCTCAGTTGTAAGTACTTGTTCTTGGAGTGTGGAACAGTGGGAGAGGCAAGGGAGGTGGCAGAGTCCAGGGCCAACTCAATTGTCTGCACTTATTTTATTCCTCCCCACTTCCCCTGGGCTCAAACACTGCCATCGTGTTACTCACACTGACCTAGGTTTCTCTTTTTGTCTCAAGATGTGACAGAGAAGGCAAGATCCATTCAGAGCCCTCCTTTTTTTAAATTAATTAATTTTATTTATTTATTTATTTGTTTGTTTGTTTATTTATTTATTTATTTATTTATTTTTGAGACAGAGTCTCGCTCTGTCACCAGGCTGGAGTACAGTGGCATGATCTCAGCTCACTGCAACCTCCGCCTCTCAGGGCCCTCCTTCTGCATTCACGCTTCCTCCATCTGTGACCCCCTGCCCTTTCCTCTCCTAGGCTATCATTTCAGCTGGAACCTGGGAACCAGCCAACTTCGGTCTCCTCAGAGACTTTTTAGTTTTTCCAGTATCTTCTTAGATGTACCATTTTCCCTCTCACTTCTATGGTGTCTTCAGGATTGGGTTTAGAATAAGGATCCAGAAATTTCATCAAGTAACATCTTAAGTTTTTGCTGTCTGTTGTCTAAAAATGAAAACGACAGAGACAAAATGTGATTGACAATTTGTCAATGCCACAAACTATATGGCCAAACTGTGAAACACTATCCATGAAATACTGCAAGAGTTGGTCTAAGACTAGAAAGGAGACTGAAAGATGGCTCATGGCTTGAGCCAAAAAGAGATTTCCTTAGTATCACAGTCCTGAAAGACATTGACATGGTTTGGCTGTGTCCCCACCCAAATCTCATCTTGAATTGTAGTTCCCATAATTCTCACGTGTTGTGGGAGGGACCTGGGGGAGATAATTGAATCATGGGAATGGACACTTTGCATACTGTTCTTGTGATAGTGAATAAGTCGCATGAGATCTGATGATTTT